>NC_000002.12:54432776-54735806 GCF_000001405.40 Homo sapiens | reverse complement strand
TTCCCTCTTATAAACACTTCAACAGATTTTCAAAAGTTGCTTAAAAGACCACATTTCTTACATTGAAAGGGATGCAAATCATGATTTTTCTTATAATACAGTCAAAATACCTTAAGCACAAACATTCAAAAGGAATGTCTCATTCATTGTAAGGGCCATGGCCATATTCCAGTAGGAAACATTATGTCCTCAATGGCTGTATTTTCCATCTAGGCCAGTAGAGAAGTATAAGGAAGAAGTCAAATCAAATTTGGTGTCTAAGAACACAGCAATAATCAGTCATTATTGCCATTCAAATATTCTCTTAAAAAAGAAGATTCTGAATCCTGCCTCTCAATGCCAGCTGAGAATAATATTTTTGGGTTTTTATCTTCACGAAGTATGTATAAAATGAGTTCTATAGAAATCTCACCCCTATTCCACACCTTGCTCCTTCCAAATAATTTGAAATATAAAGAATAATATCCAAAGCACTTACTATGCCCATGACAAGGTGCTAGGCACAGGGACACACACATGAAATTCAAACCAGATGGAAACATGGGTAAGTCAACAAATGCAACACGATGCAATGACTCCAGAAGGGAGGAACGTGCATGGTAGCCCAGATGCATAGAGAAAGGAGGACAAGATAGTCTTGAGCTGTCAGATAAGGCTTCAGGGAGAGGTGGCACTTGCATTGATATTGAAGGAAGTGAAGGACTGCATAAGTGGAGAAAGGAGGGGTCATTTCAGGCAACCAAAATGATACACACAGGGATGAGGAAACACAAAATAGGATGCCAGATTCAGGGAACTGCAAGGTGTGTGATGTGGCTGGAGGATGTTAAGACAGGGAGGGACATCAGGCTGGAAGAGAAGCCAGGGAGAAGATCATAATAGACCGTGGAGAACATCTTGTGGGAGTTTGACTCTCATCATGCAGGCAATAAGGAGCCTTAAGCAAGTTTTAAATCTAGCCTTAGGAAAATTCATTTTCAAAATATGTTAGATAGCTACACTCACTAAATCATCCAACGGTTCACTCGTGAAACCTTTTCACTCGTTGCCATGGTTGATGTTCAGCAGGTATGCACCAGTATCTCTACCAGTTAAAATATGGAACTATTTCTTTACCAGTTGGTAAATAACAGCTGTCCCTCATCCCCACCTCCACTACCTTGGCCACTGTGCCAGCCCCAGGAAGCCTCCTGTGAGTACCATCAAGCCACCTCCCCAGTGCCTGCCAATATCAGCCTCATTTCCATCTGCGCCCCTCTAACCCATCACCCCTGACACCAGACCAGCAGGGGATAAAAAACCCTTAATAGTAGCACTGGCACCCCAGTGGGCAAACACTTAATGCCCAACTGGCCTTCCAAGGCTATGGCCACCAGCCATTGCCTAGCACTGTCTGGAGACATTTCGGCACAGTCTCTTATGAGAAGTGAAAACTCCATGATATATCATATCACCAATTTTTATTTTTTGAGATGGAGAATCACTCAGCCACCCAGGCTAGAGTGCAGTGGTGCGATCTCAGCTCACTGCAACCACTGTTTCCTGGGTTCAAACGATTCTCCCGTCTCAGCCTCTTGAGTAGCTGGGATTACAGGCACCCGCCATCATGCCCGGCTAATTTTTGTATTTTAGTAGAGATGGGGTTTCACCATGTTGGCCAGGCTGGTCTTGAACTCCTGACCTCAGGTGATCCACCCACCTTGGCCTCCCAAAGTGCTAGGGTTACAGAAGTGAGCCACCGTGCCTGGCCATATCACCAATATTTTTAATGTAAGCCCTTTTAGTATCCCTTTACTTACCTTTTCTTGTCCTCAACTCAGTATTTCTCATCACTGTCCTTTTCTGTGCATCAAGAAATCATTTGCCTCCTTCTCTTCTACTCCACCTTCTGTAGTAAAGTTGCCATTTATTCTCTCTCAGTCTATTCCCCCTTTATTAGGGGTGGGGAATCTTCTTTAAAGGGGCAGCCCTTTGAAACATTGTCCCACCCTCCAGGCTACAGCTGTTTGGACCTGGTAGACATTCTGACCCATGATAGAGCAATTCGATTCTCTTTCCTGGGAATTTGGAATTAAGACTCAAAAGATTGATTCAGTTGGTACTGTAGGACCAAGACGGATTGTACTCAGGGGACTGAGGTGGATTTTTGGGAGGGTGGCCATGTGCAAAATGAATCCTTGAGTTAAGCAGCCAGAGAAAATAAAAGCCTGTATTGTCCAGAGAGAAGCAGAGACGTGAATCCCTGTGATGCACAGGGACACTTCCAAGAGAAATAATTAGAGAAAGAATAGCTGCGTGATACTGTGCAGTGCCTAAGAGACCAGCCACACTCCCTGTAATTGAGTTCCAAAAGGTTTTCTTGTCACCTTGTAATCTTCTCAACTGTACTTCTTTGAAAAAGTTTCTTGCAACTGATGATCCCTTACTTAGAAGACATCTTGTCATTTGTGAGTCTTGTTTTATTCCTATCCATAAAATCAACTCGTAACACAGAAAAATGTTTTCCTGGCATTATTAAACAGCAGTTAAACTAAAAATGAAGGCTCATGCCTTAAAATAATTCTCCATAGCCTTAGAAAAATTCTCTGACCAGCCTATTAAGGTATTACCAGTCCAGAGAGAGCTCCTTTCATCCCCGGGAGGTAGGCTGGCCTGCTGCTCCCCTCCTTTGTGTTAATGGGAAAGGGAGTGGCAGGCAGCAAACCAGTGGACAATCCCAGAATCCTTCAAATTCTAGTTGAGGTCATCCAGATGCCTACCTCCCTTTAGGGGAAGAAAGGAATGAACTGATAAAAGAGTAGAGGTCAAAGAGCACCCTCTGTTACAACTCCCCCTGCTTTCCATACCACTCACCTCCTCAGCTGGCTCAACAGACCTGTGTCCAGCAGCAAGGCTGATGCTTATAAAATCATTTTTAAAAAGCAAAAACCTTTGGGAGTAAACAAATCCAATGTATAGACTGTTGTTGGTCACTAAACCAGCAGTTACTAAACACTGCACTCACTATTTAAGTTATAGTTTACTTTATAAATATATAAAAATCTATATGTCACTCATTAGCTCAAACAGCATCTTTACAAATACAGAATAGCAACCAAAGCCTATGGTTTCTATTTCTTCTAGGTTAACCTCTTTAATGATTATTTCCATTTCTGGATCCCCAAACATTCAGCATCTTCTACATGGGAGAAGTTAGTCCCCTACTGGCTGAATTCAAAGGCTGTGGGCATCTAAGATAATTTCATGGAGAAAAAGTAGTCTTTTCAACAAACGATGTTGGGACAACCAGATATCCACATGCAAGAGAATAAAGTTGGACCCCTACCTCACACCATATATAAAAATTAACTCAAAACAGATCATCTACCTAAATGTAAGAGCTAAAACTATAAAACTCTTAGAAGAAAACATAGGAGTAAATCTTGATGACCTTGGATTAGGTGATGGTTGCCTAGATATGACATCAAAAGCATAAAAAAGAAAAAATTAATAAATTGGACATCATCAAAATGAAAAACTTTTGTACTTCCAAGGGTACCACCAAGACAGTGAATAGGACAACTCACTGAATGGGAAAAAAGTCTGCAAATAATATATAAGGGACTCATACCCAGAATATGTAAAAAAACTCTTAGAACTCAACAATAAAAAGACAAACTGATTAAAAATGGGTAATAGATTTGAATAGACATTTATCCAAAGAAGATATACAAATGGCTAGTAAGTTTATGAAAAGATCATCAATATCATTAGTCATGAAGGAAATGAAAATTAAAACCACAATGAGATATCATTTCACACCCAGCAGCCTGGCAATAGTAAAAAAAAGACAGACAGTAGTAAATCTTGACGATGTGGAGGAATTGGATCTCTCATACATTGCTGGTGGGATGCTAAAATGGTGTGGCTGTTGTGGAAAACAATTTCACAGTGCTTCAAAAAGGTGTTCAGATCCACACCTTGAGGATAGGAGAGGCTGCAGGATAGTGTTGCCTAATTAGGGCTGCTGCCATGTGAACAGTTTTTCACCTATCACAGTGTCATCCAAATGACTGATTGATGGGGTTGGTGGGACTGATACAATTCTTTATAAGATAGTATAGTTCAGCGCAATGTTTTCAAGCAGTGACCCATTATGTGGCAACCACATTTTCCAAAACAAAACACAGTCATATATATATATATTTTTTTTGACAGGGTCTTGCCCTGTCACCCAGGCTGGAGTGCAATGGTGTGATCACAGCACATTGCAGTCTTGACCTTCCAGGCTCCCAAGTAGCTGAGACCATAGGCACACGCCACCATGCCTGGCTAAATTTTTTAATTTTTTGTAGCAATGGGGTCTCCCTATGCTGCCCAGGCTGGTCCTTAACTCCCAGGCTCAAACGATCCTCCCACCTCAGCCTCCCAAAGTGCTGGGATGACAGGAGTGAGCCTGGACTCATATTTCTGAATTAAAAATTAGATTCATGATGTCACAAGAACAAGTATCCACAACAATAACTGAATGGAATATTTGTGACTGTCCTGGGAAATCTAGGGCATATGGTACCAAAACCCATGAGGCATTAATGACCTGGATGAGAATTACAATGACCTTGGTCTTTCTCTGGCTATCTGTACCAGAATTTTAGGCACATTAAGTTTCTTCCCACCCTGGCACTTTTGCACATAACCTCTTCTCTGCCACTACATCTTCACCTGTCTTCCCCTTCACACCCTTCAGGTTTCTGCTTAAATGCCATCTCCCTAGAGAGCTGCTCTGGAAATCTTGCCTAAGGTGGCTTCCATACCCCCATTCAACCCAGTTTCTCTGTGATTATTTTTCTTCTTAGCACTTATCACAATCTATAGTCATCTTATTTTCTTGTCCATTCACTGTTGGCGTCCCCCATCAGAAAGTAAGCTTCGAGGCGGCAGAAACTTTGTCATGTTCACTGCTATACCCCCTGCATCTGGCACATTATAGATGTAAAATGAGTTTTTGATGAATTAACAAATATGAAAGAATAAATTACACCCAACTTAGAGAATAAACAAATCTTAATAAAAATCACAAGACTATAATTTATTAATAAGAAGAGCAATAATGCAATCATTTATGAAGATCATTATAAGCTTCCGTCAAAAGCTTTCACTTTGCGCTCTTTCCAATGCACAGAGTAAGTGGGATCCAATGAGCAGTAGGATGGTACCATTGAGTAACTCTGATTAAATCTCTTCCCCTCGCAGAGCCATTTCTCAGTGTAAAATGAGAAGACCTATTTCTCAGTGTTGAGGGTGGGAGAATTCAATAGGATGACATATACATGAAGTGTCTGGTACAGAGCAAGCACTCAACTTAATATGGATTTGATTCTTTGTAGTTACCTCCATATTTCTCTTATTCAAACTGGTCAAGGGACTAAAGAATATAAAGTCACATCTCTAGGCCTTCATGTGAACTTGCTTACCTGACACTCCAGGCCCAATCATGGCTGTTAGACCTGTCTCTTCAAATCCAACAAGTTCAATTGTATTTGCAGCACTAGATTATTTGAGCCATGTCACAATTTTGACTAAAATAATTTTTTTTAATTAAAATCTCTAATAGATCATTGTTTCAGGTCATTGTTCCAAAGCTGTGGATATTTCTCTTTTTTAAATTTTTTCTTTTCTTTTTTTTTTCTTGAGACAGGGCCTCACTCTTGTCGCCCAGGCTGGAGTGCAACAGCACAAACTGGGCTTACTGCAACCTCTGCCTCCTGGGCCAAAGAGATTCTCTGGCCCTAGGTCCCGGAATATCAGGGACCACAGGCACCTGCCACCATGCCCAGCCAGCCCTTGTATTTTCTGTAGAGATGGGGTTTTGCCATGCCACCCAGGCTAGTCCTGAACCCCCAAGCTCAAGTGATCTGCCCACCTCAGCCTCCCAAATTGCTGGGATTAGCCTGGCCGAGCTGGGGATGTTTCTAAAGCAAACTTAAACATGGTCCCATTTCCAGGCAGAATTCTAATGATCTACTTCAAATATTCTTGAATAAATCAAACGGTTTATAGACCAACAGAGGATAAGCAAGTTACAAAGAGCAACAATCTACTACCTTCTGGTTAGGAAGAAGGCACAGTTGTAGGGACCACAATATAAGAGGCCATAAAGCAGTGAAGCCAAAGCTTGCAGCTTTGGAATCAGACCAATCTGGGTTCCAATTCCCATTCCACAGTCTGCCAGACAGTGACAACAGGCAAGATCCTCAACCTCTCTGTGCCTCAGCTGCCTCCCCTGTAGCCTGGGGTTAGCAACAGTGCCTATCTCACTGGACTGTGAGAGGGTGGATCAGATCAATCGATATACACATTTAGTTCTGAGTTTGGCACTCAGGAAATGTTAGCTCTGGTTATAAAATTCACTCTCAGCCTCAAGAGTCTTATATACGCTTACAAATGAAAACAGAATGAAACGATAGCCCTAAATGATACATATTAAGTGAGCAGCATCGGTCACAAAACACACAAAGTTTTGGAAGTGCAAGGTGCCCCTTCATCTGAGGATGGTACAAGGTCTCATGGGAGAGGTGAGACTGCAGCAGATAGGGCTTTGCAGGATGCAGATGCAAACAGGACCCTGGTGCTGCACACTTACCACTGGCCAAACATTTTTGTATGTAATCCCCACAACAAACTACAAAGGAGATACTTTAAAACTCCATTTTATAAGTGAAAAGTTGTTTCACTGATGAGATAGTTAAGATTCGAAGAGGTTTATTAAAGTCGCCAGCTGGTGGCAGTCCTAGGTTCAAACTCAAGTATGACTGACAGCAAAGTCCAAGCTCCCACTGCTATGCCATTGGAGGGGTGCGGCTGGACAGACAGAGAAGGGCCAGCGGGGAAGATGAATCATTCCACTGTGAGGCAGGGAAGAACAGAGTCATCATATGGCAAGTGGGAAGCAAAGAATTTATGATTTTTTAAAAAAGGAAAATAAGGATAGGATGGTAGGTTAGGAGAGAGAACAGAAAGCTTAGGAATCTGGACTTCTGCCTGTGAGCAATGATGAATCATTGTTTTGTTCTGGGGGTGTGTGTGTGTTTAGTGAAATACTACTTCTACCACAACTAAGAATATTTATTGAGCACCAACTAAGGGCCAGGCCCCACACTAAACCCTTTGCATACATTTTTTTCTAATAGTTACAACTCTGCAGTTTAGGTATTGTCATTCCCATTTCACAAATAAACAAGGCCCTGAAAAGTGATGCCACTCACCCAGATACCCCCGGTAAATGGCAGAGTGGGATTTATACCCAAGTGTGCATGATAACGAAGTCAGTGCCCTTTCCCCTAAAGCAGCATTGTACATAAACCTCCTTTGCAAATGGGAGCCGGAAAACGAGGCAGAAGAACCTGGAGACAGGGAACTAGCCAGAAGCAATACATATAGTGGTCCAGAGTGAGGAGATAAATGTCTCAACTGGAATCACTGTGAAAATGGAAGGGAAGTAACAGAGGATGAATGTGTTCACAGGCTTTTCTTTCATTTACTCCCATTCTCTGTGTCATGTTCTACTACCTAAAGTAGAAACCAAGTTAGTAATTATCCCAGTCTCTATTACTGTCCTTGGTATCAAGCCCTGATTTGCATCTTGTTGTTAGCCCAATAGCAAATATTACTTTAAGTATTCACTTGTTCTATCACAATGTTATCAGGTCTAAAATATGGCATCATCTTCTAATCTGTTATCTGAATTAAAAAGTAATATTCAAGAGAATAAAACTAAGCCTCCACATTCAGTAAATTATATTATGCCTCACATAGCAACATCTTTAAAAATCTGACTTAGACATATAGCCTGTCAAAGCAGAAGGACACATATGCTGAGCCCTAATGAGCTCTGCCAAAACCTACATTATTATTAGGGTTCATTATGATCTTGGAGATCACATGGTTTTATAAAATGGAGTGTGTTATCAATACTTGTTGGGCTGCTTTCTAGTTAATATTCTTGGCAAAACAGCACAAAAAATAAAGCAGTATAGATGTATGCATATGAATATATCTTTCAAACTAATGCAAAAGCTATGTACCAAGTGGACAATTACTTATGCTATCTCACCTGATGGAAACAAGAATTAGAAACGAACAAGTTTTGATATTCATGTAATGATTCAATAAAAAACCAAAACACTTTTGCATTAGAACCTTAGCTATAGTCCTCTCCATTTAATAACAAACTTCAATATTTCAGGTGGAAGAATAGTAGTAACCGGGATACACAGAAACGAATTAAAATTCATAAGGACAAAAAATTGTGCATTGTGGTTTGTGCAGTGTCTTCACCAGAAAAAGATATTTACATATGTAAGACAAAGCAAAAGAACAGCATAAACATTCCAATTTCATAGCTCTTAATTCCATAATAATCTGTGGTTTGTGTTTCTTAATTCATTGAACTTAATTTTATTCTTGTGTACAAAGACATATTTGGATGTTAAGGAACTCTGCTCTGCTCTGCTCACCTATACATACTCTGACCCAACCAAATATTGTGGAGAATTATGAATACAGTCCTTCCTCTGAAATCAGGCTTACTACTATGTCACTAAAGTAGCTTAATGAATAGATCAGATGCTAACTGTCTCTTTTTCCCTTCATCAGTTAAGGCTCCCTGCAAACCCAGTTATACACATCACTTCATTCACCTTTTCTTCAAATCTGAATGTTTCCTTAACCACCCAAGCTAGATTTCATCACATCCCACTAGCCCGGCTGCTTGTCATAACAACGGTTTACTGCAACTCCACCCTTTTCCCACCTTCAGCTTCAACAGTGCATTTGGTTTTTTTCCTTGTATCAGAGAAAAAATTAGGATTAGGAGTTCAAATCCACAAAGTAGTTCAGTGAACTGTCACATTAATATTATTTAACCACAGAGAATTTTCTGTTTAATTGCCACTCTCTCCCTTCACCCAAAGGACTACATCTTATTTTGATGCTGTAATGGAAAGCACTGCATTAAGACAGAGAGAGCAAAAACATAATGGGTTTAAATTTTTAAACATCTAACCTTTTCATGAGTCATTGTTAATCATTTGCACCTGTAACTTTCATAATCAGCCTAGCAATTAGAGAAGCAAAATCTGCAGAACAAAACTATGTAAGGATGCCCCAAGCACAACAACTACCATGTTAGGGAGGGAAGAAAAAAAGCTATTTGTGTCATACGTGACATGAAAAAAGTTTTACATGCTAGTTCCACTAAATCTTGAGAACATTAGCACTCCCATCTTCAAAAAAAGTCAAGATTTTTTAAAATCTGTAGTTTGAATATTAAGTGCTTGCCTTCTGTAACAATTTTTCAACTTTAGGTCTCAGAAAAAAAAAAGGCTCTGGAATATAAGCACATCATTAGGAAGGGAAAAAAAAGCTGATCTTTGAAATCATTCTCTGCACTGAGAAATTAGGAGCATGGACATGACATCACTTCATTTATTTCATTGTGAAAGACAAACTTAGAGCAAAAGTGGCAATATTCTGAGAATGTAATGGTAGTTGTTCTACATCAATGAAACACACAAGTTTGGAAGGTATAAATATGGTCTCTGTCAGTTGTAGTCCATCCTCAGCAAGTCATTTTCCCTGTGGGCTGAGGCTCCCATATGACGAAAATCTTCCTTAACTGCTGAAGGCTGAAAAGGATTCCCTGTGAACAGCATCTGGCCCATACCTTGTTTGCTCACATAAAAGCTGACAAGGGCTGGAGGAAAATGTGTCTGGTCCAAAGATGAGAGGATAGGGCCAAGAATCACAATATAACCCCTTTCCATTTAATCGGGAGGGCCCCTAAAACGGCCATTCATCCAAATGAGCTCTCCTGTCAGTCAGTCTTGGGCCATCCGCTAGCAGATGTTGGTCATTGTGTGGGCTGGCTGGTAGGATTTTGTGATCCAGCAGCTGCCAGCCTTTAATAACCTCAATGATGCTGTGGAAGCATCCATTTAGTGTATAAATATGCTTTGGGCATTAAAACACTGCCAAGTGAAATATTAGAGAACAAACTCCCCACCCACTGCAGAAATTTCCCAGGTCCAAAGCATCTGAGATGAAGATTCCAAATTACCAGTAGTAAAATTTCTTTTAGATCTTTTTTAATCCTCTTGCTTACTGAGAAACCCACTGAGGAGCCTCCCAAAGATGATGCCCACACTTCAGGTTATTGGTCCTACCGTGCACCTGGTTAGGGAAGGAAGAAGTGTTTCATAGTTACCCAGGCTCCTTCCACTTGTAGCAGGAAAGAACAGCAAGAAAGCATCAGAACACTCAACTCCTTGGAGATTTAAAAGCCAGAATTCCGGAGGGATACAGCGAAAAGACATCTCTCCCTCCTCACCTACACTCCCCACACTGTTTCTGCCCTGGCCCTAGAATCAGCAGCCCTTCAGTAATTCCATGCGGCTCCAGAGAGAATCCTCTATTCCACGGGGCTCCCGGATCCGACCCCAGGTCAACCGCTTCCCACCTTCCCAGCCTCCACACGCAACCCCTCCCCGCCGCCCCTGGCCACCCCCTTACCTGATAATGTCGTCGTTGTGTCCCAGGAAGAATTTTTGGCTGTGCTCGCGGGTGTTGTAAACCACCCCGACCCCAGCCACAAAGTAGACCACCTCCTTGCCTGCCGTGTAGTACAGGTTGTTGCGGCACTGGTGACCCCGGTACCCGTACACCCACTCCAGCCGGAGCTGGCAGCGGGGCGCCGTCCGATCCGCCATGATAAGCCGACCCCGCGCGCCCCCCGCCCCCCCGCGCGCCGGGGCCGTCCTCGCCGAGGCTGGGGCTGCGGCGGACCTGCAGGGGCTCAGCGCGCGGCGCAGGGCGCTGATTTCCGCGGCGACACACAGGCACAGCCCAGCGGGCCGGCCGCCACCATCATCCGCTGCAGCCGCCGCAGACAAGCCGCCGCCGCCGGTGTGCGGCCGCCAGACCCCGCCGGGCGCCGGGCTCCCTCTACCCGGGCAAGGCGGCTCTGGGGGCGCCGGCACCGGCGCGCGCGCCTCACTGCACCTGCGGGCTCCGGCCCCCGGGAGAGGCTCTCGGGGGGGCCACCCCGCCTTTTACATCAGGAATCTGCATATCCCAACAGCGATCACCCAGTTCGCTCACTGAAGTTTGCGGTGCGCCGGGGCTTCGCGGCAGGCGGCGGGATTTATTCTGCGATAGCCTTGATTTGACAGGCAACCCGGGTGAGCTCTGCCATCGCCGTCTTTGGATCCGAAATTGACAGTCTATATCCAGGAAGCGAGAGCGAGGAAGAAAGAAACAGATTTTTCGCATAAGTCACCCAATCCAAGAAAATTATCCCCAAACTAAACCAAGTTGGGTATTTTTAAAAATTGTCCCCTACTCCCGCTTTCTCTCTCCAGTTCCATCTCCTTAATGATATGAAATATGCGTAAATGCTGCTGCCTGGCAGTTGCTGATGCGATTTGAAGGAACGCTTGCTGTTTCCCTAATAAGCGAGGGCGAATATGCAATGGTCATTTTTTAGATGCTCCAATTAGTTTTCATGTGTGTGTTTAATAATCATATCCTCCGTGAACCTTCTCTTCACCGAGAAAGCCATAAAGAACTTAGCAGCTCTCATTGATCAGCAACTCCAATCCGCATCATGAAAGATTGTCTTACTCGGAAGAAACGAGGCACTAGTGCAGTCGGAGGGAGTGCGCTACCTACAAACGCTCCTGGTCGAGGAGAAATCAAATAACAAGTGGCAAAAATCGTGTACTTCTCCCCAGAAACCTCTGCGCTAAACACCGGGTCCCACGGAATCCCGGGTCCTGCCCTGAGCCCAGCGTGGAGAGGGGTCGCCCGAGGGACCCGGGGGACAGCAACCCCCCACAGACGCACACGTCCCGGGGGTCGGCGCGCTGCGCGAGGGATGCCCGCCCTCAGGACTGTTCGGCCCGCGCGCACTGCCGCCCTGGCGGCGCCCTGCACTCCTCCCACTCTCGAACCAGCCTCGCCCGCGGAGCATCCGCGCGCTCTCTGCCTCTAACCTCTGCTGCCAGCGGACGCCACCGGCGCGTCCCGGATCCCGCGCGGGCGAGCGAGCGAAATCCTCTGCCTGCCCTCCCCTCCCCGCCTCCCGCACCCGGGGATGGACTTCGTCACTGGGGCGCCGCGGGAGACAGGTTCTTCCTCCAGCCGGGGCTCCGGGGGCGGGGCCACAACGCCGCGCTAGTGAACCTCAGCTGCCGGTTACTAGGCGAGATCTCGCCGCTTGGAAACAGCGACGCCCCGGAGGACTGGGGCCGCCCCCTCCCTCTGCCTGTCCCTGTGGCCTCTTCCCCCGACGCATCCTGGGAAGTGTAGTCCTCTCTGCGCCGGTTAGGGCGGACAGCGCGCGGAAGGGACCACAAGTCCCAGGATTCCGCGCGCCCAGAGGGAGTCGCAGCGAGACCTGTACCGGCGTCAGCGGAGCCTGCGGCTCTCGGGGTGAGGAGATCCCGGCTCACCAAGGACGATTGCCTGCCCACGCGGGCGTTCCCTTGTGACTGAGGCGGGAGCTGGCGTGCGTGGGTCTCTGTAGAGAAAAGCGGTGGAGTTGGAATGGAGACGGTCTCCCAGCCCACCACTGGAATTTCTCCTTCATCGGTCTCTGAGTGTTGCTGTAACCGACATCCTCACCATGCTGTAACTGACTCAAGCTTAAGTTTGTTTCCTACTTAAGTTTTCCTTTTCATTCACATGGATTTTAATTTGTTAAAGTGCAGTTCTGCCAAGTTTAAGAAAAATGCTGGGAATGTGAGCTCACTTCTGCCCTAAGAACCAGCGTCTTCCCATGACCTGCGTCCTAAATTAGAGGACTTGGGTATTTACAGATAACCGGAGGTTGGAAGCAGGAAGGTGCTCACGCCATGAACAGCTAACCTTGGCCTTCAAACGCAGAAGCTGGTGGCATTTCTCCTAAAACTGCCCGAGATGAACTATGAATCCACTGTGTTCTCAAGTAGCCTATTTCCAATTTAGGGCCATAGCTAGTCTTTGGAAAGAGATTTCAAAATCCCAGTGACTAAGAGGCTGCAAAAGGATGATGGATTGGACGTTTGGAACGTCCTTTCCCTCCCATGCTTTCAGTGTAATCGCTTACTCAGTTCATCTCCCTCAAGTTTTAA
Source organism: Homo sapiens (assembly GCF_000001405.40). Lineage (NCBI taxonomy): Eukaryota > Metazoa > Chordata > Mammalia > Primates > Hominidae > Homo > Homo sapiens. The sequence goes on along the minus strand of NC_000002.12, from coordinate 54,722,658 downwards.
GACAACCCTCCGACCTGGTAGGAAAGCTCGAAAGAACTGGAAGTGCCAGAGTTTGGATGATTTGTTGCTGCCCGCAGTAATGAGGATTTGAATTGGTCTCATCTTTGTTTTTAAGGAAACAGAATCAACAAATAAGTGAGATGGCACTGTGCTAGGCAACAAGAACACTGCCAAAAACAAAAACACGGCCTGAGAAAGGTTTGAGATAGAAGCAAAAATATAGTTGATCAATGATGTCGTGCCATAAAACAGTGCCAAATGAATTATATAAAGACAGTAAGTTTTTGTTGTTCTTTTTGTTTTGTTTTGTTTTGAGACAAAACAGGCCGTTGCCCAGGCTAGAATATCGTGATCTTGGCTCACTGCAACCTCCGCCTCCTGGGTTCAAACGATTATCCTGCCTCAGCCTCCTGTGTAGCTGGGATTACAGATACGCACCACCACGCCCAGCTAATTTTTGTATTTTTAGTAGAGACAGGGTTTCGCCCTGTTGGCCAGGCTGGTCTCCAACTCCCGACCTCAGGTGTTCTGCCCGCCTCGGCTTCCCAAATTGCTGGGATTACAGGCATGAGCCACTGTGCCTGGCCAGTAAGTTCTATATAAGAATTCAGAAGAGGAAGAGTTTTTCCAGATAAAATACATCAGGAAAAGTTTCATGGAGGAACTAGGAAATATAGATAGAATTGAGATAAGTAAAGATAAATTGAAAGAGCGTTCTACATGCGTTTAGGGAATAAACAAAAGTGTAGATGCAGAAAAGTGGATTTAGAGAACACTAAAGAGAATACCCAGTTTGGTGCAAGGGAGAATTCATATAAGATCAAGAGGACACATGAAAGGTTAGATTGTAGATGGAGCTCAGCATAGGGGTTTGCGCTGTATCCTTAAAATAATGGAGTCATTGATTTTTTGAATAAAAATAAGGGAATAGCAATGAAAGCAGTAATCAAAGCATGAGGTATTAGAAGTCTGGGGTAGTGCTTGAGGCTGCGTTAGAGATAGTGGCAGTGGTCTAGAAAGGAAGAGACACTTTCCAGAGAAAATGTACAAATGTATTGAAAAGAAGTCTCTTAAATAGAAATGGATGGAACATATTCATTTCCTAAATTATCTTTAGTATAACTAATGACCCCCATGCTGTACCAGACTGTTAAATGAGTTGGAGGAGTAAGTCTGAGTCAGCCACTTACAATTGTAACCTTAGGCAAATCACTAAATCCTCTGATCTTTACTCTCCTCATTTAATAAAGTATAGCAGTACTCACCCCACAGGATAATTGTAAGAATGAAACAAAGTAATACATACGTGAAAAGTTAATTTGTAAAGCATTAGATAAATGTTAATTATTACTATATGGCAGTAGATAGTAACCTCTACTTGAAAGTGTCAAATAAGACTGGTAGTGTCCTTTGGAAATAAGCAGTATTAAAAAGCATGAGTAAAACTCATAATATAATAACATTATGTTGTTGTAATGAATAGCAGTTACTATGTTCCAGGCACTATAAATGGTGCTTTACGTGTATCAGATAATTTGATCTTCACCCCAGTAATAATCCTATGAAGTAGTTACTGTTATTTCCTCATTTTACAGATGAAGAAATGAAGGTAAGGAAAGTTTAAGTAACTTGCCCAGGAATGCACAAAATAGTGACAAAGCCTGGATTTGAACTCAGGCAGTCTGACTCCAGACGCTGCTCTTAAATGCTAAGAATGATGAAAGAAATTGTTTAGATGGTAGAGTAAGTTCACCTGTAAATGAAACCCAAAATAGCCATGATTTAAACTTGATAGAATTTTATTTCTCACAAAAACCTGGAGGTAGTACAGGCCTAGAATGATGGCTCTGCTTAAAGGAATCCTTGAGTACTCAGGCTACTGGCAGCATGCCAGCATTCTGCTCTGCTGTCCCTAGACCTCATGGTCCAAGATGTAGTACTAGCCATCAAACGTACATTTCAAGTACATTTCAAAGAAGAGAAGGGTCATGGGGCACATCCTGGCTGCCTTTAAAAGGAAGATGCTCAAAAGCTACCCTAGGCCAGGCACAGTGCCTCACACCTGTAATCCCAACACTTTGGGAGGCCAAGGCGGGAGGACTGCTTGAGCCCAGGAGTACTAGACCAGGCTGGGCTTTGGTGACACTCCTTCTCTACAAAAACTACAAAAATAGCTGGGTGTAGTGGCACAGGCCTGTAGTCCCAGCTACTCAGGAGGCTGAGGTGGAAGGAATTGCTTAAGCCCAGGAGATTGAGGCTGCAGTGAGCTGTTACCACGCCATTAGACTATAGCCTGGGCAACAGAGTGAGATCTCAAAATAAAAAAGAAAAAGCTACCCCAAGTCTTTTCTGTTTATATGCTATTGGTCTGAACTTAGTTATGTAGGCATACCTAGCTGCAAGGAGATTTAGGAACTAGTTTTTATTCTGGGCAACCATGTACCTAACTAAAAATAGAGGATTCTTAAACTGTGGGAAAAAAATAAATGGCACTTTACATCCCTTATCTCTCTAAATCCTTACAACAACCCTATGAGTAGATAACTTCATTTTAATGTGAGGAAACTGAGACCCAGAAAATAAGTAATTTAACCAAGATTATTCAATAAGTGGCAGAACCAGAATCAAATTTAGGTCTGTCCAACTACAGAACCAGTGTTATTAACCACTACTCCCATACCTCCCAACCCAAGACATAGATCCATTTATTATTAAACGATGAGAAAGTAATACTTGAGTAAAGCAAAGTCTCAGAATTTACTTCCTGAAGTTTCCTAAATAATAAGAGGGAAAAAGATTCAACAAACAGTAGTAAGGACAGAAGATAAGTTGAAAAACTCATGAAAATTCTCACAAAAAATGCTCCAATTTGGAAAAGTAAAATGTAAGTATACATTTTTAGAGGCTGAGGTGAAGAAGGGGCATACGTTAGAGAAGATCCTACATATTACTTTAGGTCTTCAGCAAAAATAGTTTCACCAGGACCTGCCATCATCAGGGAGATGGTTGAATGATGGTTGTACTATGCAGAGTCAAAGGAATAATCCAACATTCATAGGTGTGAGATATATCTTTGGCTGCATGGGATACGTCCTGGAACTGGTCATTTCATAGTACCTTAAGCAAGAGCAAAACCTTGTCTCTTAGTGGAGGCTGTACTTAGTCCCAGTAGATTTCACCCATTTTCCTGCTCTACTCTTTTCCAATATTAGGCTACAGAAAAGTGGGGAGGGGGGGAAACAGTAGTCAGCCACCATATTTTAGCTCTGAGAAGATCAGTTCATTCCTAGATAAAGTGGGAAGGATGTAAACAATAACTTATATAAAATATATCAGAATAGATACATGATCTAGAAATAGCTGCCCCTATCCAAACTGAGCAAGATGAAAAGAAAGGGCGTAGCAAACACAAACTAAAATCCTGAAAGAAAGGTATATAACATGCAAAAGATAGATGAAGAACCCCATCTGGAAGACAGTTTACATTCTCTGCTAGAGAAGAACTTAGTTACAACATGAATTTAAGATATCAGTGACATGGTTTGGCTGTGACCCCACCCAAATCTCATCTTGAATTGTAACTCCCACAATTCTGATGTGTTGTGGGAGAAACCTGGTGGGAGGTGGTTGAATGATGGGGGTAGGTCTTTCCTGCACTGTTCTCGTGATAGTGAATGAGTCTCACGAGATCTGATGGTTTTAAAAACAGAAGTTCCCTGCACAAGCTCTCTTTGCCTGCCACCATCCATGTAAGATGTGACTTGCTCCTCCTTGCCTCGTCTCAGAAAAAGAAAAGAAAATCATAAGGAGGAAAAGATATATTTACTATTCATTAAGTGGAAGTGGATCATTATAAAGGTCTTCATCCTCAACGTCTTCACGTTGAGTAGGCTGAGGAGGAGGTGGAAGAGGAGTTGATGTTGCTAACTCAGGAGTGGCAGAGGCAGAATGAAACTCCTCATATAAAGTGGACCCACACAGTTCAAACTTGTGTTGTTCAAGGATCGACTGTATACTGAAATAATCCGATGAAAGGGTGTTCCTATAAGCTAAAAAAAAAATCATCCCACAGATTATTTACCTTTAAATGAAGAGATCTGGAGGACACTATCTCAGCTTTTCAAACTTAGTGTCGTTAGTGGCAGAACAACTTGCTCCTCCTGCCTCCTGATGTGATGAGTATAAAATGCTGCATAAAACATTTTTACCAAATAATATCTAACCCAAGTCTAATTAAGCCTTGAGACCTAACTTTCAGTTTATAGAAAAAATGGCATAGATGAATGAGTTAATTGAAATCACAAGAAAACAATCAGGTAAAGCCAGAAGGTAGGACAGTATATAACACAAATGACCTAGCCTCATCAAAAGGTAAATGTAATAACAACAACTAAAAAACTAAAAAGCAAGGGATTATTCTTGCTTTAGTAAAAGAGACTAAAGAGATGTAACAACGAAAAACACTGTGTGAATCCTGATCGGATCCTGCTGGTTTTGTTTTGTTTTTCCCCCACATTTTAAATAGAATGTGGGGAAAAACAGTGGTTAGGGAAGTTTGAATGCAGAATGCATACTAGAGGATATTAAGGAATTGCTGTTTTTATTTTTAGGAAAATCTTATGAAACACATCCTGAAGTATTTAGTAGTAAAATATTGTTTGCAGCTTATTTCTAGCTAATTCAGGAAGAAATGTGGATGGAAATAGAGAAATATATACATACACATGCAGACATACACATACATGAGACAAAGCAAATATGGAAAATATCAGCAATTGCTGAATCTAGATGTTTTTCTACTTGTTTTAATTTTTGAAATAAAAAATTGGGAAAATTTATTTCAGGGATCTAGGTAGAAACAAAAATCGAGGATGTGTGTGGAAATCAGGCTGGTCTCAGTTTTCTACACTGCAACTTGCAATGCTGCCAGAAAAAATGGAGCAGTGTCTGTAAGTTCTGAGAGGAACAAAGTGTAACATCAGAATTATAACTAGCTAAATTACGTATAAAGGCAACAGGCAGATATTCTGAAATATTAAAGAAATTCTATAGCACTGTGACAGTTATGATGAAGGTTAATGGCAAATGACTAAAGATCTCAAACCATTAAAGAAGGTAGAAGTTTCTCTCTCACATAAAAAGTGTGGAGATAGGCAGTTGAGGTCTTGTACAGCAGCTTCAAGAAATTGTCCGATCCTCAGAATCCTCCCTCCTGTCTTGCTACATCCAGCACACGTCTTTCACCTCATGATCTAAGACGATAGAACAAACTTTAGTGGTTATATTTGCATTCCTGCTAACAGAAAGGAGAAATCAAGATGGGCATATCCTCTCCCTTTAAGAATATTTTCTGTAAGTCTCATACAACATTTTTGCTTTTATCCCATTGGCCAGAATTTAGTAACCAAGTGTGTCTAGCTGCAAGGGAGGCTAGGATTGTACAGTATATTCCTGGGTGCAGGGGAAAGTTTGTACGTTTAAAATTACAAGGCTTTTTATTTATTTTTTGTTTGTTTTTTGAGACAGGGTCTCACTCTGTCACTGAGGCTGCAGTGCAGTGATGCAATCACAGTTCACTGCAGTAGTCCAGCCTGGGCGACAGAGTGAGACTCTGCCTCAAAAAAATAAAAATAAATTAAAAGCCTGTCAGATTGATGGACACAGTTAGGACATATGAGTGTAGCTGTTTAACCACAATTTCTTCTGTATGAAACCAACCAATTATTTGGAACTAGAACTTGTAGCCTTGACCTCATTGGTATCACACTTTAGATACCATTAAACTAATAAAAATTGACAGTAGTATATAACCAGTTATCAACAAATGGGGTTAGAGTCCACATTTTTAAGTAAAAGACTTAAAAATAAAAATAGCACGAGAAGATGCTAAACATAATTACCCAACACAGAAATGCAAATCAAAACCACAAGATACCACTTCACACCCACTAGAATAAGTATAATCAAAAAGACAGTAACAAGTGTTGGAGAGGAAGTAGAGAAATTTGAACCCTCATACACTGCTTATGAGGATAAATTATATCTCAGTAAGATGGAGCTGCTTTGGAAAGCAATCTGGCAGTTCCTCAAAAAGTTAAATATAGAGTTACCATATGACCCAACAGTTCCACTTCTAGGTACATACCCAAGACAGAGAATAACATACATCCACACAAAAACTTGTTAATGAATGTTCATAGCAGCATTACTTATAATAGCCAAAAAGTGGAAATAATCCAAATATCCATCAATTTGTGAATGAATACATAAAATGTGTTTACATAATGGAAAATTATTTTCCAATGAAAAGAAGTGAACTAATACAAGCTACAACATAGACCTTAAAAATATTATTTTATTTTTAAAATAAAAAATTTTATGTGGTGTGTGGTCAACATGGTGAAACCCCATCTCTATTAAATATACAAAAATTAGCCAGACATGGTGGTGGGCGCCTGTAGTCCCAGCTACTTGGGAGGTTGAGGTAGGAGAATCACTTGAACCCAGGAGGCGGGGGTTGCAGTAAGCCGAGATCGTGCCACTGCATTCCAGCCTGGGCGACAGAGCAAGACTCCATCTCAAAAAAAAAAAAAAAAAAAAAAAAAAAATTCTGGGTGAAAGAAGCCAGTCACAAAAGACGCATATTGTGTGATTCCATTTTCAGACGGAGTGTCCAGAATAGACAAATATAAACAGACAGAAAGTAGATTCGTGGTTGCCTATAGCTGGAGGTGGGTAGGCGGGGAAATGGGAATGACTGCTAATGGTTATGGGGTTTTGGAGGGCAGGCATGATAAAAATGTTCTAAAATTAGATGGTAATGATGGTTGCACAATTCTGAATATACTAAAGAGCACCATTTTAAGTAGGTGAAATGTATGCTATCTAAATTATATCTCAACAAAGCTATTAAAAATGAAAACAAAGTTGGACTCGTTTTACTTCGTTGTGACGTGGATTTCCTGCATATTATATGTACCAATCATTTGTCTGTTCAGTTTCTTAAATGGCAGTTATTTTTAGAGCAGAAATGATTTCTTATTCATAAAGGAAGTGATTGATTTTTCAATTAAAATTCAGCATTTTTGTCTATCATCCAGAACTTATTCTATGTTTAGCATGTTTACAGGAATAATTAACATCTTAGATAAACTATACAAGTCACATTAGAAGATATAAAATGCTAGGGCTAAAGGGAATGGGCAATTATCAGTCATTTGGGGAGGAAAAAAAATTTCTAAAGTTTCCCATCCCCCTCCCATCTTTTTTCAAACTTTTTAAATAAAGGATAAAGAGTTTCTGTCTATTGAGCTGTGGAAGGCAGTACAGTCTAAGAGAATATCAAATCAACGAAAAGTTTTTATGATTTATTTTACTGAAGATGGGGTTCCTCTTTATTCTCTGTACAATAAAGATAACATAAAAGAACCGGGTCAGACAAGTGAGAAAAAGCCTCTTTAATCCCTGTGTGAAAAGGACCTATTCTAAAAAGCATGCCTAGATACCCAGAGAGAGTCTGGTCTTTCAAATGTAACTAGCTAGAACTCTACATAAAGTCTAGATTGCCTGAAGACCAACTTGCAACGTACAGACATTTGAAACTTCACATCACTTAAAATTTCTTAATCCAGACATTAACGCTGATAACAATTCTTTTTTTCCTCCTGATAATATGTCAGTCATAGTGTACCTTTTTAATAAAGCCCCTATTGAAACGCTAGCCTCAAAGAAAAAATGTGAAAAGTCAGTCATATAGCTAATAATGCATGCTATACTTTCAACACAGTTCAATGTTTTGGATCTCTTATAATAGGGGTAACATCTAGTTGTTAGATCTGGACCACCGTATCTGGCATCATTATATATTCTTCCCAAGTGGGCCCTATACACTAATTTATTTGCCTTCTCTAAAATCCATACCAAGAAATACCCTATTTGCATTATTACATTTTTTGACAATTTATGATAATCTCTTCCAGATATATTAAATTTCCTATTATACTAAGTTGCACTACATTTCCCCCAGTTTTAAATCTTTTCTTAGATATTAAGTTTTTCCAGTGTTTGCTAGTAAGAGCAATGAGAGCTTCCTATAGAAGGTATTAATTTGTGTTTCAAAATTTTAAAGATGTGCAACAATCTCACTGCTAGGTAGGTTTCTAAAATAATAATTTAATAATTATTATTACTAGGCGGGATGCAGTGGCTCACACTTGTAATCTCAGCACTTTGGGAGGCCGAAGCAGGTGGACTGCCTGAGGCCAGGAGTTCAAGACCAGCCTGGGCAACATGGCAAAACCCTGTCTCTATTAAAAATACAAAAATTAGCCAGGTGTGGTGGTGTGCACCTGTAGTTCCAGCTACTTGGGAGGCTGAGGCATGAGAATTTCTTGATCCCAGAAGGCAGAGGATGCAGTAAGCCGAGATCACACCACTGCACTCAAGCCTGGGCAACAGAGTGAGATTCTATCTTAAAAACAATTATTATTACTAATAATAATTATTAATAATTGTGTGTTACCTTCAGGTATACATTCTAGAATACTGTTGAAGTTTATACTAAAGAGGAAACTATAGTAATCTTCACCTAAGAATCAGGATTCTAGAGCTGGAAGGTATTTTAGAGATACTTTAATTCTACTAAAGGAGGCTCAGGTGATTGCCAAGGATAAGGAGTCCATAACAACTTTATTGAGTGTTTATATATTCAGAGCAATAATACTTGAGTATTGGTGTGGGGAGGGATTAATATAATACACTGAAAGCATCCTGGAATAGTCCAACGGGGCAATCCTTTCAGTTCAGAAGACAGGACTCTGGAGCCAGACTACTCAAATTGTCATCCTTACTTTGCCACTTAGTGGCCTTTTGGCCTTGGACAAGTTACCTAAACCTCTCTGAGCTTCAGCTTCCTCATCTGTAAAATAGGCATAACACTACCTATTTCATAGGATTGTTGTAAGGATTAAATACGTAAAATACATATAAAGCAGCCTGGGGACCATCTAGACTTTCCTTCTCCTTATGGAGCAAAGATTCTGCCAGGCCAAAGAGGCATGCCCACCCAGAACCCATATCCAACCCCACTTTTAAGACCATGTTCCAGATATCTGAGACCCTGGAATTCCCTACACAAATGGCTCTAAGCCCATTTACAGGGCTATCTTCCAGACTTCTCTGCTGGAGTGTGTTCTTCTAGGTTAGAGGGTGACCTAAAAGGAAAGTGATTTGTGGGGTAGGGGAACATGTACCTGGAGCATACATGTATGGACTGAGTGCCCACAAGCCTGTGTGTAAGGCCCCTCAAGAATATTGTAGTTTTTTCAGTGTAAGGACTTTTTTTTTTTTTTTTTCTGTGAGACAGAGTCTTGCTCCATCACCCAGGCTGGAGTGCAATGGCGTGATCTCGGCTCACTGCAACCTCCACCTCTCAGGTTCAAGTGATTATTCTGCCTCAGCCTCCCGTGTAGCTGGGATTACAGGTGCCTGCCACCACGCCCAGCTAATTTTTGTATTTTTAGTAGAGACGGGGTTTCACCATGTTGGTCAGGTTGGTCTCGTACTCCGGACCTCAGGAGATCCACCCGCCTTGGCCTCCCAAAGTGCTAGGATTACAGGCGTAAGCCACCACACCCGGCCGGTAAGGACATTTTTAAAAGTTTATTTGATATCTAACTTTGAAGTACGTAGACATATGGAATGTGGGCCTTCTTTAGTACTCTTGCCCTGGCCCCACAAGCATGAGGGGTAAGCCTGGTGCCTGTCAAAGCAGCCAATACCTTTTAGCTATTATTATTATTACCTTAGAAAGAGACTATGTTCACTAAAGGTAGCAGAAAAAAAAATTTCCTTACCTCACTGACCAGAGAGAACACAGCCTGCCCAGAGAAGGTACTCAGGTTAGAGATTTCTAAAGGCCCAAGCAAAGAGGCCAGACCACTTTTCAGGTTAGTCAGTGTGACGAGGAGGTCAGCAAAACCCTCGGCAAATATCGGTTGACATGGGAATTAAGATTCCATACTAAATGGGAACTCGGCATTTCCGCATGAGAAGAGTAAGAACTCCCCCAGAAAGTCTCTGTAATGAAGAAAACCCACTCCTAGCACGGAGCTGCACAGGCCATGGGACAAGAGGACAATCTTCACATCCAGGAGAAGAGGCCAGTCTTGAGTAGGGCAGAGCATACATTTTTCTCGTGGCCCCAGGGATGAGGTATTAGTGCCAGTTCTTCAGTAAAAACAAGCTGGATGTGGAGACAGCAGAACCCTACTGCTAGCACCACCCTACTTTGATTACACCAGGGACTGTGGGTTCAATCATCTTGAACAGATCCCTTTACTATCTTTATAAAGTCCTGAGTTTTAAAACCTGCTCTGAAGAGTGTAGAATTTGAGTCATTCCTTACACCTGACACCTGAATAAATTGCAACTGGGTCAGAAATATAAATGTTAAAATAAAACCATCGAGTGCTAAAAGAAAACATGAGTAAATTCACCCACAACCTGGAGATGAGAAACACATTCCTGACCATGACTCAAAATCCAGAAGCAACATGGGCAAAAATTGATACCTTCTATTACCAAAAAATCAAGAATATTTTGCATGGCAAAGAATATCCTAAGCAAGTGAAAAGAAAAACAAAAAACTGGGAAAAAATATTTGTGATTAATATCACAGAGAAAGGAAATATATTAGAGATTCTGTTGATTAAAAAATAAAACCAGTAACTCTATCAAAAAATATGAACAGGTAGTTCACATAAGAAGAAATTAATGTGGTCCTTAATCATATGAAAAAAATTCTCAAAATCAGATAAAAGTAAATTGAAACTACATTGATTTTAAAATGTGGAAAATTGTACATTTCTGAAGATATGCTTAAGGACAAAATGAACAAAAGGAAGGCATGCCTAAAGATTGACTGTAAAGTTAAAAAGAAAAACTTTTTGTAGTCATCATATTGGAGTATATTAAATGATACCCCAGGGATACAATCAGCAAAATTGATATTTGGGGAATTCTAAAAGACAATCTGTTTTTTAATCAAATAAATTATAAGAATTAAAAATGAGGGATGGCAGGGGAAACTCTTATTAAAACATATTTAAAGGACATACCAACTTATCTTCTGGAGCATATTTGGATCCAGGGTTGAACAAGCTGTTAAAAAAAAAAAGAACTATGAGATAATCATGAAACTGTTAATACTCAATGTTTGATGATTTTAAGGTATTATTAAATTTTAGAAGTTATAATGGTATTGTGGTTATGCTTTCAAACAAGAGTTCTTATCTTTTAGAGATTCATGCTGAATTATTCACCATGAAAAGATTTGAAGTGTGAATTTGCTTAATTTGTTTAGAAATAATCTGGAGAGGGTAGGGAGAAGTGGATGGGATTCTACATAAAGCCAAATAGGCCCTGAGCTGATAATTACTAAAGCTGGATAATGAGCACATGTAAGTTTGCTCTACTATTCTATTTTTTATATGTTCTACATGCTCCATAGATCTCTTTTTTCCAGTTTTTAAAATTAATATTTTTCAACTGTTCCAAATATTGTTAGAGCCAGGATTCTGGACAGGGTGTGTCTTCACTGACTATTTCAGCCAAAATACTAAGGTCATAATCAGGTGAGCAGCATCTGCTACAGAATCTTCTCTTGGGCCTATTTCCATCTGAAGGTGTTTACTCATTATCCTTGCAGAGTGCTTTCATTATAGTTTCATTATTATAAATTATACTTTCATTATTAAATTATAGTTTCATTAAAATGAATCAAGTAAGATTTTGGTTTATCATTTTCTCCAATGAGAATAGGGAGAAAGTGTAGGGTGATGGTTAAGGATTTGGGCTCTGGAGTCAGACATCTCCATTCAAGTCCAATTCTACCATCTGGATATGTGACCCTGGGCAAGTTATTTATCTCTTAACATCTCAGTTTACTTATCTTTAAAATAGGCATGGATAATAAAACACATTTCATAAATATGTTGTGAGAATTCGATGAACTGGAGAATGTATGTAAAGTGATTATAATACATACCACATAGCGTTATGGGATCCTTGGAGTGTCACTTGGCCATCCAGAAACCTCTGTGGCCAGTGGTACCTTTGCTGGGTTTTGCTCTGGCCCTCTGGGCTCATTCCGCCCACTCTGCCTGGAAGGTTACCCTTGGCTCGCACTACTGGCCTGGATCCCACACCTGCCAAGGGCAAGTCAGGCGTGGAGCAGCAAGAGGTGTGGGCGAGCTTGGGGTCCGGCCACTGTGCGCAGCCAGGCACTCCAGCTGCAGCAGGGTGGGCAGCTCCAGGTGCTGGCTCCAGAGCTGGCTCCCCGCAAGGCTGCTGCTAGACCAGGCGTACCATAAGCAACTTCCACAGCTGACATCAGGGAACATGGTGATACCCAGAAGCTTGGAGACGCCAGAAACTGCAGAGCCCTAAAGAGGGTGTCACAGACCTGGCTCGGGGAGCTCCTAGGTCTGGGATCCCTGACGGGCTGCAGCTCTTCTTTTCTTCTCTCTTCTCTCCTTCTTGTTGCCCGCAACGTGGCAAGCAAAAGGCGTGTTTCAGCCCTGTTTGTGTTACAGCTCTTTTAGCCCCACCATTTGACGGGTCCCGATTTCTTGTCCTGGGTGTCCAGGAAGAATGAGGTACACGGACAAGTGGAGGATGAACAAGACAAAGAGGAGCTTTACTGAACAACAGAACAGCTCAGAGGAGACCCGCAGTAGGTAGCTCCTCTAGGTAGCCAGGGTTTTCCCAATGAGTGTTCAGCTCTCAGCAGAGAAGGGTAGGTCTTCTCTTTAGGTAGGTCGTCCCATCGTCTCTTCAGGTCTGGCTGAGTCCGTGGCTTTTTATGGGCCTCAGAGGGGAGGAAGTGTGTGCCAGTCAGTCCATTAGCAGCCATGGACGGCCCGAAAAAAGCACCACAAGTTCCCACTCTGATCACGGGACCAGCAGCCCGGCCGCCAGACTTCAGACCTTCCCCGGATGGAAGGTGGGGCTTCACCAGGGACCTGCCTGTTTCCCAGGAGCCTGTCTGATCCTGCCGCCTTTATGGTGCCCAGGCGGTTCCGGCCCAGGGGCACCAGCAGGCCAGTGCAAAGCTGCCCTCAGCCCCTGCCGCGGCCTCCCTCACGGGCTTATCGGTGCCCAAAGCCCAGAGGAGGCTGAGGCGGCAGGGGACTGGTGTGTCAGCGCTGCCCTGAGTGTGCGCACACCCAGCTGGGCTGCAACAGCACCTGGGCTTGGCCCCAACCTTGCTCCGAGATCAGAGTGAGCAGCAGGAGCTGGGAGAAGCCAGGCAGCAGGAGCAGACACCTCCAAGGCTGCGGGGGTAAAGGGGGGCCTTCCTGGCCCCCAAGAGTGCGGAGATGCCTGGATCCGCAGCCGCGGCTAGGCGGCTGTAGCTGCACCTGGGAGGGCAGGGCTCCTGCCTGCTCCCGGCCCCCAAGAGCACAGGGAGGCCTGGGTCCACAGCCACGACTTGGGCGGCTACAGCTGTCCCTGGGAAGGCGGGGCTCCTGCCGACTCCATGGAACACAGCATTGCCACGGGCCCAGCTCCTCCTCCAGGCTCCTCTCTGCCTGTCCCTCCATGCCCCACCGTACTGCTCCCCTGCCAGTGGGTGAATCGGCCTGGCCCCACCATGGGGGCTCCCAGGACGGCAGGCTCCGAGGGGTCTCCCAGGGGTGGGCTCCAGGGTCTGCTAGCCTCCTCTCCGCATTTTGCCTGCAGCAGCGGTAGGCAAGGTGCAGGCGGCGCAGCAGCCCCTGCAAACTCTGCACAAACAAACCCGACGCTCTCAGGCGGCCCCATGAGTCCTGGTTGTGCCTTCAGCTGGGGGCTCGGGGGCTGCCAAGACGTGGCGGGAGCAAGGTTGAGGCCCCAGTGGAGGTCCCAAACCTGGGAGTGGGTCCTGCCCCGCTGTGTGAAGGTGAGGGTGGTGCAGTTGGCTGCCTCAGGAACGCGGGGCACAGGGGACGTGGGGCACACCCACCACCGCCACTGCTGCTCCTGCAGCGGCTCCTGCCACCACCGCCTGCGCCTCCCCACTGCAGCCAGCGTGGTGGCAGCGGCTGCTCCGGAAGGCCCACCACTGTCATCAATAGCACTCCAAATATTTATTATTAATTATAGTTGCACAACATCAATATTTAAAATATCCTCTCAAAGAAGACTCCCAAAAAATGTAAAAGGAGGATTTAATTATGCATGAGTCTGTGTGATTGCCTGAGTTACTGTTACTGTGTTTTTAGTTTGCCTGGCCATGAAAGTTTTCTGATAAAATTCTAGAATGTATTAGAACTAATTCTGCATTAAACTAAGATTTCTTCACAACCTTAAAAGCATCAACATTGTTTAAATGCAAAGACTTTAATGAGCTAAATAATATGTTACAAGTTCATTAAATTGCTACCATTATGCAGCATAGATGAATAAATTTCCAAAATTGCACGCAGAAGGGACAGTATTATGTCATCAATGAATGGTAATATAAAGGCCTCAATATCACATAGTTGGGTTCTAGAGTGAGGAAAACTAGAGAAACGATTATCCAAATAGCTTGACACCCAAAATTCTGTATTTCTGAAAATATCCACTTTACTAAAGGGAAGGAGACTAAAAAATTTACTCTTTTGAACCCTGCTGCTGGTACCTGCAAATACCTAATTTTCTATATTAGTGAGGTTTTTGGTTCTGCTGTCTAAAGGTGAACACTAAACAGAATGACATAGATTTATAGAGCTAGGGACACATGAAATTAAAACAAGACCTGGGTTTAACCACAGCTCTAACCACTTTCCTTGCAGCTTTGAACAAAGCAGTCAATCTCTTTAGGTTTCAATTTACTAAACCATAAAATGAAGGAGTAAGACCAAATGATCTTTGGGATCTCTCCCACCTCTAAAATGTTATGGCCAGTTCATTAATAGCATTAGTTTGATATGGGCAATATATTTTCATGAAGTAGTATAATTCAGTCACACATCATATATTAGATCCTGCTTCAAAGAGTGGGGAAAACAATGTGGAATCAGTGCAATTCACTCCTAATCTAGGGCTCTTTAAAAAGAATAGGGCTGGGTGTGACAGCTCATGCCTGTAATCCCAACAGTTTGGGAGGCCAAGACAGGTGGATCACCTGAGGTCAGGAGTTTGAGAACAGTCTGGCCAACATGGTGAAACCCTGTCTCTACTAAAAATACAAAAATTAGCTGGGCATGGTGGTGTACGCCTGTAATCCCAGCTACTCAGGAGGCTAAGGTAGGAGAATCACTTGAACCTGGAAGGCAGAGGTTTCAGTGAGCCGAGATTGCACCACTGCACTCCAGCCTGGGCAACAAGAGCGAGACTCCATCTCAAAAAAATTAAAAATACTACAATAAAATAAAGAGACTTGGCTAACCTTGTGAATAAACTCAAAACAATTGAATTTTACCTTTTAAATGGTAAGGTTTATGGCATGTGAATTATATCCCAACAAAAAATTACATTAGAAAAAATATTATGCTCATCCTCAAAGAAGGAACATGTGTAGCCTAAAGAAGCTTAAATAGTGATGTGGATCAAAGAGTACAAACCTTTAGATAACTGAACTAAAAAACCTTGAACAGCAATTTAGCTAGGCCAGCAGTAAAAGCTACCCTTTACTAGGACTGGCTACATAATTTACATGGCCCAGTAAAAAATGAAAATGCAGGACCCTTGTTCAAAAATTATTAAGAATTTCAAGGCAGCCATAGCAGAGCATTAAACCAAATGCAAACCACCTCAGAACTCAGGCCCCTGACTACACAGATCACACACAACCCCATGAAGCCAGCTGTATTTACTGAACTGTTAATATTTTGTAGGCCCAGGGCTGAATACGTTACAGACCACTCCTTCAATTTTCACCACAACCTTGCAAAAGTAATATTACTATTCCCATTTTATGAAAGAGAAAATAAAGATTTAAAGAGGTTAAAGAATTTATCCAGTTTCCCACATCTATAGGTGAAAGAGCTGTACTTCAAGTGTAGGTCTGACTCCAAAGTCACGTTTTTTAAACAGTGATCTTCAAACTTATTAATAAGACATTTTTAGTGAGCACTCTGATGTGTGTGTAAATATATAAGAATAAATTATATACATGTACTACTGTATTAATAAGTTATATACCATGGCTGGGCATGGTGGCTCACACCTATAATCCCAGCACTTTGGGAGGCCAAGGTGGGTGGATCACAAGGTCCAGAGATCGAGACCATCCTGGCTAACACGGTGAAACCCTGTCTCAACTAAAAATACAAAAAAATTAGCTAGGTGTGGTGGTGTGCAACTGTGGTCCCAGCTACTCAGGAAGTTGAGGCAGGAGAATCTCTTGAACCTGGGATGCGGGGGTCACTGTGAGCCGAGATCGCACCACTGCACTCCAGGCTGAACGACAGAGCGGGACTCCGTCCCAAAAAAAAAAAAAAAAAAGAAAAAAAATGAGTTATATACCCTAAATGTCATGTAAAACAAAGACATTTTAAAGATGACATATGTAGAAATTCTAATATGTTCTTCCCATACCCTAACCACTCACCTTCCACAGTTGCTGTAGTACTACTCCTGATAAGGTATCCCTTAACCCAGGAATTAAGGCTCCCCTGAGTCCAGCCAAACTTAGAGTTAACAGCACTTAAGACGTTAATTTTCTGGCCGGGCGCGGTGGCTCACACCTGCAATCCCAGCACTTTGGGAGGCCGAGGCGGGTGGATCACGAGGTCAGGAGTTCAAGACCAGCCTGGCCAAGAAGGTGAAACTTTGTATCTACTAAAAATACAAAAAAAATTAGCCGGGTGCAGTGCAGGCGCCTGTAATCCCAGCTACTTAGGAGGCTGAGGCAGAAGAATCGCTTCAACTTGGGGGGCGGAGGTTGCAGTGAGCTGAGATCGTGCCACTGCACTCCAGCCTGACAACAGAGTGAGACTCTGTCTCAAAAAAAAAAAAAAAAAAGTTAATTTTCCTATGTAGGAAATTGTAAAAAGGTAACACTCAAAAAGGTGACTTTTTCATAACAGAATTTTAGGATCTGTGAATAGCAGGGGGTATTTTTTTTTTAATCCTGAGGCTGGCTTGCCTTAGAGAAAGCTCATTTCACTTACTGATAAGATAAGCTGGGTGGGCCTGGCCAACATTTTTGGTTAAATCTAGGTTATCTCCAAAGTTATACAGTAAAGGATGATTCATTGTAAAACACAAGAAGGAAAGCATTGACTTGACAAATGTTTACTGGTGCCTACGATGGGTCACAAATCTTGCTGGTAGCTGGGGATAGATCAGTGAACAAGATAGGCTCTCTGGGGCCAAGATCTAAGTATGTTCTATAGAACACCAGGCAAGGGCAACTTCCATGACTGCAGAAATAAGCTTAGGAGGAAATAAGATGCACTTTATCCTCTGCTCATTGGACATAAACCTTTGGAAAGCAAGACAAAGCTTACAGGTATATTTTATTAAGAAAAATTTCAATAATGTTAGAGTTTGATGAAGACCCCAAATTTTCCTTAAAAATGTCAAAACCCATTTTGACATACAATACTCTTTTTTCTCTATACTGCAGTCTACTTTTTAGATTCTCTTTAAATACTGGCCACTAGTGCACTAAATGTACTAAGAAATGTTTTTTAATTCTGCTTTTATCTCTTTGTATATAACAAACTTTGGTTGAATCATGAATGTACTAAAAATTGACAGCACGAGAGAGGAGATATTTATATCTCTTCCTGAAGATGGCGACAGAAGACCATATCTTTAATAAAGGGCCACATCTTGTGTACCAAGAGGTAAACTCAAGCTGTTTAAGCAGAAAATACTTCCTTCATTGAATTTTTACTAAATCTTCCTTTACTAAATCTACAAGATTTTTTAAAGTATAAATAAATGATATTTTTAGTCTACAGTTAGTTTAAAAGGTGGACTATTTGGATAGCTTGTTTGCTTTGCAACAGTAGCAATAGAAAAAAAAGAGTGAGTAGAAAAAGGAAAATTGGGACAGCAGATTATATCTTGAGCTGCACATGTCAACAATTCTTCAGGTTCCTTTCTTTGGTTGCACAGTTACCCCCATATTTATTTATCCTGGTGCTTGTTTTAATACAGCTCCAAAACCAGTGGGAAACTGGAGCCACAGTCAGTCTGCCTGGTGCAAATCCTGTCTCCACTATTTACCAGACGTGTGACTTGACAAGCTAACATCTGTCTCTGTATCTTTGTTTCCTTATCTGTAAAATGGGGATGATGCTGAGCAGAATAAGCATGTAAAGGACTTAGCACAGTGCCTGGCACACACTAGACATTCAATAAATGGTAGCTCTCATCACAGGATCACAGGGCCCTGTCTAGATGACCTAAGAAGCCTCTTCAAAACATAGCTTTCATTATATTTTAGGAAGAGGCATGGTTTTCAGTATTGGCCAATCCCAGACAAGGGGAAAAATACTCTGGGGACTAAGCAATATAATTGGAATATCTTTGGACTCATTGCTTAAAATGCCAAATTGTTGAGTTTTTCATTTTGATGCAATCAAATAATTTGATTGATGAGTCACTCTAATTGCCACTCAGAATTGTTAGTTTTTGCCTTAATGAAAAATTGCATAAGCAATTTTATTCAAAATGCCACATTTATGTTAATCTATTTCTTCTTTTATTAGGTTGTTGCAAAAGTAATTGCTGTTTTTGCCATTTTAAAAGTAATGGCAAAAAAGTAATTGCTGTTTTTGCCATTTAAAAGTAATGGCAAAACGGCAAAAACAGCAATTACTTTCGTACCGACCTAATAAATTGTTATATATACTTGAAATTCCAATGCATTTTTCTAATTCAGCATTTAATCTTAAAATATTTAGAAAAAAACATAAAGTAAACACCATTTTCCAAATTACATGACCTTAATGAGCAAGTTCAATTTACTTGTATTCGTTGTTTTTTGTTGTTGTTGTTGAAGCCTTTTTAAAATTTATCACCTCAAGCATTTATCCTTTGTGTTACAATCAATCCAAATATAGTCTGTCAGTTATTTTTAAAAGTACAATTAAATTAATTTTACTATAGTCACCCTGTTGTGCTATCAACTACTAGACCTTGTTAATTCTTTCTAACTTTTGTGCCCATTAACCATCCCCACTTCCCCAACAGCCTCCTACTACCCTTCCCAGCCTCTGATAACTATCCTTCTACTCTATCTCCATGAGTTCAATTATTGTAATTTTTAGCTCCCACAAATAAGTGAAAACATGTGAAGTTTGTCTTTCTGTGCCTGGCTTATTTTACTTAACATAATGACCTCCGGTTCCGTTCATGTTCTTGCAAATGACAGGATCTCATTCTTTTTTACGGCTGAATAGTACTCCATTGTGTCTATGTACCACATTTTCTTTATCCATTCATCTGATGATGGACACTTAGGTTGCTTCCCAATCTTGGCTATTTTGAATAGTGTTACGATAAACATAGGAGTAAAGATTTCTCTTTGATACACTGATTTCCTTTCTTTTGGGTTTATCCTAGGAGGGGGAATGCTGGATCATAAGGTAGCTCTATATTTAGGAAACTCCAAATTGTTTTGAGGAACCTCCAAATTGTTCTCCATTTTGGCTATATTAATTTACATTCCTACCAACAGTGTACAAGAGTTCCCTTTTCTCCACACCCTTGCCAGCATTTGTTATTACCTGACTTTTGGATGAAAGCCATTTTAACTGGAGTGAGATGATATCGCATTGTAGTTTTGATTTGCATTTCTCTGATGATCCATGATGTTGAACAGCTTTTCATATCCCTGTTGGCCATTTTTGTGTCTTCTTTTGAGAAATGTCTATTCAGATCTTTTGCCCATTTCTAATTGGATTATTAGACTAGTCCTATGAAGTTGTTTGAGTTGTTTATATAGTCTGATTTTAATCCTTTATCAGATGGATAGTTTGCAAATATTTTCTCCCATTTTGTGGGTTATCTCTTCAGTTTGTTGATTGTTTCCTTTGCTGTACAGAAGCTTTTTAACTCGATGTGATCCCATTTGTCCATTTTTGCTTTGGTTGCCTGTGCTTGTGGGTTATTACTCAAGAAATCTTTGCCCAGTCCAATGTCCTGGAGAGTTTCCCTAATGTTTTATTTTGGTAGTTTCATAGGTTGAGGTCTTAAATATAAGTCTTTAATCCATTTTGATTTTATTTTTTATATGGCAAGAGATAGGGAGATGGGGTCTAGTTTCATTCTTCTGCATATGGATATCCAGTTTTCCCAGACAATTTACTGAAGAGGCTGTCCTTTTCCCAGTGTATGTTCTTGGCACCTTTGTTGAAAACAAGTTTGCTGTAGATGTGTGGATTTATTCTAGGCTCTCTGTTCTGTTCCACTGATCTACATATCTGTTTTTATTCCAGTACCACGTCATTTTGTTTACAATAGCTCTGTACTATAATTTAAAGTCAGGTAATGTGTTTCTTCCAATTTTGTTCTATTTGCTCAGGATAGCTTTGGCTATTCTGGGTCTTTTGTGATTCCATATACATTTTAGGACTGTTTTTCTTCTATTTCTGTGAAGAACGTCCTTGATATTTTGATAGGGATTCCATTGAATCTGTAGATTGTTTTGGGTAGTATGGACATTTTAACAATATTAATTCTTCTAATCCATGAACATGGAATCTCTTTCTAGTTTTTGGTGTCCTCTTCAATTTCTTGCATTAGTGTTTTACAGTTTTTATTGTAGGTATCTTTGACTTCTTTGGTTAATTCCTAGGTATTTTATTTTATTTGTAGCTGTTATAAATGGGATTACTTTCTTGATTTCTTTTTCAGATTGTTTACTTTTGGCATTTACAAATGCTACTAATTTTTCTATGTTGATTTTGTATCTTGCAACTTTACTGAATTTATTTATGAGTTCTGATAGTTTTTTGGTCGAGTCTTTAGGTTTTTCTAAATATAAGATCATATCATCTGCAAACAAGGATATTTTGACTTATTCTTCTCCAATTTGTGTGCTCTTTATTTCTTTCTCTTGTCTGATTGTTCCAGCTAGGACTTCCAGTACTACGCTGAATAACAGTGGTGACAGTGGGCATCCTTGTCACGTTCCAGATCAAAAAGAAAGGCTTTCAGTTTTTCCCCATTGTGTATGGCACTAGTTGTTGGTCGGTCATATATGGTTTTTATCATGTTGGGGTATGCTCCTTCTATACCCAGATTTTTGAGGATTTTTATCATGAAGGGATGTTCGATTTTATCAACATCAATTGATATAATGACTTATTATTAATTGATTTATCAGCATCAATTGAAATGATCTCATGGTTTTTACACTTCATTCTGTTGATATGCTATATCACATTGATTGATTTGCATATGTTGAACCATTCTTGCATCACTAGAATGAAACCCACCTGGTCATGATGAATCATCTTTTTAATGTGTTGTTGAATTCAGTTTGCTATCTTGTTGAGGATTTTTGCAATTATATTCATCAGTGATATTGGCCCATAGTTTTCTTTTTCTGATGTGTCTTTGTCTGGTTCTAGTATTAGAGTAATATTGGCCTCGTAGAATAAGTTTGGAAGTATTCCCTCCTGTTCTACTTTTTGAAATAATTTGAGTAGGATTGGTAGTAGTTCTTTAAATGTTTGGTAGAATTCAGCAGTGAAGCCCCCGGGTTCCGGGCTTTCCTTTGCTGGGAGACTTTTTATTATGGCTTTGATCTTATTACTTGTTATTGGTCGGTTCAAATTTTGGATTTCTTCATTGTTCAATCTTGGTAGGCTGTACGTGTCTAGGAATTTATCCATTTCTTCTAGATTTTCCAATTTATTGGCATATCGTTGCTCACAGTAGCCACTAATGACCCTTTGAATTTCTGGGGTATCAGTTGTAATGTCTCCTTTTTCATCTCTGATTTAATTTATTTGGGTCCTCTCTTTTTTTCTTAGTCTGACAAAATGTTTGCCAATTTTGTTTATCTTTGCAAAAAAACACAACTTTTTGTTTCACTGATATTTTGTGCTGTTTTCTTCATTTTAAATTCATTTATTTATGCTCTGATATTTATTATTTTCTATCTTCTCCTAATTTTGGATTTTGTTTGCTCTTGCTTTTCTAGTTCTTTAACATCTATCATAAGGTTGTTTATTTAAAGTTCTTCTTTTTTGATATAGGCACTTATAGCTATAAACTTTCATCTTAGAACTGCTTTTCATATATATCACATATTTTGGCGTGTTGTGTTTCCATTATAATTTGTTTCAAGAAATTTTGAATTTTCCTTCTTAATCTCTTCATTGACCCACTGGTCATTCAGGAGCATGGTGTTTAATTTCCATGTGTTTGTATAGTTTCTAAGATTCCTCTTGTTATTGACTTCTAGTTTTATTCCATTGTGATCAGAGAAGATGCTTGATTTTATTTCAATGTTTTAAGACTTGTTTTATGACCTAACATATGGTCTCTCCTTGACAATGATCCATGTGCTGAGGAAAAGAATGTGTATTCTGTAGCTGTTAGTGGAAATGTTCTGTAAATATAAATTAGGTCCATTGGGTCTATAGTGCAGATTAAGTCCAATGTTTCTTTGCTGATTTTCTATCTAGAAGATCTGCCCAATGCTGAAAGTAGGGTGTTGAAGTCTCCAGCCATTATTATATTGGAGTCTATCTCTCCCTTTAGCTTTAAAAATATTCACTTTATATATCTGGGTGCTCCAGTGTTGATTGTACATATATTTATTTTTATTTCTATTTTTTTCTTTTTTTAATCTTATTTATTTTTATTTTTTATTTTTTATTTTTTTTAATTATTTTTTTATTTTTATTTTTTTCATTGATCATTCTTGGGTGTTTCTTGCAGAGGGGGATTTGGCAGGGTCACAGGACAACAGTGGAGGGAATGTCAGCATACAAACAAGTGAACAAAGGTCTCTGGTTTTCCTAGGCAGAGGACCCTGCGGCCCTCCGCAGTGTTTGTGTCCCTGGGTACTTGAGATTAGGGAGTGGTGATGACTCTTAACGAGCATGCTGCCTTCAAGCACCTGTTTAACAAAGCACATCTTGCACCGCCCTTAATCCATTTAACCCTGAGTGGACACAGCACATGTTTCAGAGAGCACAGGGTTGGGGGTAAGGTCATAGATCAACAGCATCCCAAGGCAGAAGAATTTTTCTTAGTACAGAACAAAATGAAGTCTCCCATGTCTACTTCTTTCTACACAGACACAGCAACAATCTGATTTCTCTATCTTTTCCCCACCTTTCCCCCTTTTCTATTCCACAAAACCGCCATCGTCATCATGGCCAGTTCTCAATGAGCTGTTGGTACACCTCCCAGATGGGGTGGTGGCCGGGAAGAGGGGCTCCTCACTTCCCAGAAGGGGCGGCCGGGCAGAGGCGCCCTCCACCTCCGGGACGGGGCAGCGGCCGGGCGGAGGCGCCCCCCACCTCCCTCCCGGACGGAGCGGCCGGCCGGGCGGGGGCCGACCCCCCACCTCCCTCCCGGACAGGGTGGCTGCCGGGCGGAGACGCTCCTCACTTCCCAGATGGGGTGGCAGCCGGGCGGAGGGGCTCCTCACTTCTCAGACGGGGCGGCCGGGCAGAGACGCTCCTCACCTCCCAGACGGGGTCGCCGCCGGGCAGAGGCGCTCCCCACATCTCAGACGATGGGCGGCCGGGCAGAGACGCTCCTCACTTCCTAGACGGAATGGTGGCCGGGAAGAGGCGCTCCTCACTTCCCAGACTGGGCAGCCGGGCAGAGGGACTCCTCTCATCCCAGACGATGGGTGGCCAGGCAGAGACGCTCCTCACTTCCCAGATGGGGTGGCAGCCGGGCAGAGGCTGCAATCTCGGCACTTTGGGAGGCCAAGGCAGGCGGCTGGGAGGTGGAGGTTGTAGCTAGCCGAGATCACGCCACTGCACTCCAGCCTGGGCAACATTGAGCACTGAGTGAACGAGACTCCGTCTGCAATTCCGGCACCTCGGGAGGCCGAGGCTGGCGGATCACTCGCGGTTAGGAGCTGGAGACCAGCCCAGCCAACACAGCGAAACCCCGTCTCCACCGAAAAAAGACGAAAACCAGTCAGGCGTGGTGGCGCCGCCTGCAATCGCAGGCACTCGGCAGGCTGAGGCAGGAGAATCAGGCAGGGAGGTTGCAGTGAGCTGAGATGGCAGCAGTACAGTCCAGCCTTGGCTCGGCATCAGAGGGAGACCGCGGAAAGAGAGGGAGAGGGAGAGGGAGAGGGAGAGGGAGAGGGCATATATTTAAAATTATTATATCCTCTTGCTGAATAGACCACTTTATCATTATATAATGACCTTCTTGGTTTCTTCTTATAGTTTTCATCTTGAAATTTATTTTGTCTGATGTAAGTATAGCTACTCCTGCTCTTTTTTGGTTTCCATTGGTATGGAATTTTTTCTGGCCCTTTGTCTTCAGTTTATGTGTGTCTTTACAGATGAAGTACGTTTCCTGTCAGCAACAGATCATTGGGTCTTTTTTTCCCCCCATTCAGTCACTCTGCATATTTTGATTGGCAAATTTGGCCCATTTACATTCAGTGTTGTTGTTGATAAGTAAGCCCTCACTCCTGTCATTTTATTGTTTGTTGTCTGGTTGTTTTGTGGTCTTCTCTTCCTTTTTTCCAGTCTTCCTTTTAGTGAAGGTGATTTTCTCTAGTGGTATGATTTAATTTCTTGTTTTTTATTTTTTATGTATTTGTTGTTTGTTTTTTGACTTGAGGTTACTATGAGGCTTGCAAATACTGTCCTATAACCCTTTATTTTAATGACTTAACTTTGTTTGCATAAACAAACAAACAGACAAGCAAAAGAAAACTAATAAAAATTCTACACCTTAACTTTGTCCTCCCACCTCGCTTTGTAGCTTTTTGTTGTTTCTACTTATATATTATTGTATTGTCTGTGTCTTTAAAATTTGTTGCAGTTATTATTTTTGATTAATCATTTAGTCTTTCTACTTGAGTAGTTTACTGTGATAATACTCTGTGTTTTTCTGTATACTTACTATTACCAGTGAGTTTTGTACCTTCAGATGACTTCTTATTGCTTATTAATATTCTTTTCTTTCTAATTGAAGTTCTCCATTTAATATTTCTTGCAGGACAGAGCTGGTGTTGATGAAATCCCTCAGCTTTTGTCTGGGAAAGTCTTTATTTGACTCTCATGTTTGAAGGATATTTGCACTGGATATACTATTCTAGGGTAAAGGCTTTTTTCGTTCAGCACTTTAAATATGTCATGCCACTCTCTCCTGGTTAGTAAGGTTTTCACTGAAAAGTCTACTGCCATCCGTGTTGGAGCTCCATATATTATTTGTCTCTTTTCTCTTGCTGCTTTTAGGATCCTTTCTTTATCCTTGACCTTTGGTAGTTTGATTATTAAACCCCTTGAGATAGTCTTCTTTGGATTAAATCTGCTTGGTGTTCTATAACCATCTTATAATTGGATATTGATATCTTTCTCTAGGTTTGGGAAGTTCTCTGTTATTATCCCTTTGAATAAACTTTCTACCCCCATCTCTCTCTTTCTCTACCTCCTCTGTAAAGGAGAAACTTTTAGATCTGCCCTTTTGAGGCTATTTTCTAGATCATGTAGGTGGGCTTCATTGCTTTTTATTGCTT
Source organism: Homo sapiens (assembly GCF_000001405.40). Taxonomy (NCBI): domain Eukaryota; kingdom Metazoa; phylum Chordata; class Mammalia; order Primates; family Hominidae; genus Homo; species Homo sapiens. The sequence continues at coordinate 54,696,998 of NC_000002.12, read as the reverse complement.
TTTCTTTTGTCTCCTGTGACAAAATCTTCTTTCAAATAGTCTGTCAAGCTCACTAACTCTTTCTTCTGCTTGATCAATCTGATATTAAAAGACTCTGATGCATTCTTCAGTATGTCAATTGCATTTTCCAACTGTAGAATTTCTGCTTTATTTTTTATTTTATTTTATTTTATTTTTCAGATGGAGTCTCACTCTGTTGCCAGGCTGGAGTGCAGTGCCATCTCAGCTCACTGCAACCTCTGCCTCTCGGGTTCAAGTGATTCTCCTGTCTCAGCCTCCTGAGTAGCTTGGGCCTACAGGTGGGCGCCACCATGCCCAGTTAATTTTTACATTTTTAGTAAAGACAGGGTTTCATTATGTTGGCCAGGACGGTCTCAATCTCTTGACCTCTTGATCCACCCGCCTCGGCCTCCCAACGTGCTGGGATTACAGGCATGAGCTGCCGCATCTGGCCTTCTGCTTTATTTTTTAAAAATTACTAATCTCTTTGTTAAATTTATTTGATAACATTCTGAATCCCTTCTCTGTATTATCTTGAATTTCTCTGAGTTTCCTTAACACAGTTGTTTGGAATTCTCTGTCTGAAAGGTCACATATCTCTTTTTCTCCAGGATTTGTCCCTGGTGCTTTATTTAGTTTTACTGGATAGTCTTGATGCTTGTGGATGTTTGTCTGTGTCTGGGCACTGAAGAGTTAGGTATTTATTGTAGTCTTCATAGCCTGGGCTTGCTTGTACCAGTCCTTCTTGGAAAGGCTTTCCAGATATTCAAAAATACTTAGGTGTTGTGATCTAAGCCGTAGCTGCATTAGGGGGCACCTCTAGCCCAGAAATGGTCTGATTATTACAGACACGTAGAGGTACCACCTTGATGGTCTTGGATATGATCCAGAAGAATTCTCTAGATTATCAGGCAAAGACCCTTGTTTTCTCCCCTTATTTTCTTCCAAACAAATAAAGTCTCTCTCTGTTGTGAACTGCATGGAGCTTGGGGTGGGGTGACACAAGCACTCCTGTGGCCACCACCACTGGGACTGTGCTGGGTCAGACCTGAAGCCAGCACAGCACTGGGTCTCACCCAAGGCCTGCTGTAACCACTCCCTGACTACTGCCTATGTTCACTCAAAGCCCTGGAGCTCTACATTCAGTAGGTGGCAAAGCCAGCCAGACTTATGTACTTCCCTTTGGGGTGGCAGGTTCCCCCAGGCCGAGTAGGTCCAGAGGTTTTATCCTAGAATCAGGGAACTAGAGTAAAAAACCTTAGATGTCTACCTGGTGTTCTGTTGTACTGTGGTTGAGCTGGCACTCAAACCAGAAGACGCAGGTTTTCCCACTCTTCCCTCCCCTTTCCAAAGGCAGAGGAGTTCTCATCCTATGGCTACTGCCACCTTAAGCCCAGAGGGGAGTGCTGCCAGACTACTGCTGAAGTTCCCTTTAGGCCCAAGTGCTCTTCAGTCAGCTTGTGGTGAATGCTGCCTGGCCTGAGATACACCCTTCAAGGGAGTGGGCTCCCCTCTAGCCCAGGGCAGGTCCAGAAATGCTGTCTAATTGCCACGTCCTGGAATCGAGAACCACAAGAGCCCACTTTGTGCTCTATCCCACTGTGGCCGAGCTGCTACCTAAGGTGCGAGACAAAGTTCCCTTTGCTTTTCCCTTCACTTTTCTTGAGCAGAAGGAGTCTCTCCCCATAGTCACCACAGCTGGGAATATGCTGAGTCTCACCTGAAGCCAGTAAGACTCAGAGTCTCACCCAAGGCCCAGGGCGTATTATCTGGTTATCATTTCTGGTTATTCAAGACCCAAGGGCTCTTTAGTCAGCAGGTGACGGGTCCTGCCAGGACTGGTTCCTTTCCTTCAAGGCAGCAGGTTCTCTTCTGGCCCAGGATGTGTCTAGAAATGGCATCTGGGGCCGGGCGCGGTGGCTCACACCTGTAATCCCAGCACTTTGGGAGGCCGAGGTGGGCGGATCACGAGGTCAGGAGATCGAGACCATCCTGGCTAACACGGTGAAACCCTGTCTGTACTAAACAAAATACAAAAAATTAGCTGGGCATGGTGGCAGGCACCTGTATTCCCAGCTACTTGAGAGGCTGAGGCAGGAGAATGGTGTGAACCCAGGAGGCAGAGCTTGCAGTGAGCCGAGATGGCGCCACTGCACTCCAGCCTGGGCGACAGAGTGAGACTCCGTCTCAAAAAAAAAAAAAAAAAGAAAGAAAAAAAAAAAAAGAAATGGCATCTGGGAGCTAGGGCTTGGGAAAGAGGCCTCATGACTCTGACTGGTGCCCTTTCCTACAGTGGCTGAGCTGGTATCCAAGTTGCAAGACAAAGTCCTCCCCACTCTTTCCTCTTCTCTCCTCAAGTGGAAGGAAGAGGTCTCTTTTGGAGCAGTAAGATGAGCAGCCTAGGATTGAGGGGGTTGCACAAGCACTCCCTTACCCACCCCATCTGGTATCTCAGTAGGTTGTGTGCCCCCCAAGTCCACTGGCTCTGGGCCCAGTTCAGCACTAGGACTTGCCTATGTGTTGCAGTCTTTGTGGCCTAGACTGCCTTTCAAGTTTATTTAGGGCCCCAGAGCACTTTAGCCTGGGGTGGCAAGGCTTGCCACAGCTCAAGTTCCATCTTCTGGGATGAGGAATAACCCTCTAGCTAGAGCTGGTCTAAATGCTCCCTCTGTGGGTACGTGTCAGCTGAGTTCAGCCTGGTTTTGCTTTCTGCCATGACAAGGCAGCACTAAGTTCAATGCAAGTCTCACAATTACTGCACTTTCCCTCTCCCAAGTGCACAGATTCTCTCTCTGTGCCATGCTGCTACTGCCAGGGGGCGGGGGAGGGGTGGTGTCAGCAAATCAAGAGTGTCTTTCCTACCTTCTTCAATGCCTCTTTCAGCTAGATAAAGTTAAAACCAGTGCTCACCTGATTTTTTATTCTTATGAAGGTGCTTTTTGTGAGTAGACAGTTGTTCAATTGCTGCCCTTGCAGTCAAGACAATTGGTGGAGTCTTCTATTCAGCCATCTTGCTCTGCTCCTCCTTTTGAAGTAAGTCTTCTGTATTTTGTTTTCACTACTATCCTCTTTTTGCCTTTTCTTCTTGATATTGTTCATTATTTGAGGGTTTAAGCAGTTCTTTCAGCATTCATCCTTTTAACTGTCATTAATTTTTTTAACTGTCAGAATAGTTTTCCATATTAGCAACCAATATGCCTGCTTCCAGCTGGTCGAGATTCAGTGAGTCTGTCGATATGGTTGGTCTGTTTTGTTTTTCCATGTAAACAGTTCAATTTATCCACAAAATCCCAATTTTCTTGCTACCATCCCTTACCTAATTAATTATTCATCCTCTGCACAGAGTTGTCTTTTGAATTTGAATTCTTTATTTTTTGATGGAATCGTTCCTCATTTTGATCTACCTAGTGTCACTGAGACTCAGGCCCTTTGGTAGTGGTGAAGGCTGGCATCATACCATCCATGTGGTCACACTCATCCCCCTGCTTCAATCTGATGGCCTGCAGAGACATCTGGGCCCACAGCAGAGATTCCCCTAAGAACCCTGGGCAAGGAGAGTCAAAAGGACCCATCCATATGGTAAAGCTTGTTTTCCATTAGCTGAACAAACTGACATTTTCTAAAAGTGTGCTGCCCTTTGGTAAAGCTTATTGGTAAAGCTTGTCAGTAAATGAGCTTTACCAACAAGTTTACACATTTCACCCCTTTGTAATCAACATTGTTCAGCTGCACTCTTAAGATTTGGAAAGGATGGGGCCAGGCACAGTGGCTCATGCCTGTAATCCCAGCACTTTGGGAGGCCGAGGTGGGCGGACCACGAGGTCAGGAGATCGAGACCATGCTGGCTAACATGGAGAATGGCGTGAAACCCAGGAGGCGGAGCTTGCAGTGAGCCGAGATCACGCCATTGCACTCCAGCCTGGGCAACAGAGGAAGACTCTGTCTCAAAGAAAAAAAAGAAAAAGAAAAAGATTTGGAGAGGATGGTTTTTTTTTTTTTTTAGAGATGGGGTTTTGCTATGTTGCCCAAGCTAGTCTTGAACTCCTGGGCTCATGTGATCCTCCCACCTCAGCCTCCTGAGTAGCTGGGATGACAGGTGCCCACCACTGCATCCAGCAGGAGGCTGATTTTTAAAGTTAGAGGAATTTCTTGTGTAGTCTCCTCTGGCACTATTTCAGTGTTTCACTTGCTCCCTCCTAGTAATTTTATCATCCTTTCAAGTAAAACAGAGAAAAACCATGATGTGGCAGTTTTATACTTTGATGGCCTCAGGGAAATACACTTACTGGTTGTCATGCCCTTATGTATTATGTGTTCAAGCTCTTGACTCTGGCCTTGGCCATGTGGCTTGCTTTGGCCAATGGGACATTAGCTAGTGTGGTGCAAGCAGAGGCTTAATACACACTTTCACATGGGGGCTTGTCCTCTTCAAATGTTCCTTGGAGCTAGACCACTGTATTAGGCTGTTCTTGTATTGCAGTAAAGAAATACTTGAAATTTGGTAATTCATAAAGAAAAGAGGTTTAATCAACTTATGGTTCTGCAGGCTGTACAAGCATGGTGCCAACATTGCTCAGCTTCTGGGGAGGCCTTGGGGAGCCTTTACTCATGGTGGAAGGTGAAATGGGAGCTTGCTCATCATATGGCAAAAGCCAAAAGCAGGAGCATGGTCAGGGGGTGGTGTGCCATACACTTTTAAATGACCAGATCTCACAAGAACTTAGAGTGAGAGTTTGCTTATCACCAAGGGGATGGGATGGCCCAAGACATTCACAAGGAATCTGCCCCCATGATCTAAACACTTCTCACCAGACCTCATCTCTAGCATTGGGGATTAGAGTTTACCATGAGACTTGGGTGGGACATCCAAACCATAGGAACCGCTGAAGGGTGAAAAGCCAAGTGCAAGGAGATCCTGGAGGATGAGAGGCCATTTGGACATCCCAGCTCCAGCCAAATTGCCGGCTGAATGCAGTCGCATGAGTGATCTCAGCCACCCAACGTGGAGCAGAAGCTCCTCCCAGTGGAGCTCCATCAACCGCAGAACCATGACAAGTAATAAATCACATAGCTACTGTGCTTTGAGATGGCTTACAACACAGCAATCGATAGCTGAGCTATGTGTTAATAAGTTACTGTCTTCATTACATAGGGTGCTTACCTGAGATTTTCTCTTATGAAAGCATTACTGTGTGTACATATTTACCTTTGATAAAGATTCAGCTCCAAATTTATATTCAACTGAAATGTCAGAGGGATGCCTGACACCTTGCAATGTGCTTGGCCTCTGAGCCATTTAAAAACATATGTCACCCCGGTGCAGCTTTGTCCTCACTGACATGTCTACCAAGAAGCCTGGCTGGCTGGTGTTCCAGGCATTGTATGTCATATTTCTGAAAATGCTGACAGATTGTTTCACAGAATATTGTCATAATATCGTGTTACTAAATCTTGAGTTGCCTTCATGGTAGCACATTTTTGCAGGAATTGGTCTTATCCTGTTAGGTATCTATGACTATGTTTATGCTTAATCCCTGAAACTGGGAATTCAATATTTCTGAATGATAATTAACATCTATAGATTTTGATGTAGTTTTAATAATTGAATCAATATTTCTAACAACTTTATTAAATGCATTAATGAGATGCAAATTCCTTTTATTAAAATAAAAATGTGTATTTTTTTATTTTCTTTTTTGAGATGGAATCTCACTCTGTCGCCCAGGCTGGAGTGCAGTGGGACGATCTCAGCTCACTGCAACGTCTGCCTCCCAGGTTTAAACGATTCTCCTGCCTCAGACTCCCGAGTAGCTGGGACTACAGGTGCCCGTCACCACGCCTAGCTAATTTTTGTAGTTTTAGTAGAGATGGGGTTTCACCATATTGACCAGGCTGGTCTCGAACTCCTGACCTTGTGATCCACTCGCCTCAGCCTCCCGAAGTGCTGGGATTACAGGCGTGAGCCACCGTGCCCAGCCTAAAATAAAAATTTATTAAATGTAATTATGAAACTAGAAAACTATAAAGAAAACAATTCACCTATAGGAAAAGTATGAACATTAACAGTGACCTGGTTAAATAAACTGTAGGATAGCTACACAATGGAGTTTTATTATTTACCAGGCTGTCTGTTAGTTTCTAGATAGATATCTGTTTTCTACCATACAGTAGGACTTCAAAAAATGTTGAATGAATAACTTGTAAATATCTTATGTGTGTGTACCTCTGAAATGATTAAAAAACTCTAAATGAAACCAATTTAAATTCAGATATACTTCAACATACTAATGTTAATGAAAAATGTTTTATATAACTACAAAAAATGAGCAAGCTAAGTACTGATATGGAAAGGGTTCCTAGATATATTATTATGTCAAAAAAGCAAATTTCAGAATGATGTTTTTGGTATGCTACCTTCAGAGTAAAAGGAGGAAAATCTATATGTGTATCTGCATAGACCCATAATATTTTAAAATCTAAGCACAGGGTTGGGAAACTGGCACTAGGGGAATAAACACAAGAAGGAGACTTTCCACTATACACTTTTTATACTTTCTGATTTTTAAACCATCGGAATATACTACCATTTGAAATACAATTTAATAAGCAAAATTTGAATCTATTTATGTTTTGCCTTTACACTTCTTTTGCAACTAATGAAAATGAATATTTTTTCGTTTGTGTGTTGACCAGTTTACTTCTTCCCTGAGTATGTTTGCCCATATTGACATCTTAGAGGCTTTGCTTTTTTTAAAAAAAAATCAGCAAATGTTAAATCTTCTCCACCCTTTACAGTGGAGATATTTGCCCTCTGTCACCTGATTTTGCTTTCCTTTATGTTATTGCATTTTAGAGTGTGAAGTTTTTATGCATTTGTATCTACTCTTACATGCTTTGACATTGCTCCCTTCCATCAGAGGTCTGACAAAGATTCCTTTCCATAATCTAGTTTGATAATTTTTGCCTTTTTGAAATTCTCATTAATTCATTTAGAATTAATTTCTGTGTGCAATTAGAAGATGAATAGTTACTTTTAAGAGTATCTAATCTTTCTTTTCCCATTGATCATATGAACTTCCTTATAGTATTTTTGGTTCTTATGCATAATAATGTTCATTTATGTACTAGCTGCTATATTCTATTCCATTGATTTGCATCAGTTCCGCTGACATGCATCAACATCATAGTCTTTATCACCGATTGAGAATATTTTTTCACAAATGGTGGTGCTAGTACCCACCATGATCATCACAATCCTTTTCTTTGATGCTATCTCTTGTTTTATGTTTATTCATTCTCTAGTTCAGGTAAATAATTTTAACTTTCAGAAACATTCTGTTTTTTATTGAGAAGTGGTCAAACCTATAAGTTAGATTGAGTAGAATTCATTCCTTTAAAAAAGAGCATGGTTCTTGTTTCCATTTAGTCAAGCTTTCTTGTCACCGCCATTTTGTTTGATTGGTTGGTTTTCTTCTCTTGGGTCAAAAAAATTTCACATCAAAGGTATTTCTTGGTACGTTATGGTTTTTGTTTCTATTGTGAATGGGATCTCTTTTTATTATATTTTTCTGATTATTCTTTATGTGGAAGAGTGCTATTGGTTGTATATTGACCTCGAATGTGGTCCTTTTGGTGGCTCTATGATCTTACTGGGAAATGATTTCCCATTTAGGTTTTCTGGGATTAAAAGTTGTCTTGACATTTCAATTAGCCCAAAATTCTGTTAATTCAAGGAGGGGAAAAATCATTAATGGTATCACAATGGGCAATCAACTAGTTGGTTTAAATGTTTACTTTCCATCAGTTTTAAGGTTTTGTGGACACACCCTGTACTTAAGGGATGTTATCATGGAACACTGCAAAAACAGAAATGCAAACATATGCCAATGAACTGCAAATACCTTCTCAGTCCTTGATTTAGGTCTGATCAGTGGCCTCAGTTTACTCTCCTCTCACTCTGTTTTGACAATCATAGGTCAGAAAAGTGAGAATCCTAAAATGGAAAGGAAATAGAAGACAGCAGAATGACTGAATTTGTGGCTGGCTGCAATTATCTGCCCAGATGTCTGAATCCATTCTGCATTTAATTGATTCTACCTTATCACCTTTGCACAGATAAACATTCCTTAGCATCAGAAAGATATTGGCTTCATGGAGACTTCATATCCAGTGCTGCTACGGGACATACCCATGCTGCTTTCTTTTCATCTTAGCCAAGAAGTGAAACAAACTGAGAGGACTCAGGAGTAGGGAGAGAAGGCAGGGAAACAGAAAGCCTTGGTGTGGACGAATACGTGTCTTAAGAGTAAAGTAAAGGACTGATGTCATCCATCCCCTGTGCTCTGTGTATGCTCCAGCATCTAGAAGTCAGATTTCCCCTCTGATACTGACTGAAACTTCCTGCCTTCCAGTTGTTAATGGCCTGCTTGGGGTGTTAACTCACATGCATCCCCATCTCCTGACAAAGGTGAAGAGAAAGGACCATAACATGTGAGCAGCTATATTTGTTTCAACTCCCAAATCTTAGTCAAGGCAGACAAGTGAAATGTCAAGATGGAGTAGCGATTTAGCAGAGGACATGTGTGCAAGTGGCACACATGCATTAGTAGGCAGGAGTATTTCCACTGAGCAACATCAGCTCAATGCTAGGAGTTTCAAAGCAATGTAGCCAGAAAAGAGTTAAGAGAAATGACTTATGCCCTGAGAAGCAGTGGGATTGGGGAGGATGCTAGAAAAAAAGGTCATTTTAAAAATAATAGTAAAGTACAAGAAAAGTGGCAATCTCTGCTTCAAAAGTGGAGCCAGCCATCTACCTGGGAGGCTGAGGCAGGAGAATTCCTTGAGATGGGAGGTCGAGGCTGCAGTGAGCCTTGACTGCACCACTGCACTCCAGTCCAGGAGTGCCAGCGACACCCTGTCTCAAAATAAAAATAAAATAAAATAAGAAAATTAGAGTCAAGATGCACAGTGGCAGACTCTCTAAGAAGCCCACTCACACTGTCATAGCTTGGTGTCTGCAAGGCCAGAGGAAGCAGGTATTCAATTGCTTTTCTTGTTTTTCCTTTCTAACCCTTCCTCTTCCCAGATGACTACTTTCTTTGTGGTTTGCTCTGCCATCAAATCAAGATGAACCATCATTCTCTGTTACTTAAGAAGTGAGGAGTTCAAACCAATATCCTGTCTTGGTAAATCTGTTTTTCCCTCAAGCTATGAGCAGACCTGGCCACCTTGCATCGGGGTGCATGGGTCTTATCCATGCCAGGGAAGGGCCTTGCTTGCCTTGTCACCACTGCAGCCCCAGAAGATGACAGTGCATGGCACCATTAGACACCTAGTAAATATGTTACATGAAGACCTGCCCTACACTATGTTTTCGATTTTGTTATCTGCTTATTTCTGCTGCTCCACAGGACTTCCTGTTCTTTAGGACATTGGTTCAGACCTAGGGTCTGCTCCAGAGAAAGAAGGGATTTTTATCTTCCACCTTCTTTTCCTTAGATACAATTGAGTCTCTGCTATCGTTTTTGGCAACACAAAAAACATTTTTTTTTCCCTGAGAAAATGGATTCAGGGAGGGAGATTCACTCATTTTCTAAATTTGGTGGGAACCAAGGCCATGCCTTAAGGAACCACCTCCTTTCCTGGAAGCAATGGTGCCAGCTACAGCTGCTAAGAGGACTTCAACTCTACCCAGGCTTTGAGACCCCCAGCCACTAGGAATTTGAAATGGGTGTGGGGAGATGGACTTTAAATTGACTTTCATTTATTTGAACTTTAACTCACAAGGGCAAGATAATTTGATTTCAGATTTTAATACCTTTGGACTTCAACATGCAAGTAGGTCTGTTCTTTAAACTTTTATTTCTCCCTGAGAATTTACTGCAGAAGAAGGATTTATATCCACATCTGGGGCCCCTTTAAAATGTTTGCATTTTGTAGGCCAGGCGGGGCGGCTCATGCCTGTAATCCCAGCACTTTGGGAGGCCGAGGAGTGTGGATCATGAGGTCAGGAGTTCAAGACGAGCCTAACCAACATGGTGAAGCCCGGTCTCTACTAAAAATACAAAAAAAAAAATTAGCCAGGCATGGTGGCACGCCCCTGTAATCCCAGCTACTCGGGAGACTGAGGTAGGAGAATCACTTGAACACGGGAGGCAGAGGTTGCAGTAAGCCGAGATTGCGCCACTGCACTCCAGCCTGGGTGACCGAGTGAGACTCCGTCTCAAAAAAATAAATAAACACATACATAAAATGTTTGCATTTTGTTTTTTGGAGTATCTTAATGTTATTATTTCCTCTTATTGCAGAACTCCTAGTGATAGACAATGGGATTGGACCTAAACGGGGATCAGAAACGGGAGAGGGAGTACATTTTCAGCTTTGTGTAATAGCGACCTTGGAGCTTAATGTACTGTTCTGACCCACGTCAGAACCTTCTGGGGACAAAATTTAAGCTACCCAGCAGATTCTGTGGGGCCTGAAGCTTATACAATTTGCAGAAAGGGAGTGGTTTAAGAAAAAAAAAAAAAAGAACATAAAATGATGAAAACAAAATTAGGTATAGGGCCTTGGAAGGAGCCTGAGCAAGTGAAGGGTCCTGAAGCTTCCATTTTGTGATAAATCCACCCCTGCTGGCCAGCAGCAGTCTAAGGGATACCCAAAGAGACAGTGGCTAGCTAGTCCACACAGACAGGAGCACGACCCTCCTCCACGTGGGCTGCAGATCTTGTCTCCCAGGAGAGCCACATCCCTGGATGACCAAGGGTGAGTTGTTGCAAACTCACCTAAGATGATTTGGTTATTCACAAGAGACTTCCTTCGTGAATGTCTATGGCTTATGTTATAACCTCACTATCAGGTTATAATGAAAGTAAGTCCTTTATTGAATTCTGCCACACATAGAAATATTTATTAACAAGGAGGCACAAAACAGTTCTACAACTTGTTCTGAAAACTCAGTGAAGTCCCAGCTCCATTCTGTGCATAGAAAGTTAACTAGATGGGGCTGGGCACGGTGGCCATGCCTGTATCCCAGCACTTTGGGAGGCCAAGGCGGGTGGATCACCTGAGGTCAGGAGTTTGAAACCAGCCTGGCCAAACATGGTAAAACCCTGTTTCTACTAAAAATAAAAAAAAATTAGCTGCCGTGGTGGTGGGCACCTGTAATCCCAGCTACTTGGGAGGCTGAGGCAGAAGAATCGCTTGAACCTGGGAGACGGAGGTTGCAGTGATCTGAGACCATGCCATTGCACTTCAGCCTTGGCAATAAGAATGAAACGCCATCGAAAGAAAGAAAGAGAGAAAGAGAAAGAGAGAGAGAAGGAAGGAAGAAAAGAAAGGAAGGAAGGAGAAAGAAAGAAAGAGACAGAGAGAAAGGAAGGAAGGAAGAAAGGAAGGAAGGAAGGGAGAGAGAGAAAGAAAGAGAGAAAGAAAGAGAGAGAGAAAGAAAGGAAGGAAGGAAAGAAAGAAAGAAAGAGAGAGAAAGGAAAGAAGGAAGAAAAGGAAGGAAGGAAGGGGGAGAGAGAGAGAAAGAAAAAAAGCTAGAGAAAGAAAGAAAAAGAAAAAGAAAGAAAGGAAGAAGGAAAGGAAGAAAGAAAGGAAGGAGTTAACGAGATGGAAACGTGACAGTCTCCTGGTGGCAGGATATAGTCAGATACAGGCACAAGGACCCTCCAAGCCAATTGAACACAGGGCAGTTTTGAAATCAGTCAAGCCTCAGAGCCATTCTAAAGGGAGTAGACTATTGAGAAGCTTTTAAAAATTGTTAATATTGATTTTGTGTTTTTTATTGCACAACGGTTTTGGGTAACTTTATTTTGATGTAATTTTAAACTTAGACTAGTACAAGGAACTCCTGTGTATCCTTCATCCCGATTTAACAATTATTCACATTTTTTCTTATTTGCTTTATCATTCTTTTTATTAATATTTATTCCAGATCATTTGACAGTACATTGGAGATATCATGCCCTTTTGCCACTAAATGTAAGTGTCTTTTTCTAAGATGAACATTCCCCTCCATAAGAACATTTTTAATATCAAAATCAGAAAATTTAACATTAATACAAACCTATTACATAATCTACAGTCCATAGTCAAAATTTGTCATTGTCTCAGTAATGTCCTTTAGGGCTATTTCTTTTTCTTGGCCCAGGATCCATGCCAGGATTGCACGTTGCATTTAGTTACGCCTCCTTTCATCTGGAACAGTTCCTCCATCAGTTTTTGCCTTTCCTAACCTTGACATTTTTGAAGAATAAAGACCAGTTAGTTTAAAGGATAGTCTTTATTTGACTTTATCTGATACTTTCTCTTGATTAAATTAAGGCCATGCATTTTTGGCAAAAATATCACAAATGAAAATGTGTCCCTCTGGGTGTATCATATCAGGAAGCATATGAAATTCGTTTGCCCCTATAGTGGTGACGCTAATCTTGGTGATTGGTTAAGGTGGGGCACTCCAATATTCTTCAGAATAAAGTTACTACTTTCGCCTTTGTCATTAATAATCAATACCTGGGAAGATACTTTGAGAGTGTGTAAATACACAGTTTGTCTTGAAACTCTCACCCCCTATTTTGGGCAACATTGATGATTTTCTAATTTCATCATTTTTTCTATGTTTTATTGTTGAATTTCTATCACAATATAAGCAAAGAGCTTTTCCTTCTTCATTTATTTATTCATTTATCTGTATCTGTATGAACTCATGGAACTTGACTTGGTTTTATTTAATGGGTTATAATCCACTACCACCAAAATTTTAAACCTTATTTAGTGAGTAGGATTGCCTGTAATTTTCAACCCTCATCTTGATGGCACTCATTTGGACTGAAAACTCCTGTTAGGCTAATTAACAGAGCCTCTCTTGCTAATCAGGGTTAAAGAGAACCTGGAATTAGGAAAATTGAATACTCAAAGAGTGTAGATTAAAGCAAACTCACGTATTTATATCACAGTACCTAGGCTGAAGAATTTAAAGTACATGTAAATTATAGAACACATAACTTAAGTGGTTATACGTGATAGGTCAACAGAAGAAAAAGTTGGGTAATGATAAGAAAAAATGTAACCCCACTTGGAGCTAAATTATGGTTTCCACTTCCTGTCGCCACTTATTCACTCCACCCTGAGGCAATAGAGTGGTTTATCTGATGGGAAAGGGCAAGCCCAGCTCAGCCCCTTCCCATTTTGCTCATGGAAACTCAGCTTGCCTGCATGGAGCTCATGTTCTCTGCCCTTGGCCAAGCTATAGGCTTAATAACAAATGTCCTGCCCTCATCAGAGGAGACCTGAGATGGTCCAGTACCTTCCATAACTGGGCAGGTATGTCTATTGTATGCTCAGCTTCAGATATAAGCACAAAGGTACCTCCCACAACCTAAACTTCACCAGTAATAAAGTTGATATTTTGGCCTTCATCCACATACCTCTTATTTCTCAGTTGGTTCAGAACATGAGAGCAAATGATAACAATACAATGCTCCAAAAATAAAATGAAAACATTATAAAAAGGCTCCAGGTGTGAATACAAACCCTATTCTGTTACAAATACTCAGGGAGAAATGAAAGTTTAAAGATTATATCTACTTGCACAGTAAGGTATAAGACAGCAAAGTCCAAATGAATTACATTTTGAATGGTCAATGATAAGGAACTTATCAAGAGCTGCATCACTCAGTGGACTTTTCACAAGATTCTCTTTCACAATAGTAACCATCGCAATCTTCAGAATCAAAAGCTCTGTCCACCCAGTTTACAAACTCTACCAAACATACGCCCCGCTACCACCGATCCCATCCCATCCCCCCTGGCACCAGCACCTACATCTGAATGCAGATATTTATGCTGGACTGAATTCTATGTAAACAAAATAAAACTTTGAAAAACAACAGCTAAAAACCCTTGGAGTTAAAAAATGGCAATAATATAATGTGTGGTGCTAGTGGAAAAAAAATAGAAAAACGTTAAGAAACTAGAAATGGGACCCAAATACAGAAGAGGATGATAGAGTGAATTAGTGAAATCAACAAGGACTGATTCAAATACAAATTTACTTTAGCTGTTTATTCATTCAATACATGCCTATTGAGTGCCTGCTGTGGATTAGGTTTGGGTACTCTGTGCGCTAGGTACAGGGGGTTCAATGGGAACAAAATAGACATGAGTTTACCTTGTATTTTTGTTAAGAGACAAAATAATGCTAACTGTACCAATCCTGGTGTTTAGTAAATATTAGATCCTCAATGAAAATCAGTTATTAATATTTTAATATAGGAAAACAGGGCCAGGCGCAGTGGCTCATGGCTGTAATCCCAGCACTTTGGGAGGCCGAGGCAGGTGGATCACCTGAGGTCAGGAGTTCGAGACCAGCCTGGCCAAAATGGTGAAACCCCATCTCTACTAAAAATACAAAAATTAGTTGGGTGTGGTGGTGTGCACCTATAGTCGCAGTTACTCAGGAGGCTGAGACAGAAGAATCGTTTGAACTTGGGAGGCGGAGCTTGCAGTGAGCTGAGATCATGCCATTGCACTCCAACCTGGGCGACAGAGCGAGACTCCATCTCAAAAAAAAAAAAAAAAAAAAGGAAAAGAGGTCAAATGGAGATTGTTTACTAAATAGTATTAGGTAAATAGTATTAGGATAACCGGCTAGAGATCAGGGAAAACAATTGGTAGAGGTACCCCTTATAAAAGACATCAAAACAAATTTCAGAAGAATTTATTTAAATTTAAACATGGTATTAAAAAGCACAAAATAAATGTGTTATCAGATCTGTGAAAGAAGATTCATGTCCTCAGTTTTGAAGAAATAAAACCACAAGGAAATGAACAGACCTTAATACTGAAACATAAATTTCATACAAAAACAAAACAGCAGACTGAGGGAAATATTTCATTTGGTGTAATTGATAAAAGGTAAAAATCTGGAGAAAACATTTCAATTTATAAGCAAATCATAGTGATGCCAATAAATAAGCAGACTAAGGATGTTGCAGTGGATAGCTTCATTGTTTTTTTGTTTTTGGCAACTGTGGTAGGCAGAATAATGGTCTCCCAAAGATGTCCACATCCTAATCCACAGAAACTACAAATATGTTTAACATTACATGGCAAAGGGGGATTAAAGTTGCTAATCAGCTGACCTTAAAATAGGGATTGTATTAGTCTGCTTTCACACTGCTATAAAGATGCTACTCGAGACTGGGTTATTTATAAAGGAAAGAGGTTTAATTGACTTACAGTTCTGCATGGCTGGTGAGGCCTCAGGAAACTTACAGTCATGGTGGAAGGGGAAGCAGGCACATTTTTCACAAGTCAGCAGGAGAGTGGAGCAAGGAGGAACTTCCAAACACTTACAAAACCATCAGATTTCCTGAGAACTCAATGACCACAGCATGGGAGAAACCGCCCCCATGGTCCAACGGTCTCCCTCCCTCGACCTGTGCGGATTACAAATCAAAACGAGATTTGAGTGGGGACACAGAGGCAAACCATATCAGGGAGAGTATCCTGGATTACACAGGTGGGCCCAATATAATCACAAGGGTCCTTGAAAGTAGATGAAGGAGGCAGAGGATGGCAACAGTGATGCAGTGTGAGAAAGACTTGATCACTATTGCTGGCTTTGAATATGGGGAAGGGGTCATGAGCCAAGGAATGTGGGCAGCTTCTAAATGTTGCAAACAGCAAGGAATTGAAATTTCCTCTAGAGCATCCCAAAAGGAAAAGAGCCCTGCCAACACCTTGATTTTAATGCAGTGAGTTTTTGTGTCAGACTTCTTACTTATGGAAGAACTGTAAGATAATAAATTTATGTTGTTTGAAGCCACTAAGTTTGTGGTAATTTGGTATAGCAGCAAAGGGAAATTCACACAGCCAGCTACTTTTTAAACGCTGTTCCTGTGTTTGCAGAATCTGTAACCTCAAGGGGCAGAACCTTCCTTCTGCAGAATATGAGGTCTTTTCCCAGCTGCACTTGCAGCAAGGGCACAGATCCATGGCCAGTATCTGTCAATTGTACACCTGCATGATTTTGAATTAGAGGCTGGTCATGTGCAGAGGGGAGCCTGGCAGAATCTGTTCTGTGAGGGCAGTGGCAGGGACAGCTGTCACTGCAGCAGCGTGTTGCTGTCAAAGACAGCAATTCCCACAGCAGGGTTTGCGCACAGTATGGTGTCATGGTGGGCACCTGGCAGTGTCAGAGTCCAGTGACGAGTTCCAGGAGCCTGCCCTAGGCTGGACTTTGGACATTTTTCCTGGCTGTATAAGCCCTAAGCCTGGTGCCCTTGTCCTCCTGGAGATTCTGGGAGCCTTAATAAGTTCCTTTTCTGCTAAATTAGCCAGAGTTGGTTTTTGTGGCTTGTGATTCAGAACCCTCAGTAAATCAGATATGAATGAACAATTCAATTCACTCAAAAAGAAAGTGGTGACACATCCCTGTAGTCCCAGCTCTCAGGAGGATCGATTGAGCCTGGGAGGTCGAGGCTGCAGTGAGCCGTGATCATGCCACTATACCCCAGGTTGGGTGACAGATAAGACCCCATCTCAACAAAAAGGAAAAAAAAAAGCAAGAAGAAAGAAGAAAAAGAAAGAAAGGAAGGAAGGAAGGAAGAAAGGAAGGAAGGAAAGAAAGAAAGAAAGAAAGAAAGAAAGAAAGAAAGAAAGAAAGAAAGAAAGAAAGAAAGAGAAAAAAGAAAGATGACAAAAACAGGAGAAAAAGTTGACCCTAGCTAGCAGTCAAAGAAACTCACAGCTTGAGGTGCCATATGATAGTTACTAAAAACAAAAACAATTGTTTCTGTAGCACAACAACGAGAACAGTTCCTCAGATAATGTCATTTCATTCAACTTTTTTTTTTTTTTTTTAATGATGAGAAAAAAATTGATTCTCTGCCAGGGCCACTGTCTGTGTGGTTTGCATGCTCTCCCCACGTCCACAGGGGTTTTGCTCTGGATGCTCTGGTTTTCTCCCACCCCTCAAAGAGGTGCATGTTCAGTTCACCGGCATGTCTACATGGTCCTGGTGTGAGTGTGGGGTGTGTGTGAGTGTGCCCTGCGATGTGACAGTGTCCTGTTCAGGGCTGGTTCTTACTTTAAGCCCTGAGCTGCTGGAATGAGCTACAGCAACCGGAGACTGGAGACTCCGGCAACCTAGAGAACTGTTATTATTGAGTAAGTTATCTTACTTGCTTTTATTTATCTTTCTTAAATGTATGTATAGCTCATATTTATTTCAGTGGTTAATATCAGAAGTGTTTTTTTTTTTTGAGACGGAGTCTCACTCTGTTGCCCAGGCTGGAGTGCAGTGGTGCAATCTTGGCTCACTGCAACCTCTGCCTCCCAGGTTCTAGTGTTTCTCCTGCTTCAGCCTCCTGAGTAGCTGGGACTACAGGCATGCGCCACCATGCCCGGCTAATTTTTGTATTTTTAGTAGAGACGGGGTTTCACCATGTTGGTCAGGCTGGTCTTGAACTCCTGACCTTATGATCCACTCGCCTCGGCCTCCCAAAGTGCTGGGATAACAGTCATGAGCCACCGCGCCCGGCCTTTGGTTTTTATTTAGAATTTTGATGTGTTTGTGACTAGAAATAAACCATAGGAATATTAATTTGCTTGTGGTAAAATTGGTGTTACTTACTTTCAGATTGCAAGAACATATTGACAACCTTAAGTGAGGACTGACTGTACCTTTGTTTATAGCTAGTAACTAAATGGATACACTGTTTGGAAAGTAATTTGGAAAGGAGTAATAGGAATATTTAGCAAAAATCTGTAAACGTGTCCTTAGCTTCTGACCTGGCAATTGCCAAGAAGCTTGGGAGGGTGTTTGGTAAGATAAAAATTATTTGTGTGCTTGTGTTTGAAAATTATTGATGTGGGCTTACAGTGTGTTAAACTAGGGGTGATAAAATTTGCATTAGGACCCCAGAAGCTTTTAGAGAGCAAAGAGATTAGAACCTATATTCAGTTTCCTGAAATGTAAAGTGACTGAAGCTGTCAGAGCGGCTGAGATCAAGGCTCTCTCTGAGGCTGGGCAGGAGAATGACTCCCCTGGGAGAACATTTCCACAAGGGGAAAGTGGTTAGTAGATGCGTACCCTGCACCAAGGCACGTGATTAAAGGGGAATATGGTCTGTGCAGTAGCCATACCAGGGGGCAGTTTATGCCCCCAGAAAACTGCTCTCAAAAAGAACCAAGAGCTGTAATTTTGGGAACACAAGCCTCTTTGGTGGAGAATGGTGTTATTGCTAAATGCTCAGCATCTGGGGAGCATTTTAATGCCTGATGCTGCATCAACTTGTGGAAAACTACCAATAGTCCTTGAAATAAGCATCACAAAGTCTTGTAGAAACACAGCAAAATGTTTATGATGCATATGTAAGTAAAAATTGTATGCAGAATAGGTACTTGTGATGTTTAACTATGTAGGATTTGAGGCATGTGGGCCAGTGGGTTGTTAGAGTTAAAAAAAAAAGGAAGAATGCTTTTTTTTTTTTTGAGACAGAGTCTCTCTCTGTTGCCCAGGCAGGAGTACATGGGCATGATCTCAGCTCACTGCAACCTCCACCTCCCAAGTTCAAGTGATTCTCGTGCCTCAGCCACCCAAGTAGCTGGTATTACAGGCGTGCACCACCAGGCCTAGCTAATTTTTTTTTTAAGTAGAGATGGTGTTGTGCCATTTTGGCCAGGCTGGTCTTGAACTGCTGACCTCAAGTGGTCTGTCCGCCTTGGCCTCCCAAACTGTTGGGATTACAGGTGTGAGCTACCACACCTGGCCCAAGAATGCTTTTATCATACTGTCTTTCCTGTTCAAAATATTGCATCTCTTACCAACATGTTTCACTAAAAAAACATGAGGTCACCAAATGCCTATTTAAGGAACTGAATTTTTATTTTTAAAAATAAAGTCCCCCAAGTGATGCTACTCATCTGTTTCTTTGGGGAATCCCAGATGCCTGAGTTAATGGTCAGAACATCATTTGGCTGGGAAACAATCCATATAGGTGCAACTGTCCCTGGGTGCGTGGCCCCGTGATTGGGTGCAGCTCCCTCTCAGTCAGTTCTCACTGTCTTATCAAGACTCCATCTCTGAAATCTTGAAATGCATCTTGAAATGCAAGGATCCTTAATCCATTTATTCCTTTGACAAACAGAAAATGAGCCCTTCTGTCTGTTCACGCTTCCCCTCTTTCCTCTTCTGAGAAATGGAGGTCTAATTGCTGGCATGGGAAAGAGCCTTGTTTTAACCGTCAGCTCCGCCCTAGTGGATGGAAGACAGGGTTAGCATGCCCTGTTTTTCATACAGCACCTGGGCTTGTAAAATGGAACTAAAGAAGGAAATGATGACCAGGCATCCAGAAGTCAGCTCCTGTCTTTCTATGCTCTGCTAGAAAAGAGAGGTTGTGAGCTGAGGGACATCAGGAGAGCAGGAAGACCTGCAGGAAGAGCCGGCTGGGCACCCAAACATGGCTGTACCTCAGAAGATGCCTGTGCAGTTCAGAACTTGGAGGAGATGGGGCCGCAGGTGCTGAGGAGGCAGCAAGAGTCAGATGCAGTGACACAGGGGAGGTCAGACATCACAGGAAAGAGCAATGATGGAAGTCAGGGAACGAAGGGGCCCTGTGGCCAGTTCAGGGGGCTAGAGTGAAAATCTGACCTATCTCAGCTGCAGCCCATCAGTTCCTGTAGCTTGTCTTCACATCCTTTGGCTAGAAAGCAGATGAAAGAAAACCTGTCCACAGAGGCTGTGGGCTGAGCCTCTCCTCCCCACTTTTTAAACACCAGACACCGACATAGGCTTTATGCTGAGCTGTGATTTATCTTGCCAACCTTCTGAGGCTACAGAGTACCCAGCTGTTTGGAGGGTCCTTCTGCCCTACCTTTCCTCCTTCCTTACTTCTTTCCTTCCATCTTTTCTTCCTTCCAAATATTTATTGTGTCCCCACCACACACTCTTTATCTGAACTTAAATTTGATCCGAAAAGGACTTCAGCATGTATTGACAGTTGAAATCCAGGCAGCTACAGATTTGTAAGGCCAGTGAATCAGGCATCAGCTATCCTCTAATTACATTGCACATGTATTTGAGAGCAAAGCTTGCACTTGCATAGCTAAACTCTAGAGTCACATGGATGCTCAAGGAGTCAGTGAAGAGCTGTGGCTTCAAGAACCCAGCCTTGCATGGCTGTTGAGTGGACATGACACTGGGTATCCAGTCCTTTCTCTGAAAGCCCACGACTGGGGCAACAGCTTACACACATGAGATGCCCTCTCAGCTGGCACTGGTTCCATGACCATCATTCCTCAGCCCACAGAGAAGTGCAGGAAAAGAATCTAGGTGGGGGACAGTTAGTGTAGTCTGAGAGTGTGGCCTCTGGAGAGATGTGTCAGAATTCAAATATCCAGCTGCGATTTGTACAAGTACTTAACTCTTTAAGCCTCTGTTTTCTTCTTTGTACAATGAAGACATTGCCTGGTAGAATTGCTGCAAGGATTTGATGAGAACGCAACTTGAAAACTTAGCACACTGCCTGGACAACCTTATAGTTGGTTACCTATTAATATTAGCAAGATGAAATCATTCCATTTGGAGGAAAACAAATGGTGGAAACAAAACCAGTGGTTCAGAGTCCCATACCTAAATCACTGACTGATTTTTTTCAATCAGTTGTCCTGACAGGTTCAGATCCAGCGTGAGCTCCTGGCTTCTCTCCCTTTTCCTATGCAGTGTGTTCACACTCACACATCCACTTGTTACACAGCGCAGGATGCCACTGAGATCCTGAACACACACCTCCTTCTCAGCTCAAGATATCAAGGCAGCTGAATGGAGATGAGGCAGGGGGAAGGTCAGTCCTGGGGTCAGCCAGACCGTGTTAAAGCTTCAGAGCACTGTGGTCTTGGTTCTACCAGCTCTGGCTTAGCTCAGTCTTCTTTTCTCTGGGCTGACAGTTCAGGTTGTGGGTCTAACAACACCTCACTAATAAGTCTCTACCTCACAGGGTCATTGTGAAGGTTGGAACGAGTTAACATGGGGAAAGTGCTAAGGGCAGCACCTGACTGACGCATACAGTAGGCGCCTGGCCAAATGCTGGCTGTGTCAGAGCCAGAGCAGAAATGGTATTCCTCTTCGTTCTGCGCCAAGTGCTACAAGGACAGCCGCCACTAGTACTGGTGCCCGATGATCTGAGACACGAGGGGGCCATCAGGTTATGTTCCAGCTACAGCGCTGCTCCCCCTCCTTCCCCGCTTCCTGAGGCAACTGTGATAGAGAAATGATGGAAATCGTGTGTCACAGGTGAAAAGAGAACATAAGGATGGGTTCATCTTCGCAAACTTTTCTCCTATGGAATTGAAATTTTTTCCCCACCTGAGGAAAGCCAGACATTCTGCCTTCTCACCTTTTCCAAACACCAGTGGCACCCTCTTCCTTTAAACCCTCATGCCCGAGTAAATGGCTTCCCCGGGACCCGGGCTCAGTGTCCCCAGCCCAGTCACCCTCCTATCTACAGCGAAGCTCTCAGGCACATGGGACACCCTTGGCTTTTGGGTCATCAGTTCTCTGGGTAATTTTACCCCCTGTCAGAGCTGGAGACTTTGTAAATAATAGGGTGCTGAGCGATGAGGGAGCTGCAACCCCGCCACGGGGCCAGGCAGCAGGGACAGTGTGCACCACACAGATTGTTTCCCAGCCAAATGATGTTCTGACTCCTCAAAGAAACAGAAGTAGCGCCTTTTGGAGGGCCTTATTTCAAAAGAAAATACTTTCTTAGGCTGACTTTTGGTTAATTTGTAAATTTACTGCATTCCCATATCAGCTCCTGTTGCTGATGAGCTGTGCCAGTGTCTGAAGTAACCCCCCAATGCCTGGTGGAGAAGGGAGCTCGGGAGGTGGTAGCAAGGGGAACTAGACCCCTAGAGGTCCTTCCTGCTTGTTAACCTACATTTGCTCTCTGAAGCCAGGTATGCCCCAACTGAAGCACCTCGGAGGGAAAACACGGAGGTGGTGTTGCGGGGGTGGGGTGGGGGGTTATCAACACCTGCAGTCAGGGGCAGCCTTGAACACAGGAGCAAATATGCTTTAAAATAAAAGAGGCTCCTGCCTGACAGACTACCATGGGAGAAAAGGAACCGATTTATGGAGTGTGGCGTTCATCAGTTCATTTAATCTCCTCTAGAGGCCAAGGCTCAGATGAAGCAGACGAAGAGGAGTCTCACATTTGTAAGCGCCACAAGGGCTGCTTCCCAGCATGGCTGGTGCGTGGTGGGTGCTTTGCAGAGGGGATAAGGGAGTCTTTTTTTACTTGTCACGGGGCTGGGAGGTGAAGGAGCCACCATTCAATCTGGCTTCAGAGCCTACCTTCTTTCCTCAGAAGAGCAGAGGCTGAGCAAGCTGGATGAAGTAATCCAATCATGTGTCCCCAGGAAAGACAAGAGTCCTCAAATCCAAGTGGGGAGATGACAGACCCGTGTAACAGATGGCAGCTAGGAGAAGGCCCCGTATGCACGCCTGCGAGCACTGGCTCAGAAACGCACGCTCCTTACAGCCATTATTATTATTATTTTTGAGATGGAGTCTCACTCTGTCGCCCAGGCTGGAGTGCAGTGGTGTGATCTCGGCTCACTGCAACCTCCGCCTCCCAAGATCAAGCAATTCTCCTGCCTCAGCCTCCGGAGAAGCTGGGAGTACAGGTGCCCGCCACCACGCCCAGCTAATTTTGTTGTATTTTTAGTAGAGATGGGGTTTCGCCATATTGGCCAGGCTGGTCTCAGACTGCTGACCTTGTGATCCGCCCGCATCGGCCTCCCAAAGTGTTGGGATTACAGGCGTGAGCCACCAAGCCCGGCCACGGCCATTTTAATTAGGGCTGTGGACATTCCCCTAAGATGGAAGATTAAAACCTTGAGCGACTGTTTCCTCCGAAAAAAAACAAAACTTGAGGAACAGGAACACTGGAAATAATTCACTGTGACGGAGAAACGTAAATGATGACCGAAGATGGAGCAGATTCCCCGGGAGAAATGTTGTGAGCCAAGACTTGGCCTCAGCTCCACTGGAGAAAGCTCCCAGGTTCCCGCCCAGCGCCCAGACTCCAGAACACAGGATGCCCCACCCTGTGGAGAAAGTCGCTGCGGGCTTATGTAAGGGAAATTCCCCTTCCCTTTAAAGAACCAGTTTCAGGAAACACCACTAACGTCCTGCCTCCCTGATTTCCACTCCCGGACACAATGGGTCTCCACCGTGTGATAAATATCCGAAAAGACAAGTCAAGGCCAAGTGGAAACATACGCAAGCCACACGCCCCTGCGGGCCCCAGCATGGCCGCCCTCCAGGATGTCTGTGCTGAGGCAAGAACGCACAGAGCCCAGGCTCACCACGGGGAAGCCACAGGCCTTGTGGGTGCCGGGTAAGGGAGTGAAGGGAGCTCCTGCCAGCTTCTCTGAGTTTCAGTTACAGAGTCCTATGCCTATGTGTCCTCTTCCTGCTGTGACTCGGCCCTGACCATAAGAAAAACCAACCCTGATAAGTTACACCAGGTTGAAAGGAACACTGAAAACACAGGTCAGGCAATTAACGCCAGGGGCCGTAGAAAACCCGGGCATCCCTGAGGAAGCAGGTCTTCCAAGCTCCCCTGCACAGAAGAGTCAAAATGAGGCATTACCTTGGAAAAACTTGAATTCTACTCAGTAATTCTATCACCCACTATCACTCTCCCAAATCAGCCCAGTTCACGAGTATGAGGGATTGGTGAAGCTTCTTCAAAACTTGAGTGAAAATGCCCTGAACCGCATGGAAGAGAAGCGTCAGCTACTCACACATCGTGATCCCTATTTACATGAAAGGGAACAAGCAGGACCTTTCACTTCTGTTTTCTGAAATGCTGCTTTTAAGGCTGACCTTTCACACACACACACACACACACACACACACACACCCCACAAAAAACAAAAAAACATTCAAAGCTCAAATAGGATATAACATTCTTTCTCACAGGCAGGCCAGTTGAATTTTCCTTCTACAAGTTGAAAAACTCGTTTTTCTAGGGTGGCCTGTGTTCTTTAAGTTGGGTCTAAACCTTGAAAAACTTTGAAGCTCACGTTTATTTCTCCCCGAGGGAAATCTTTATTCAGTTCTGAAAAGTAAAAAAGAGCACTTCAAGTACTTGATCCAGAGAACTGGGAGGCGGGTTCAAGAAAGACACACACACACACACACACACACACACCCTGCATACCAAGGGAACGAGCTTCAGCCAAAATGGGAGACAATGACATAAGGCTGGTTAAATATATGAAGATTTGTAGAAGACTGAATGAGGGCTCAGAGGCAGAGAGTAAGAGTTACTTGCTCAGACACTGCAGATGAGGTGAAACTACCTAAAAATGGGGCTGAAGGGGAGAATGGAAAGACCATGTAGAATAAGTGTTTTTCAAAATTCTTCTCAGCACTCCTGGGTATTTCTTTATCCCAGATTAATGAAGATTTATGTTCATAGGAAACCCCAAACATAAATGTTTAATATAGTTCTACTCCCAATAGCCCAAACTGGAAACAACCCAGATGTCCGTAAGTGAATGGCTAAAAAACTGTGGTACATCCATACCACAGAATATTATTCAGCAACACAAAGGAATGCACTATTGATATACACAATATTACTTGGATAAATCTTCAGAGAATTACGTCAGAGAAAAAAGTCAATCCTGAAAGGTTACATCCTACATTATTCCTTTTATACAACATTCTTGAGATAAGAAATTTCAGTGGATCCCCAAAACTCAGCACATTGTAGGTGCTCAATAAATATTTGTTAGGGGAAGAAAACGACAGGTTTCCAGCAATAAAGAACAGACTGGTGACTGCCAGAGGTTGGGGAGGGAGTGGAGGTGGGAAGTGGGTGTGGTTATAAAAGGGCAACAGGAGGTACCCTTGTGGTGGCAGGAATGTTCTGTATCTTGACTGAATGTCAATATTCTGTATGTGATACTATACTATATAGTGTTGCAAGCTACCACTGGGGGAAACTGCGTAAACAGCACTGTATTATTTCTTACAACTGCATGTCAGTATACAAGTATTGCAAAATAAAGAGTTAAAAAAAAAAAAAAACTGTTCTCAGTTATTGGTGGTGGTAGTATTAGTATTGCTATTCTGAGTTTTTATAACATGGAATAAAGCAAATGAATAATTTTAAACTATTCTAGTGGAAAATGAAATATTTCACCATGATCTTCAATAGACAGAAATCTCTATTGAGCTTTGATGGAAAGAAGTCTTTTTTCTTCTTTGTTAAAATATGTTTTTGTGTTATGGACCATGTTTAGAAAGGTCAATTCAAAATTATAAAACATATTCACCAAAAAACGAGGATTTCACCAGAAAACTCAAATATATTTAAGCCCATAAATTCATAATATTTAAAAAATTGTTCATCTTTAGAGGATAGGAACCAACTCATAAATAACGCTGATTATAGGAAAGTAATGCAAATAATGGGAAAGACTCCAGCATTGATCCTGCCTTTTCTACATGGACTGCACCACTACATGAAGGGAAGTATGTCTTTATTTAAGAATTCCGACTGATAAAACAATGTATCCAGGGGAACTAACATAGGATCCCCATACACAAGCAATTCTAACAGTTCCAGGAACTTGGTGAAATGACAATGTGCCCATCACCCAGTCTGATACAGTGTTTCACCTACTCAAGATGCCAGGAATTGTAAGAAGCACAGTCACTGGCACTCTCGGTACACCCAAAAAAACCACAGCCAGTTCCGGAAGTGCCATCAGAAGATGCATCCCAACTTGAGATGCTCAAGTAGGACAAAAAGTGGCCTTGATTCAAGTGACAACGCCATTTCATATCCTAAGCCTTATTTTCACTACTTCTTACTCTTCAGATTTATGGAGGGGCCAGTATTGTCACCCATATTGTATCACTGAAAATCAGGGTAAAATAGCACAGCATTATGGCAACAAGAAATATGCAAAATCCTCAAAAAACATGATAGTGGAAGAATAAAAAAAAAACAAAAAACCCAAAAACTATTTACCCTGCCAGGCTTGAAGCTCATCAGGCTGTGCGGCCTGTAACCTCTGATGGCGAACACGTCTTGACTGGGGTCTTCTGACGCTCCTCTCGCTGCCCATCATCTTCCACATTCAGGCCTCAGTGGATCCTTATCAAATGCACCAAGAGAGAGCAAATACCACCAAACCCTGGCTTCATAACTACAGATCTGCGAACTGTTGAAATTATGTGCACGATGTTCCACATGTACGTATTTATTATGGGACTCCAGGATTGCTGGTATGAACTTATTGCCATCTGCACAGCTTTGTCAAGAGTACAAGACTGTAATTAATCACAATTGTTTCCAAGATACTTTGCCTTAACTAAACATTTTGGTCTGTTGAGAATAGAACAACTTGATTCCAACCCTGAGCATGGCAAGGGCAAAGGACTGTCGTGGGAAGCAGGGGAGAGGATGGTGAGGTCTCAGTTTGCCTAGAGGTAAGAGAGTTAAGAGAAAGCTTTGATGCCACGCAGCTGTGGAGCCCAGGGCTGATGCCACCTTAGGCATGGTCTTTGTGGAATAACTTACTGGACATCCATAATACTAATATCCATTGCTGCTTTATGCAAGTGGCATGGAGTCAACATACCCAGATAACCCAGGAAAAGTATGTCACTTGTAAATAACCCACGACTCTATGCTGAAGTCAGCAAACTATGGCCCATGGGCCAAACCTAACCTCTTGCCTGTTTTTTTTTTTTCTTCTTTTTGGTCTGATCTGTATAAAATAGACTTTACATTTTGAAATCATTAAGAAAATCAAAATATTGTATGGCATGTCAAAGTTATATGAAATTCAAATTTATGTCCTTAAATAGTTTTACTGGAACACAGCCATGCCCAGGCATTCACATACCGTCAATGGCTGCCTTTGTATTACGCAACAGCAGAATTGAGCAACAGAGACAGTTACGGCCTACAAAGCCTAAAATATTTACTATCTCTGTCCCTTTACAGAACAAATTTGCCAACCCCTATCTCAGAGTTCAGGTTTCACAAGTGCTCTGGTAACTTTTTCATAAATAAAAGATAAAGCCTGAATGTATAACTACAAAACAGTCACATTTATTACTGTTTGCTGTAGTTTTCAAAGCTTGTGCACCAGACATGCATAAAAAATGCAAAAGTGAGCCCAGACTGGTTGTAAAATGTTTCTTGTTTGTCATTTCTCCCTTTGCAGTTTCCCTACTGGGCATGCACACGCAGCAGAGGAAGAACAACAACTAGTCACCGTGCTAGATTTAAAAGCATTTAATGACATAGCATATATTTAACAGATAGGGCAAAAGTTGAGAGGTACAGGTCGTACGACTGAGCACCAGGCCTGAGCGACCACCTCCCTGTTCAGGCCCAGCCTCTGGAGTTCATTCCTATCAATGTCATTTTGATTGTGCAGTAAGATGAAAATTTGTCATTACAATAGTTACAGTGACAGAGAAATGCACACTATGTATCAAATAGCAAGGAAATGAAGCAAATTATAACACAGTGTGGCAACGCACGAGCAAGTAACCATTAGAGTAACATTACTTTGTCCAGTAAATGCTTCAGTTCCACCACTTGTACACTTACCAATGATTTAAAGGGTTTATTATACATCTAGTTTTATTATACTTTGTACTAGAATTATCTCAAACGTACAATATAATGTATTTCAGCAAAAAAAAAAAATTGAAATTACAGATTATTTAAAACAGTATCAGTTTTCTATTCCTTCTTGTATACTGACATTCTTAACCGTCATAGCAGTTGATGCAGAAAAGCCGCATGTCGTGTGTTAGTAAGTGATGCCAGATACAAATGGTTTGGTCTGTAGAGTTAATGTGGAGCTGCACTGTGGCTGCAGCAAGATCATAATATGCGATCTGTTTAATAAAGGTTAGCCCCATCTCGGGCACTTCTAAGAGTCAAGAGTCAGGGTAACCACCAGAAGTAAATGGAGAGAGAATGGTGTCAGGATATTGGTACATTTTGCCTCTGGTGAGCACAGGAAATATTGATTAAGCACCGCTGCCTTGCATACCAACAGCACTAGAGGCGGGTTATTTCCAACACAGCCTCACAAAATTGAGGAACAGTTTAAATACTGAGATCTAATCTATATAATTTCATTAAAAAAAAAATCTGGCCTTCCCTCTGCACCTCAAACTTTTGTAACTTGGAGATAAAGTGTTTAGGTGTGTTTCCCCCACCCCCCCCGAAATGCTCTATAAATTAAAAAAAAAAAAAAATCAACCACATTGAGGAACATTAGGCACAGAGAGTAATGTGTTGGTTCTGAGCTTGCATGCTGGAATTTCACTGAAAAGGTAAGAGAAGGGCAGGAGGTGAAGGAAAGGAGTTCATTTCTTTTTGCCAAAAAGGCTGAACCGCTTCTCTTTGTCTTTCTCTTTGTCCTTTTCCCGCTTGCCGGGACTGGACTCGCTGGTGATGGTGACGACGCTGGTGGGGAGGGTCTGCGCGCGGCTGGATGCTGGCGTGCTCTGGGTGCTGGCAGACACCTCGTGTTTATCAGAGGAGATGGCGGAAGAGATAGCCTGGATCCATGTGTTCATTTCCTCCTGGACAGAGGAAGGGACACAGGTGAGACTCAACTAAGAGTAGGCATGAGGGGTTCTGGCTCCAAGGCTTGGGAATGGCGCATCTGGCCAACTGAGGGGTAAGCAGAGTCACTTCTGGGCACTGTCCCCAAATGCACCTCTGCCTTATCAGTACAGGAGAGGGAACCTGGTTCAGCTTCTCATGAGAATTCAGTTCTACTCATCACCCTAGTATGTGGCCCTACAAACTTGTAACAGCTGGAAGACCAGTCTCAATCTGTGAGGTGGTCAGATCCCACCCTAGAAGGTGCTTTTTCACATTTAAAGCATTACAGGTGTTGTTTTTCCATCAATGGACTCTCTCTTTCCTTGAGGTGAGGTACACACCCATTAAACAGCTGGCTGCTGGCGAAGGGTGCAGCGGGGGTCCCATCATGATCCACAACCAGTCCTGGGACCACCTCACTATGCCTCATCCCTGGGAGGGGACAGGCAAAGATTCCATCGACTTTAAGGGATCCTGCCTCGGCAAAGGGACAGTGAGATCATATTCACTGCCTTCTAGAGACAGAACCAAACACCTTCTAGTGCTGGTGACTGGAGCCCAGTGATAGAAACCATCACTGATCATCATTTACATGAAGAACTTTCTGAATAAAGCCCATCATCACACAAACACTTGCAAACTCCTAAGTAGTGGAGAGAAATAACATTTAGAAACTTACATCGTCTTTGGCTTGGAAGAGGTACTCATTGCCATCATTTAGTCTGTAATTTCAAGGAAGAAAGTTAGTCACCACTTAATTACAGAGAAATAAAAATCCCCCAACTCCCATATCCCATGCAGGACAGAAGTAGACCACAGGAGTCACAACAGAAGCGTCAACCTACATATGTCACCACCAAGCCTGGGGACCCGCCCAGGCCCAGCAACAGACCCCTGGAGATCAAGAAGCCATATAATCGCGCCAATGATACACACAGGGAGCCTGTGCTTCAATCCAATGGAAGGATTTTAAAAAGCCCCAAACATAACATTTGGGTTTATTGTGGCAAAAATCACTTGTGGATGCCTGATCACTTACTGGTCTAAACTGAGTTCAGGAGAAAGCTTTTGAACACAATGAGCCCTTTTGAAATTCTGCTACTGAGCTTGTATCCCCTACATTCACATGTTCCAGAGTTTCAGAATAGGCAAACAGAAAATGTCCTTCAACTTTTCTTCTACTGTATGTCTCAGAATTAAGAAGCCCTATTAGTGTGACACTGGGAGGTCCCCAGGCTTGGAAGGGTCACAGGTTCACTCTGTGGCTGCGGAGAGGACGAGGGTACTGTTGTGTAACACAGGGTAGGGGCCGTTCGCTAATATCCCAGCTCTCTGAAGCTGCATGAAGGGAGTACAAAGGGGAAAGCAGCCAAGGAGCCAGGCTGCCGGTGCATTGTCCTACAAAATGTAAAGTGTTCCAGGACCCAAAGAGCCTGCCTGCACTGCGCAGCAGCAGAGCTTAATAAATCAAACCATCTGACACTCTCTCCTCTGGAGCCCTGGGCCTAGTCCAACTGGCATGAAACATACAAATAAATGGAAGACCAAAGCTTTTCAGATCCCAAAGCAACAGCACAAATCAGTAAACAAGCATTCTAACCACTTTTTACAAGATAAAATAATTTTTCTGCCTACTTCCAAGTGTGAGGAGAAATTCTGAGCTTAGCTCCACTCTGTAGGGAGATACATGTATCCTACAGGGTAGAGACATTTGGAACTAGATGGTTCTGAGACAGCTGGAGCATCTGCTGGGAGAGTCAGGGGAGGACAGGGTCCCAGGCCCCACCCAAACATTTCCTGTTTGTCTCCATCCAGCTCCAGGATGACTCACTTGACCCATCTCCAGATAATTCATGAGCAAAGAATAGCATCTCCTGGGTCGGGATAAGCTGAAAAGATGGGGAAACTATTTTTCAAAGCCTCCCTTAAACTGTGAAATGTGACTAGCTCTCTTTAAGTCTTAGGGAACAGTAAGTGCCTGGTTATAAAAGCAAAAGCTCCTTATCCTTCAATGCTCAGATGTACTGTTAACCACAGGGAAGCTGGTGGCTGGCCACAGTTGCCAAAGAATTCAGCCTAACCGAGACACGTGCCAAACTGGTTTTTCACTTTATTGGGGATTTAAAATGGCAGAAGACAGAACCAACTAATCACAGCAGCTGTATAAGAAAACCAAACCCCAGAGTGGAAGTAAATGCAAACCCACTCTGGCAGCCATGAAGCACGGCGACTCTCACCTTAGCTTGAATACGTGTTTCTTCTTTTTGTAATCAAGGGCCACTTCGCAGACAGCTTCTTTCAAACTCACAGGGACCTCGCTGTGGTAGGGAATTCCAGAAGCAGCAGTCTTTGCATCTTTGTAGAAACCCATTTCTTGGTTATTTATGACACAATAAACATTGTGCCAGGACCTGTGCAGTTTAAAAAAAAGGGCAGGGGGAGATAAAGGCTCTACCACATTCCCCTTAAAGAACTAAACATTTCATTAACATGAAAATGATCCTCACACAACACAGTGTGACCCCACCCAACCCTCAACCTTCCTTATTACAAGCCCTTCCTAAATTCTGCTAACACTAAACAACAGAAAAAATTCCTCCATGGAGAGTTCAGGGACAGGGCACAGGGCAAGTGTTTGAGGACTATGTCTTCTCTTTCACTTCGGAGAAAAGCAAGTTACCCTCTTGTACTCTGAGCTCACTTTGATTGGTATTTAGTACTCTTTGCTGTAGCGCCCTCTTATGGTCATGAGCTAAAGGCCATGCTCCTGTCTGAAAACATGCCTGTCCTCCAGCAGCAGCTCCTCCAGCTGCGGATTCATTACTTATGTGACTTGGCAACTTGACAGAAAGACAGACCCAGAGCCATCAGCACTTACAGTACCTTTGGGTGAATTAGAATAAAGTGGCTTTTCCCCTATGGTATGGCAAACTGTCCTAATATACTAATTTTAACAGAACACCGGCCTGTATTACACCAGCATGTATTAATATATAAATCCCTATGTTGTCCTCAACGTGAATGGCAGTTCTTAGATGTTCTGATCCCCTCACACAGCAACAAACTGCACAGTAAGATATGGTGGTCCCAGGTGGTTGGGTTTACTAGTTAAGCACATAGGCTTTGCAGTTTCATATTCCAGCTTTGCCATTTACTAGGTTTCCACAGAAAGAAAGCTTTGTTAACCGCTCAGAGCCTCTGTTCCCCATCTGTTAAATAAAAAAATTGGGGCTGTTGAGAGACAATGAATATATATAAAGGCTGATATGGAGATCAGGGCAGGGGAAATGGTTAATGGCTTTTTACAAAAAACCCACAAGGAGTCCTAAATGAAATCAATCACTTAAAGTAAAGAAGACTCTTCAGTCTCAATCTAGCAAATTCCTTCTCTAGATGAACTACTAAAGCCCCTTCTAGCTACTCCCATCCAAACTCAACTCTTCTTCTCTCAGTGAATAACCAGCATTCTACTCCTGCTTTCCAGCGTCAGCCCAAGAAGAATGCAATGTCCAGGAAGCTACCAAAGGAATAAAACTACATGAGCACATACTTCTCTTCCAATTCAAGAGTGGCCCGCCTTATCCCTTCACAGGCTGACTTCCCATCTTACTGTGGCAGCCTCTGCTGCTGTTACCTGCTTGAGGCTTTCTTATTGTGGGCCTCCCACTCGTGTTTCCGATTGAGGAAGCCTTCCATCTGGGCCGAAGGTGTCTCCTGGGTTCTGGCTGGTAAGGTGGCGGCACTCTGGGCTGGGAGGGCAGTCTTGGCTTTACGATCAGAGGTCGGGGAGGGGATGGGGCTGGACTCTTTAGAGCTCGTCCTTTGTTCTGTAGCGCCGTTGACCATTTCGCTTGTGTCCACCGTTTCTGCCATCTAGGGACAGCGGAGAGGCCATTCAGCTAACTCCGTGAGCCATGGGGGTGACCACATACGCTCTACCTGACTCGCACATGTGGCTGTGTATAAATGCCTGGCACAGATCGAGGCAGTACAGTAAAACCATTGCACACCCACAAAGCCAGCTGGACATCAAGGACATTAGAAGGTGGGAATGGATTAATACCCGCCCATTTACAGGGAAATGAGAAAAGCGAAATGCCAGTATGAGTTTTACTGCACTCTATTCCTCTGATCAATAAATATAACTCAGATCATCTCCTCTTATGGTTACTTTAAAACAAAAAGACAACAGTAACAATCACACATATTAAATATGAAAGAGAGTGGACGTTATACAGCAGCCACCTTACAACCAAGGATGCCACCAGAAGGGCTGGAAGTTTAAGCGAAAGGGCATTCACAAACAGACCGATAGACAACTCTATCAGAGCTACATGGCATTCCCCCAGAGTAAGACAAGGAAAGACCTCGGTTCCTGAAAATGCTCTCTGGCTCTCCTCCCCCTCCCCTCAACACATTGTCATAAACACATGCAGAAATTAGGACGACAATCATGCATTTCACATCTACCATCCCAGTTAGACTTTGGAACTTAAGAGCTGGAAGGAAATGAGGCAAGTCAACAAACATCAATTTGACCACATCTGCCGAAGTTGTATCGTGAGTGGGTTGTAGTTTGTGTTAAAGGAGCTGGAAAAGCCAATCACAGTCACTCAACACCACACAGCTATTTACCCCCAAACAAAGACAGAACCAGGGCCTTCCCCATCACGGGTTGGTTGATCACGGTGCCTTGCTGCACTGAGACGAGAAAGCCCAGAGACAGCCAGGCTTCCAGCGGCTCTGACCCTTCAGGCTGGAGACGTCTTCGGGAGCGTTCCTTCCCAAGCTCATTTAAATTGTAACCCTCATGGCTTTTCGGCTTTGGAAATGTAGTAGGGTCTTGATTCATTATCATTTTCAGCCTGTGTACCATCAACTGTGTACCATTAACTGTAGCAGCCCCTGGCTGATACACCCAGGGTGTGCGATTAGCGAGTTACTAAAGCTGGGTGTGGCTGACACTTTAGTGGATTACAGACAACCTGCACCCCTCGTACACAGACAAACATGGAGAAGTCAATGGCACGCTCATTAGATACGTCGCCCACCACTGCTGCCCAAGACCAAAGTGACACCAAATTAGCAGTAACAACCTTGACAAGATAAACGGTAGACTGGCCACCACCATGTGAACACCTGGATCTGTAAACTCTTGGGAACTGTATCTC
The DNA here is from genome assembly GCF_000001405.40 of Homo sapiens. Taxonomy (NCBI): domain Eukaryota; kingdom Metazoa; phylum Chordata; class Mammalia; order Primates; family Hominidae; genus Homo; species Homo sapiens. The sequence goes on along the minus strand of NC_000002.12, from coordinate 54,663,154 downwards.
TCACTTATTAGGTCTTATCTTAATGGCTGGGCCCAATGCTTGATTTTGAACAAAACTAATTTTGGGGGGAAAAAGGGCTACAAAAAGCTCTGGAAGGAGGGAGAATCACAAGTTTAAGTTATGTCTATGCAAACTATCATAATTAGCATCAGGGCTGAGGGAAGACTAGAAACTATGCAGTTTAATGGTGGTTTTGATTGGAACCCTTTACCCTCATGGCAATGTGGAAAATGGATTATTAGGAAAAAAGACTTGTGGGGGTGTGTGTGCGCACAAGTGCTGCATGGTGATCACCAAGGCCTTGCAAGTGACAGACTGCAGACACGTGCTTATGAGCAACAGACTACTTAAACCATTCTCTCTCTTTTCACTTTTAAAGGAGAGTTGCAGGAGGGGAAATAGACAAAAAACAAAACCCTGAGTCAAAATAATGTGAGTGGACTTTAAAGGTGACAAATCTTCTCTAGTGTGAGATTCGGAAACTTCTGGTGAGGAGGAAGTATGAGTTTGGTCTGGAAGGCCTGAGCCAGGTGTGAGTCCAGAGAGACATGGGGTTAGTATGTAGAGAAACCAGGATAAAAAAAAATTTAGTGCTGCAGGTTTGACTTGAAAGCTGCTAGTGACAGCAATGACCTGGGTAGAGAGATGTTTCCTTGAAAACGGCTAAAATTTATCATACTTGGTCAGACTGCAAGGTAGATGAAGGCCAGGGAAGCCTCTTCTGAGGATAATTCTGCAGCAAAAATTTTTTCTTTAGAGTTAGAAGGAAAGAGAAAACCCCAAACCAGTATGCAGAGATCATTAATGTTTATGCAAATGAATCACTAACCAAGAAAACAAGGAAAATAAAAGGAACAAAATGAATTTTAATGGACATGTGCTTTAAGCATGCCAACAGACAGCACACCACTAGAGACACACATCAAAAGCAATCACAGTGCTATGATCAAATGATGGGTACATGTGAACACATCCCTCGCAACCCCACCCCCCACGTTGCTTCTCTTTAGCGATTAGTCCAGAGTGCTTTAGTGGCTGGGCACACCCGAGATACTTAAATCAGGAGGTGAACATGAATGCAACGTGACAACTAGTAGCACAGAAAACACCTGATTGGTATTCAAAGTGCACGAAGCAATGCTATTTTCAAGTTCACTGAGTCTCTGCGTCATCACTCAAAACAATAAAAATACTTTTTCTTCTCATACAAGCCAATTGTAATTAAAATTTTGTTATGACAAGCTACATTTAAAAATCTAGATAAAAATAGGCATGATAGCAAATGCTAAGAACATCATAGCACTCTTTTCTTGTGTGCTTATGTGGTTCCTTTTTTGGAGGGTCTTCTAGATACAAAAAGTGTCAAATTGGGTGTCAGTCCTGATGATACAAAATTTAAACACACACACATATATATATGAAAACATCACATATATACATATAGATCAATGAAACACAAAATGTAACTTGGAGCCACAAACACACATTAGAGCTCCCTAATGACCAAAGACAAAGCAGAAGTTTTTTTGTCTAAAATGAATTTTGATGTGTTTTAAGGCAGAGACCCAATAATGATGCATACTACCCCCAGAACATAAGAAGCTTGGCATCTATCTATATACCCATCTACAGTCAGAAGTAGATAGATATGTACATAGAGATAAGGAAAAACAAACAAGATGCTATATGACGTTATCCTGACAAAAGAAAAAAAAGACATGCATCATGAAATAAAAAGACAAATCAGACTTAACTCATAGAGAACACATATCAAAACAGGTTTCTGATTCCACTGACACATCTAAATATGGCAAAAGAGCAAGTGAATGTCTCACAAGGTTTTGATGTATAATATGGATTTGGTTTTGTTTTTATCGGTACAAGGAAACCATCTCTGTCACCAGCTTTTATTTCTAAGGAAAAGGATTTTTGTGAAAACATTTTCAATTCCTGCTGGTGGCCTGATAGATACCATCCTAAAAGCTTCCTTTATCAGAGAATTCCACAAAAAGTCTTGAGAAAATGAACAATGAATCAGAAGATTAATCCAAGATGTACAGTGGAGTTTGTCTACAGAGACACTGACATGACTTCTGAAGCCAGGGGGCATGCGAGCGCTCCCAGGCACGGTCCACCAAGTGCAACGTTCAAGTAATCAGGATGAACCACAATGGCTTCTGTTCCATTTGTTTGAAAAATTAAAACAGTTTGACACCCTGAAGTCATCGGCTGAATGGAGAGGCATGGAAGTCTGTGAGGCAAGCTTCTAAAACATGCTGAGAACGGCTGTCACCTGCCGCGTCCCACGTGCCAGCAGCACTGACAGGGAGCGAGACAGAGGTGGCGGCAGCAGTCAGCGGGCACTTTACTCCTGAGGCTGGCTGCAACATCTGTGCAAGGAAGCCTACAGTTTTCAATTCAGGACTTGGCAGAAAAAAAGAGAGGAACTAGTTTGTAAAAAGTAATAAATGACCCAAGGGTCTCAAAATGTATGAGATTGTGTGCCTAAAATTAAAATAGCTTCCAGAATATATCTGACTCCCTTTTTTGTCATCTTCAATAAATGAATGCATCTTTCATGGAATGTTACACAGCTGACTTTAGGTTTTAATCTTATTACAGAATGTCTCCCTCCTCATACACCAGTCTTCCTAGTTAATAGTAAACTACTATAGGTTAATAACATCTGTAAAGGCGGCTACATATAGCACAGTACTGTGCCCTGTTAGAATAACTGAATGTGTCATACCTGTTAGATTCTAGTTTTCTTCTTCATTATGCTGTAATCTCATTTAATTTCATTTCAATTACTCATGTAAGGGTTTCGCTGTAAAATCTTAATAAAGTAAAAAGCTCACAATAAATAAACAAAAAATAAGTATGCTGCTTTAAGGCAAGTGGGCATCCATCAGTTAAGAGACTCAAACATGAATTAAATGCAAACAAATATGAAACCAAGGAAGGCTATGAATTAAGTAAAAATTTTAACATTTTGGGTGAAGTGGAAGCCAAAAAGTCAAAACCCAGAGGATTTGGAAAGGGTGATTCTTGACAAATGGTAGTGAACTTCACAGTCCAGACCATGGCTGGTCACTGGCTGTCCGTCTGCTATTAAAGTTTTTGTAGTTTTGGTAGGTTTGAGAGCGGTAACTAACCCGTGGAGATCCCTGTTCAGCTGGCAAACCGTTTTGGGAAACTTGTTCTCCTTTTGAAGTATCCCTGTTAGGGAAGAGGGGAAAAGGAGGAAGGGAAAGGAAGAAGAGGAGAAAGAGGAAACAGTAAGAAAGGGTGGGAGAACATCATCACTCAATTTTATTACGTGCAACCTTTTCACATAATTTAATTCTTTTTAAATCTGAAACTTCCAAGTGTTTTAAATAGACTCTAGACAGAAAAATACGACTACAGGAATGCCCTATGCCCCGCTCCACCACATAAAGGCAGCATTAGAGGTTGCCATGGAACTCTTACCATAGCAAAATAATTAGCCCTTTGGAAGTAGAGAATAATTGCTGCCCTCTGTGTGAAGTTACTTAGAACTCTCAAAAAACGCATCACCACAAAATCACTGGCCTAAAATCTGGGCAGTTCACTCCATGCATTTAATCATATGGAAGTTCTGAGCATCCTGTGTGTGTGCACACAGGATGAGAAAGGGCACTGTCTACATTCTACTTCTGCCACCTACATACCTATGTGACTGTGGACAAATCAGTGCCCTCCAAGGTTATTTAGGGATAACTGTACAGCCTTTAAACAGTCTATGGAAGCAATCAGTAGGCAGGGCATGTGGTTAGGCCTAGCAATGCAAGGCTTCAGAAAGATGCCCCATAAACCTCATTGGCCACCGAGGCTAAGGGTCCAGCCTCTGGAGCTGCTGGGACTCACCACTGCTGCTGGGACTCGGCTTCCTCTGAAACCTTCGTGCTCGGCTCGGGAGAAGGCGGCCGCCTCTTCCTCTCCTCTTCCTCTTGCTGTCTGCGCACTTCCAGTAACTCCAACTAAGAGAAAATAGAGTGATGTTTGGTAGAGTCCCAAACTCTGCCTCTTTTCAGAAAAAGGTTCTAGGAACCCAGGAAGTCCTCCTGTCTAGTTTGCTAAACTGGACCACACTGGACAAGAAGCTCTAACATCCTGAGCCAAATGGAATTAGGTTCACAGGAACTGCAGCTACAACCTAAAACTACAGGAAATAGTCTATTCCATGGGCTGGCAAAATTCCTGTGAGTTGTTTGTAGGACCCCTGGGAGCTTGGGTTTAATTTCTAAAGTAACTATGCAACTCTCAACTCTGCTGAGGAGAAAAGTACCTGAGCCTGAGGGTTCATGCTGGACTCCCCAGGAGAGCTCAGACAAACACCAGGGACAGAGCTGCAATAATTCTCAAGGAAGCCGCTTGTGCTGTGGTGGGGATCTGTGTTCAGCCAAAACCCAAACAACACATTAAAAAGCCACAGAATAGTCTAACTGAAACAAAGCCATTTCATGAGTCATATGGATGTACCAGAAGTACTCTGTTTTAACACAAATGTATGCAGGTACATTTTAAACACCCAGAACTGGAAACCAGAAACACCATTTTTGTACACTGCAAAGGATCAGCTTTCTACCAGGAATGCAAAAGTCTTGGGAGAGGAAACACCAGTGCACAAATCCTATTCTAAGGCCTTTATGTTGACAGAAGAGGGGATCAGGACTGGGGACTTAACAACAGGCTAGGATTAAGCTTCCATTTGATGGGAATTCTAATTCTGAAATTCTGAAGAAAATTTTGAGGCCATGCCCCCTTGAGAACAAAGCTTTTATGAGATAGGGGAGAATGAAAGATTCGAAGAAAAAAGCAAACACCACCAATCAACCCCCAGGCAGGAAGCTACTATAAGGGATCATAAATCCAGGTGCCCAGGATGTGACTGAGGAGGTAACAGTCCTGACCCTCTCCCTAGGTCCTGCTCCACAGGAGCCACCCATTTTAAGATGATCTTCACTACTTGAAAAAAACCCAAAAAACAAAAACAAGCAATCGTGTGAATTCCCTGGTCTAAGAGGCAAGCAGGAAGAAAAGGCTGCCCAGGGCACCAACAGACAAAGGGCCCAGCGGCCACTTACTGTAGTCAGCCTTTCCAGGGCAGAGAACCTCTCATCCCAGGTTGCTGCAGACTTTTCAAATGCCTCGTGGCGCTTGATGAGCTTCTCCACCTCGTCCACGCTCTGGCCTATCTCTCGGCTGGATAGGTACGGCTCCTGTCCAAGCAGCCAGGCCTCGGCCACACTGGCGTCTCTTGAGAACTGATGGACCTCCAGAACTGCACAGGGTACCATGAGTTAGTACACGTTGACCAGGAGGTGCCGGGCAGTCATATGGCCTTACCTCTTGGCACTGCTGCCCTCTGGTGATGGCTACCTGCATAACCAGTCTATCGTCTACTCTAAATTAGCCCTGTCCAATGTAAATGTAATGTGAGCCACACTTGCAACTTTGACTTTTCCAGTAGCCACATTAAAAAGAGTAAAAATAAATAGGTGAAATTAACTTTAATAGTGTATTTCACATAATATGTATAAAATTATTACAACATGTAATCAATATGAAAAAAACTATTGAGATCTGTTACAATCTTTTTTCTTCTAAATCTAAATCTGATGTGCATTTTACGGCACACATTCACTGCCCATCTCAATTTGAGACATTTCAAGTTCTCAAGAGCCACACGTGGGAAAGCAGCTATCATACTGCTCAGCGCAGGTCTACAGTGAACGCTCTGTTCACTCGGCCCCACTTCATGAGCTAAGCCTTCAGAGACCTGCAGGAATTCACAATCTACACGTAGCCAGATGGGCAGGCATTCTTAACTCGCCCTCTTTTGGGCGGTAGTTGTGTGTTTTATTTTGGGGGGTTTAGAGGGAGGGAAGGATATGGGAACACTACAGATGGTGGGGACCAAGGCTTTTGCTCTGTTTCATTCTGTTCTTCCACCTGTGAGGAAATGGAACACTAGTTCCAACATAGTTATGAGAAGGTAGGTTAGAACCAGGCTTTCTGCTATAGTTAACACTGATTTTCACTTCATTTCATGCAGCAAAGCCTGGGATCATTGAGGTAAAAAATGGACTGTGGGCAGCGTTGGTGTCCCAAGGAGCTGGCTAGCTATCTGCTTTCAGCACCTCGGTAGCCCCCAACATGACTACATGAAGAAGATGCCACCTCTGCACTAGGGACTTACTGGCTTTTCAAGGCAGGGACTGTGCATATCACTGTGTCCCTGGTGTACAAGCTGGTGCCCGGTTCAGTGTGTAATGTGGGTTTTGCTGAGCTGAATGAAACTGCCCCACAATTCTCAAAACATACAGACCAAATCCTCCTGCAAAGAATGGTCAAAAAGTGGGATTTCTGAGGGCTCTGGGCCCAACAGAGTGTGCCGTCAAACCTCTCAGAAAAGGCCCTTGCATTTGGTTTCTAGTAAACCCCCATAACATGCATAGATGGAGTTAGAACATAAGGACAGAGCCCAGAACTCCAACAGAGAATGGCAAAGCATGGTAAGCAATGCTAGAATTGCGCTGTTAGTGCTCATACCAATTATGAAATGCTATTCCTAATACTGTACATTATAAACCCTGTATTAGCTCACATATTCCCTTATAAAATGAGAATTAAAAATAGAATCTAATTCACAGGGTCACTTTGGGGAATAAACACAGAAATACATTAAAAAACCACTTAGAACAATGCCTCATTCACAGCAAAATTTTAATAGATGTTAGTTTTTATTATGTTATCAACATTCCACTAAGAGCACCAAATATGACTTAATGAGATCAACTTTCCAACTTGATTCTGTAGTAAGAATTCTTGAAGACAAATGGGGGAGAGGGCTTCTATCTGTATTCTCCCAGGGAGGTGCCCTCTGTCATCCCTAAAGAACATCCAAATCCCACCTATGACACTGAGATCAATCAAGAGGTGAAAAATGACTACGCCATAGGAAGCTTCTTAAAAGTAGTATTTACCATGAAATGGTGAAACGGGGCACTAAAAAGGCATCTACAACTCGAACAATCTTTAAATGATAACATTAATGAATTAAAGCAAGAAAATAAACGTGCATGTTTTCCATTGATACCCAAAAGAGCAGAAAGATAAACTACATCCTTACTCAGTCTTAACCATTCCCATCGGTCTTCCCACTTGTCGATCATTTCTTTCCTCTTTTCCGTCAACTGCAGTAATTTTTCCTTGATCTGTATGAAAAAGAGGATCCCCGGGACATCTTAATGGAATGCACCACATCCTCTTGATGGGGTCATTTTATACTAGAAAAATACATTTTCTGCAAAGACCACCATTAAGCTGGGAGATATCTAAGGACTGCTCAGTCTGTCTGAGGACTGGGAGAGGAAAGAAAAGCATAGCACTGCTCCTTCCAGAAGGGGCTGGAGGAAGGCGCGGAAGCCCTGCCAAAGCTGTTTTGTCGTGAGGAGGCTCCCTGCGGCAAACACGTTCAGGAGAGGGACAGCAAGACGGACAAAGCCCTGACCTCTTGGAGAGGATGCCCATTCCCATGCAGGGGGCCACACACGCACCTAATAATTTACCTCTTTATTACCACCATCCTAACCAGAATCACCAACCATGCACTCAACAGCAAACTGATCTAGGGCATAGTCAATGGACATTGGCGTCACCTAGAAAGAGTACTGATTGGGGAGGATGCGGAGTCCATTTTGTAGCCCTCAAAAATTGTCTTCTGTGCCAGAGATTTACCAGCCTGGGCCTAGAGTCTTGCATAATTGCATTATTCTAGACGCACAGGAAAGGAGTTTTAAAACATATGTGTGTGTGTATAAGAATGTAAACACAGTATCTCTGACACACACAAACATATAAAACAAAGTCATTTTACATCTTGACGCCAGCTGCAGCTCCAAAGCAAAGTAGCAACCTACCTCCTCAGATGCATAGTGTTTTCTCGCCAACAGGGATTTCCCAAGTTCAATGCAGGTTGTGAAACTGTCATTACGTGCATCAATTTCAGCTTTGATGCCTTGATGATTATTCATTAAGAGTTCAACAGATGATACATCCCTAAAATTAGACAAACGATGCCTCCGTTAGGAGATCAAGCTTTTCAAAAAATGTGTAGGTTTTAAAACACACAATTAATTTGAAAGAAACTGATGGCCTTGAAAGAAACTGATGGTCTTTCAGGTCTGAATCACTCCCTGAGCTTAGGCTGGGCCACTGGAGCCAAAGCACAGTGACAGCACAGTTCAGTACCAGCCAGGTAACCAAACTGTAGAATATGGCTGCTTTTGTTTTTGTGTGTGTGCCTGAATAATTCAAAATGGTTGCTAGGTGGGTGCCAGAAAAAGCAATGGTTTTCTGTTCAAACTTTTACTTTGAAATGCAAGTCAGAAAGACTCTCTTCTAGAAAGTAGAGAAGCAGCAAGAGGTGCCGCAATCGCACCTTGATGAGTTAGCTGTCAAAGATTCAGGATGGCCATATCAAAGAGCAGCTAATACGGTCTCCTTATTCAGACACAAAAAGATACACAGGATGGGAACTAGCCTAGACAGCAGTGACCAGCATGGATCAAAACCTACTGATCCTGATCCAGGAAATACAACTGCTTCAAAAAAATATATATCATAAAAAATCCCTTTTATTGCAGCATAGTTTCTCAATTACAGTGGGGGCTGGAGCTGGCAGAGGGGTGAACTGGAGGTTAAATATGTACCTGTGTGTTCCTCTATTAACTTCTCTTCACTAATTTGCATGAAACAAAGCCAAAGATATAGGACAAATATTAAATAATAACCCAAGGACACCATATTAAAGCAGATGTTGAGGGTGACACCTTTAGTAATGTGCATGGAAAGGGATAGAGTGGTCTTTAATCCAAAAAGCAGGCACAGAAAAATAACTCAGAAAAGTCATCTCATTGCAAAGACGGGGCAGTTAGTCATGTCCAAGGTACGTGGCTACTTGAAGCCCAAGGTCCTACTTCAAGCACATATGTGGGCAAGAGGGCCTGAGTGACTGTGGGTCAAGGGAGCCAGGAGTAGGGAGAATGGGACAGGCTTTGATAACCCCAGGCTCCCACATTCCCTGGTGATGGTGTGCACGAGCCAAGTGCACGAGGCAAGCAGTGGTGCCGCACTCCAAGCACCGCCCCACCCCCACTCTGGCCTTGAAGCGCTCAGGCAGGAACGCTTTCAAGGCTCCTGCTTCTCTCTGGAAGACTCCTGTGTTTTAACCAAGCGCCAATAAGTCCAATTTCCTTTGGGCTGAAAGCGTTACCTTGGCTTCTCCTGGGCCTCGATCTGCCGGATGACATCCTCCATCCAGAGCATGAGGTCGCGCACCATGCTGAAGAAGCGGAACTTGTCCCCTGTGTCCACCAGCCGCACCCTGCGGCTCTCACAGGCGTCCAGGAGGGACTTCCAGGCTTCCAGGACCTCGTTCTCGCGCTTCTGGATATCGTCGGCCTTGTCACCCGCATAGGCCGCCTGGAGGCGGGCTGCATCCTCCTGCAGCTGCCTCACCTGTGAAGCCATGTAGGGGATGAGCCAGGTCAGCCCATGGCGGCCTTCCCACCATCACCCCAAGCCCTATTCTGTTCTGCTCATACACTAAAGGGAGCACAGAGTCAAAATATGGCCCATGCCCCTTAAGGAGCCCTCAATTTCACTGGGGAGATCCAAGTCACAAAAACCCGTTTTCTATAAATCTGTTCAACTACATTATTAAGTTCTTTATGAATGATAAAACAAATGAAATGCTACAGGAAGACAGGCAGGAGAGTTTAGTCAGGGAAAGTCCCCTGGAGGCAGCCTGGGATATCTGAGTGGGACATATTCAGATACAGTCCAAAAAATAAATACCTAATCTGCTATCTCGGGGTAAAGATAAATGTTTTTATGATGAATGGGAAACTGCCATGAAGAGCACATTTTGAAAATGACTTCTCATTGCTATGTGAATACAATGTATGTATCGCCTGTAAGAGTTCTCACCGTGGGACATTTACACTCAAAAAGTATAAAAACGTGGCACCCTATGTGGTTAAAATAACTAATTAACGTTAAAGAAGGTGAAACTTGAAATAGCCAAATTTCAACAAAAACCTTGCAAAACTAAAAATATACATTGAGAATTGTGATTTGGTAAATGGAGCCAATGGTACACTTCTACTTACATCTACATATTTTGGTTGAGTTATCTTTTTCAGCTATGACAGTCATAAATAAAAGAAAGAAAGAAAGAAAGAAAGAAAAGAAAAAAACCAACAAACCAACACAGAAACTGGCATGAAGAAAACATTCAGAAAGCAGGAAATGCAAATGGGTCTTAAACATGAAAAGATGCTTCATGGAGATACTGTAATGTGTCATCTATTAGTTGGCAAAAATCCAAGTGTGATGATATATTTGTCAGTGAGCTCATTCTCTGTAGACAGGAGTGTAACAGACTACAGCTCCTACAGAAGGTAAATGGGCAGTACCCATGAAAATTATAAATGTGGTACCTTCTGATTTTATGATCCTACTTTGGGGAATTGATCCTACATATACATTCTTGCATATTTAGGATACGAAATATGCATAGATTATTTACTGCAGCAGTGTCTGTAAAAGCAAAAGACTGAAAATAAAGTGACTATCAGTGAAGGACTGGTTAAATTAATGATGGTGCATCCAGCAGGAGACTCCTGTGCAGCCATGAAAAAGAATGAGGAAGGGCCTCTGTGTAGTCACATGAAAAGCACACCAAGATGACAATGAAGTGGAAGACAACGTGCATAATATTTTTCTTCTGTAAAAACAAAAATAAGATTACATTCTTACCTTTTTTTTGGGGAACGGTATATGTCTTTAAAACTGAAGCTAATAACTGCAGCTAATTTTATAGTTAAATTTTCTCCTCTTACATGCCTTATATAAAGTATGTAACATCAGTAGTGCCATACTTGTGTACAATGTCTAATTAAAGGCATACACATATAGGGGAATGGACACACAATCATCACGTACTGATAAAGCTGCGTGATCAAAGAAGTCCGCAGACAACTGTCCTGGATTATGAGAGCTTTTAGATGTCTATGAGAGTAGAATATGGAGAAATGCTAAGTGGGGTAAAAGGCGGGGGGGTACGGACAGCAGTAGGGCTTGTGGGGAGGTGGATTACTGACCCCTGATTGCACAGAAGCACTTTAGGTGATAACAGGTTAAAAAAGAAAAAAAGCAGTTTCTGCAAAAGATACAAAGAAGAACCAACAGGCTTTGGTTTCCAGTGTGATTTGATTTCCATATCCTAAAGGATTTTTGGAAATATTCTTTGATTATGGCTCAGGTTTAACTCAAATTACAATGAGCAAATTCCTAGGAAATTATCTGAAAAGCTAATTTTCCTACACAATGAACCATATTTTTCAAAACACCTGTTTCTGTGTCTCTGGCTGTTTTCAATTTGCTCGCAATAAAATGTAAGGTACAAGAGGACAGCAAAAGTGAAAATTTCCACAAATATGAACTATTGCTTTGCATAACCACTCAAGACCTCCATCAGTGCTATGTGTCATTCCCACAGCTCCCGTGCAGAATGGAGACAGTGGCACTTCAAGTTGGCACAAAAGGAAACAACCAAAGAAGAAGCACCATGTACTCCTGGGAGCCTGCACCATGAGCCTTCCCTTTTGCTCTGTTATTCTGTGAAAAGAAACCCAGATCAGGTCAATACCTGCAGTAGGACACACATCCTTTTCACTGCTATAACATCATAGCCCAGTGGGTATGGTGAGGTGCAGACTATCAGACTCGAGGGACGAGATTCCCACCCTGGATGTTCCGAGACCCTTCTTTGGCTTCCTCATCTCTAAGTCTAATGAGGTGAAGGGATTTAATGAAAAAATGAGAGAGCAACTCCACTGTCTCTCAAGTGTCTTGCAGTTCTAAAAGTAAATGATTTTAGAGGTGCAGAGGAAAGACCTATGTTGTCAAGGTGTTTTCTAATTCTATCTCTAGATATCCCATGTTTCCCTAAACTTTTGTTATATAATAATAATTAGAAAACATTTCTAGAGATCTCACTATGTCATATGTTTTGCACCTCAATCCTTAAACTATTAGGGAACCAAAGCTTAGAGAGGTAAATTAAACTTGCCATCATAGTGACAGGAATTAAGAATTAAGGGGAAGTGAGAGAGAACAACTATCAAGGTGGTCCCTTCATAGAACAAATCCCAAAGTATACCAAAGCTATTTAGAGGCTGAGGCACTAGACTGGGTCAGCCCAAGGCCATATCTGGGTGGCCTGTTTCTGTAAATAAAGATTTATTGGAACACAGCTACGCTCATTCATCTTCTCACTGTCTATGGCTGCTTTATTCTACAATGACAGAGGGCAGAGCTGCAACAGAGTATGTATCTCATAAAGCGAAAAACACTATTTGGCCTTTAACAGAAAAAGCTGAGATAACTTAGATACTCAATATACTCTTAACAACAAGAACCCTTGACATAATCAGGGATAACATCTTTAATAAAATTGGCTTCTTCTCTAGGGCCATGAAACTTAGAAGAAAAAAAATACAATTTGTTTTTCAACTAAAAGGCATAAGACTAAACAAGAAACTGTGCAGAGATCAGAAAGGAAACTAGAGAGTGATTACACTAGATTCTGTTATATTGTTACTACTTTGTCAAACATCTTTTAAACAAAGTCTTAGTGCCAGTCATTTCATACTGGGGACGAGGCATGATAAAATGTCAGAATCCTGTTTTTTTCTTTTTCCAGACATACAACTTAGAACCTGGTTGATGAAAAATAGTAAAATATTATTTTGGAAATTGTTCTGGATGGATATGCTAACATAATAAAAACACTTGCTGAGGCCTATAACTTGCAAACATCTGTGTATGCATCTGGTTTATTTATTTTAATCATGGGGGCACTCATCTAATGTTCACAAATGTGGCAAACGTAGACCTTTATGGACTGATAAGTTCTCCCAAATGGAGCACTATTACAAAGTGGGTACATGTATGTGCTTAATTGGGGCAATTCTTTTGAAGAGCCAAGGAACAGGGAGATACTTACAGATGCCCAAAGATGTTCTATGGAGAAAAAGCCTCCCCAGCACCCCTGGGTGGCTGCCATACCCACCTGTGTGCCCAGAGCCTGGATGTCATGCTCAAATGTAGTGTGCATTCTCTGTAAGGTCTCCACTGTGTTCTGATCTCTCCCAAGCTCCTCAGGGAGTTTCTTGTGTTTGTCCTGTATACGCCCAAAGATCTCCTTGGCATCGTGGTAAAACTTGTGCAGTTCATAGGAAGCGGCAAGAATCTGTGTTCTTGTGTCAATGAGCTCCAGGAGGTCGGCCCAGGCTTCATTGAGGCCATCCTTCCATTCAGCGATGGTGGCGGCATCTGAATGTCCAGAGTTGATGAGCTCATCTGCCAGGTGATTGACCGTGTCCACGCGCTCCTGCCCAATGTTCCCGGTGTCTCGGGCAAACTCCCGGAATCGTTCTTGTAACATCTGAAACGGGGATGGGTAAGGAAATCAGAGAGCCCACTGTGAACTCTGTATTTCTTGATCACATGAATACCCTTTGGAAAGAAACTGCCTCTAAGCAAGATGTAGCCAATAATACTCATGACTTCAGAACAATAGATCTTAGCTCGAGAACCTCTTAGCAACTGGGTTTCCTTTCTTGCTCACTGCAGCAGAGTGAGGCACTACCTCCACCTCCTTTTACTACCGGAGGAAGGGGTGCACAGAGAGGTTAGCCAACCTAAATGCGAGTCACCAGCTTATAAAAGAAACACCACCTTAAAACTAAACCCCAAGACCTCTGATTGGAGTCCAGGGCATTTTATCTGCTCACAGACAAGGAATGCAAATGGCCTTCCACACCATCGCTTACTGCACAACCAACTCATGCACTGCCTCAAGTACTTGCCGTGACATGCTCATAGTCCTGTCCCAGTTCATGGGACCCTGCGACCACCTCCCTCTCAGCGATCCACTGCTCCAGGTCGTCCACCTCCCGGTTGAGCTGGAATAACCTGTGTCTCTCATCCAGCTTGCCTCTTCTCTCTTCAGCAAGGTCTTTCAGACCAGCGTACAGTTTATCCACTTTGGACTGCCGCATGCTAATGCGCTCACTGAAAAAGAAAAGGAGCAATGGGGAGAAAAAGGATCTTAAATGTCAAGTTTCTTCAGGGGAAAAACAAATGAGGTGGAGATAATGGGAGAGCATATTACATCATATTTCTCAAAGGAAACTCTGGTTAACCCACTTAGCATGAAAAATAAAATTCTGAAATTGGCCACAATTTGAAGTCGTGAAGAGCCAATATGTAAACAAAAGAGCCAATATGTAAACTACATTCACCTATCCCTACTATTACACTAGGGATGGGTAGTGCCTCATTCTGCTGCAGTGAATAGTGGGGGCAGGAGAATTTAGCGGGGAAAGGGGAAAATTCTCTCTGCACCTCTGGCTCTGCAAATCAGGATTTCCTTTGATGTTAAAAGTTAATGCAAAATCTTCCCAGTCAGGAAGGTGACAAAAGAGAAAATAAGTTAATGCAAAATCCAGAGTGGTCTTGCATTCTCTGGTACCATGCTGCCAGAGGGACAAATGACACAGCCAGTGTGGCACGCAAGGCCCTCTACCTTCTCTGGGCAGAGTGCCCATCCTTGTTAGGAGGGCTGGACCGGCTGCTCCATCTCATGATTCCCAGGTGCGCAGTCAGGAGACTGAATCCCCCTCCCTCCAACTTCTCCCCAGAGTGATGGTCTACAAACCAGAATATCAGAGACAAAGGACATGTTGGTGCCTATCCCTGGAGACTAGGAAGGCCACTTTCCTGGGAATCCTGATCATGAACATCTTAAGAACCTCCTACACCAACAGAGCCACTGACCTCATCTCCCCTAACCTGCCCTGGTTAAATGCACAAGGCCAATTCCTTTCCAAGTCATAAAAGGCATTTACACAAAAATCCTAAAATGACTGCTTTGGAAGTTAATACAGGGGCCTGATGAGTACCACACACTCACCTCTTCTTTTTCCTCGAAGGTGTTCTAATCACTTGATATCGAAGAGTTAGGAGGTGTTATCACTTTGTTCTTCCTGGGAGCCCCTTCATTTTACAGGTCTATGCATTCTTGTCTAATGCTCCTCTTAAAACTAGTAATTACTTTACTAAACTGGATGACTTTTTCAACCCAAGTGTAAGTGCTATGACTATCTGTATCCACCATGCAAGTCAACCTGTACTTCTGATCATTTTTATTTTTTTGAGACAAGGTCTCACTCTGTCACCCAGGCTGGAGTGCAGCAGTGTGAACATGGTTCACTGTAGACTCAAACTCCTGGACTCAAACCATCCTCCCAACCTCAGCCTCTTGAATAGCTGAGTAGTACAGACGTGTGCCACCACACCCAGCTGATTTTTTGTATTTTTTGTAGAGATGAGGTTTCGCCACATTGCCGAGATTGGTCTTTGGCCCCCTGGGCTCAAGCAATCCTCCCACCTTGGCTTGGTAAAGTGCTGGGATTACAAGTGTAAGCCACTTTACGTTGACTGCCCAGCCTAGTCAACCTGTACTTTTGACTCACGACACCAATATTCTTTCAGGAGAGCCTTGGCCAACGGGAGATATTTAACCCACAAGAGCAATTTCCTAATATAACAGTTCACCCATCCTAATCATGATAGGATGTTTTAAATGATGGGTCTGTTTTAAAAATGCTTCTCAAAGATTTGCCTTACCAGCAAGTCATGATGAATGCTGACATTTTCTTTTGGTGGGGGTTAGCAAGAGACCCTAACTGAGAGGAATCGAGAGCCGGGTCTCACACTCATGAAGCAGCGCTCACCTTTCAGGATGGCTGTCGGCCACCAGGGCCCGGCTGGTCTTGGAGAGCTGATGCACGGTCTCTGCATAGTCCTCCACAGCTTGTTCTAAGATCTGGTGCTTCTTCAACATGGAGACAGCACTCTGCTCATCCTGCAAAGACAGGAGAACATCACAACCATAGCGGTCCCCTCTGGCCCTACCCCTTAAGGAGTGACAGACCAGCTGCTCAGCAGGGTAGGAGGAAGGATCAGTAGAAAGAAAAACTCCAGAGGTGCAGTACGGACAGTGGAACACAGAAGTGTTCCAAGAGCTTCCATATGGACTGGACCACAGAAGCCTGTGCAGAAGATAAACACAAGGAGAACGCAGAATGAGCAGGGCCCCTCTCAGAGAAAAGCTTGGGCAGACCAAGTGTGCCTGGTTCGCTGGAATTCCTCAAGGTCCCTCAAGTATGTAAATGGCAGCATTCCTGGAACCTTGCAATACTTTCAAATTGTCTCCAAGCCATCCTGTATTTTGTAAAGTTTAGGGAACCTATAAATAGACAGCAGGAAGGACTCTGGCATATTTCAAAGATGAAAGGATGAACCTGTTCTTAATGGCACACTAGGATTCAGATAAGAAAATGCTGCACCAAAGGGAAACCAGCAGCTGGATTTCAGACACCTTCATGCACATGGTGTCCCCTTAACACTCAAAGGCTACAAGGGAAGTTTTTATACAGACAGAGCCGCCAGCAGAAAGTGTGCCCAGGGTTTGAATCTGAGGCTCTCCTGGGACAGGGATGCTTCCCGCCTCCTCTCACCTTGGCCTTCTCCTCTGACATCATGTACAGCTCCTGCTCGCTCATCCAGGCTTCGGCCTCAGCAGCGTCAAAGTAGTACTGCTGGGCCCTGTGCGCCTCCTCCAGCCGCCTGTGGCGTTTCTCTGTCTCCTCAATGAGGAGACCCCACAGCTGCTTCAGGTCGGCAAGCCTCTGTCTGATGGCCTCAGCGCTGAGGCTGCTGCTGTCAGTGACGATGTTTTGGCTCCTCTCAAAGATGTCGTCAATGCGAGGCTGGTGCCCCTGGATTTCTTTCTGGAGGGTCTGGAGGGAGCGGAAAATACACACAAAGGCTTGCTAAATGGCAGCCGTCTGCTGCTTATGTCAAGCTGTTAGGGCCAGAAAGAAATAGCAAGGCTTCAAAGCTCTCTGCCATTCCCAGTCTCATAATTTAGAGCAATTATTTATCAGACAGAACTAGCTCGAGCAGAAAGGCTTACCTGATTTTTCTTTATTAACAGCTGCACAGTCTGGAGGTTGTGGCCATGATCCGTGGAAGTTGCCAAAGGCATCCTCTCTCCAACCCACAACTGGGAAGAATTTTAAATAAGTGGTCAGATCCACTCAGAGGAACAAATATACGACACAAACGAGCAGTGAGGGGCAGTGAGGGACAGCAAGGGTGAGCTTCAGAGAGTGCTCAGCCCCCTCGGGAGGGCTGTCTGGGGAAGCACGCCCTTGTTCTCCGAGACAGGGCTAGGGAGAGTCTTTCCAACTCTACCTCATCCTCAAGGTCAAACTCACTGTGAGTCCTCATTACTTTTAAAAAGTCTGTTTTAGGGCCATTAAAATCCTACAGTATCCCTAGATAACGTGAGAGGACCAATGGAGTTACATTTAGGGTGAAAAGGGAAAGAAACTTTAGACCATCCAGAGCGTGGACTTTGGCAGCTCAGCTTGCCAACGTGGCCCAAGGTGAGGATGACTGAGAAGTGAGAATGTGGGCTTTAGCACAGGCAAGGGGGCTCGTGGAAAAGCCATGTGTGCAGTAGGGGTCGACTCACGATCTCGTCCTCCACATCCCTGTTGAACTGATGGATCTCTTTGGAGGCCAGCAGGTTATGCTTCCTCTCGTTCAAGGGCTCCAGCAACTCCATGAACTTGGTCTGCACGGTGAGGCGCTTGCTGTCTACCTCGTCGGTGCTCTTCCCTTCCTGACTCAGGGCCTGGGCTTGGCTTTGGAGCTCTTCGATCTCCTTCTTCCGCACTTCCATCTGATTCTCCAGCATCTGAGGGCAGAGAAGCAGCCTCAGCGCTCAGCACAGACTATCTTTTGCAGTGACTGGCTCTAAGCAGAACTGCTGGGCCTGGGACTTGGCCACACCGCAAAGCCAGCCATGGGAGCCACTCAAACATTTTGCCACTGACTTGCTTTTCAACATCAATGGAACTGTTTTCAAGTAAATCTGAGGTAAATTCATTTGCCCTTAAAGCCCTCTACGGTGATATAATATAAACAGTTATTTTTATTACCTATAAAGTGCCTTGAACAACTCAGATAACTGTCACAAATCACGATGTTAAACAACAAAGTATGAGAATATTTCTTTCGTGTAAAATGCAGAATTGAATGAGATGAACATTTATTTAACTGTTAAACGGTGATAATACCCATTAACTAAGAAAATTATCAATCCCATACACAGACAGCCAACACCCAATACTCCTAATACTGTGTCTTTCTAGTTTGGACAAGTGTCTTTCTATTCTGGAAATGTTCTACGATGCTGTTAGAGCAAGTAATATTTTGGGTTAAAAATGCCTTCCCATGGAAGGTGGACTCCTGATAATGCAGTGGGTGAGAAAAGACTCTAAGGACTATGGCTGTAAAACAGAAATACACCCAAGTCCATGATGGCTTGTCCACTTGCCTGTTGCTTTTTCAGCAGGATATTGACACTGGTCAGGTCTTTGCCATAGTCATCAGACTGAATCTGACTCTCCAGGCCGTGCAGCCATTTGTCTAGATCTGCACAGCTCTGGGTGAAAAGTTCGGCCTTGTTTGCATCAAAGAGCCGCTGGGCCTTTGTCTGGGTAGTGGATTCAAGGACTTCCCACATTTTATGTAAACCAGTGAGTTTCTCCTTCACCACAGCTTCCGTCTCAGGCTTTTCTGAAATGAGCTGCATTCCTTCCTGGAAAACAAAACCAACATGGTTGTAAATAAACAAGTTTGCTACAGAAAAAATGTCACTGTGAAAAACAAACCTAGGACATTTGATCTGTGATTTAACCATTCACTCAATACACACAGTCTTTCCACATGAAGTTACTGCTCAATAAAATCAACAACGACCCCTAGGTTGTGTACATTACAAGGGTTTCATGGGAATTAAGCAATAAATGTTACATGCTGAAATAGTCTCAACTGGGGCAACGGAATACTGAATGCTAATAACGTGACTTTATCTCCTCCATTCCATGACCAAAGATGATATACAACACATTATTATTATTATTATTATTATTATTATTGTTATTATATTGAGACAGAGTCTCGTTCTATCACCCAGGCTGAAGTACAGTGGCGTGATCTCAGCTCACTGCAACCTCTGCCTCCTGGGCTCGTGCCTCAGCCTCCCCAATAGCTGCGATTACAGGCACATACCACCAGGCCTGGCTATTTTTGTATGCTTCATAGAGATGGGGTTTCACCATGTTGGCCAAGCTGGTCTGAAACTCCTGGCCTCCAGTGATCCATCTGCCTTGGCCTCCCAAAGTGCTGGGATTACAGGCATGAGCCACCGTGCCCTGCCAACACATTATTTTAACCGTGAAGAATCTGAAACACTATAAAAAGTCTAAAAGGAGAGAAGTCGGGGGGAAGGGGGGGACTCCATATTCATCTTCAGTTATGCTGCCCAGAATCTCTCTGTGCAAGAATAACACATCATAGTAATTATTATAGCGCCTGGTATACAGTAGTCTCATAGGAAAAAGCAATTTTAAAAAATATGTATATATTTAAAATTATGTGCAATCTGTCACAGTACAACACAAATAATATGATCAAGACAGTGGAATCCCTGCATGAGAGCTCACAGTCCATCAGCAACAGCAGATGAGAGGCACAACAGAAACTAAATGCCTAGTATTCGTTCTACGATAAATCAAGCATTTTCTACTAACTGGTTGGGTTTCTGCTTTTTTCCCTTTTGATGGGTTGAAGTCAGGAACCCGTACGTGCAAAGGGAGCTATTACTGGCTGTGTAACTTACGTAAATGTACAGATAAGATCAGATATGCTGGAAAATGTGCTAAATAAAAAGGAGTTTATTACTACCCTGTTTGTTTTCTCACCATGGCCACATCAAATGTTTTAACTCACCTTCTCGATTTTGTCAAGCCATTCTTTGTTGGATGCAAGTTCTGCCATAAATGCTTGATGCTTCAACCATTTACTGTGCAGATTTCTGGCTTCATCGTAAGACATGTCCTGGGCTGTGAGCATCTTCTCATTGATCCAGAGAGACAGCTACAGAAAGATCAGAAGGATTCAGAGATTGTGATCCTAGACATCAGCCTTTTTTCCGCCTGGAAAGGGTTGTGTTTATGTCATATTATGCATACTACACACGTTTCCATGGTGACAGACAACCAAATATTTAACTTCACAACTCTGACCCGTCATGACAGGTGTCCATTAGATGGAGCTTGTACCTGAGCTCTGCTCCAAACTATATCTAA
This sequence comes from Homo sapiens, assembly GCF_000001405.40. Taxonomy (NCBI): domain Eukaryota; kingdom Metazoa; phylum Chordata; class Mammalia; order Primates; family Hominidae; genus Homo; species Homo sapiens. Next base: position 54,642,770 of record NC_000002.12, on the reverse strand, counting down.
CATTCATTCCAGAAGTACAAAAGCTCTATAAGCCAGTTTTCAAACTGTTTGGCACTCATAACTGGCTTTCCCCACAAAAGGCCCGTGTTTAAAATTCTACCCTAACCACTCCAAGACATGACTCTTTTTCTCTTCCAAATACCTGTGTCAGCTATACCATGTTAATCATGATTGACTTTTACTCCATTTGGCAATCCTTCTTACTCTCTTAGTTCTTTTTATTAAAAAAAAAAAAAAAAAACTACTTATTTATTACCTCCCCCTTTTTGTGGGTGCATCGAAGGGAATGCAAAAAGGCATAAATAACTTGCTCACTGTAGGGCTAAGGCAACAATCATGCCCTTTCAATGTTTCCTTCAAGTTTGAGTCACCTTCACCTCTTTTTCTATAGCCTCTAGTTCTCTAAAGAACCTTTCATTCACACCAAGAACACTTCACAGGACTTGATTTTGAGACCCAACATGTCTGCTTGGATCTGAACTCTAGAGAGCCGCACAAAGGCTGCTGGCCGCTGACAGACCTGAGAAAGGAGCTCTCTTACCGGGGTCAGCCAAACGCCAGGCCCAGACCCACTTTTGCTGGCTTCCATCCCGAATCGGCCCTGGCTCATTACTGCCTGCCTGTAAGGGCCATGCCAGAGTCCTGATTCCCGCCCCATTTGCTTTGCTAACCTAGGAAGAGCTTTTTGTTTGCCCAGGCTGAAGATACACAAAAGAATGCAGAGCCAGCCTGGAATCAGAAGTAACCAACTGAAGGGACCATGTCCCTTCTCCTGAGTGACCGTGAGAAGCCCACTTTTACACCAGTTATTGTCACAACAAATTGGCACCTTAAATCCTTCATGGTTCTACCAACAAAGATCTAGAAGTGACACATAAAACCAGTAGAAGTACTTACAGAATTAACACTTCCAAGGCCCTTCCACTCCCACTGTGGGCTGCTGCCAGGAAAGGCTCCCCGAGATTTGTTTTTTGGAAATGATGTCAAGGAGAGCGACGTGGGTCACAGGAGCCCTCTGGCTCTGAAAGTGGGTGAACTCTTGGGCACTGTCCCTATTCTCAGGCTATTCACCACACAGGGAATGGGGCAGGGGGCGGGGGTGGGAGGGGGTTAAAAGCAAAAGGTAGTGAGATTTTTGATTTCACTCTTTGTTGAGGGAAAAACTAGCAAATCTCATAAAGTCCTTTGTCATCAAAGACCATGGATCTATTAGACAATAAAGGCACGCACTTCCTACTTGGAAAAAATTATCTATGTTCCAGTTATCTGGGCAGCTAAAATCTGAAAGACTATGGCTATTCAATCTTAGGGGAAAAGAAGTTAAAGTAAAACTTAATGACAAAATTTTTCCCAGTATTCTGTACATACACACAAAACAGAAGGCATTTATTGATTCAAAGTGCCAAGGACATTCACATATTTTCGCTATTCATAACCACTTACCCAAGAGGGATTAAAAAGAGAGAGAGAGAGAGCGCGCTACATAAAAATCAGAGGCTTATAAACAAATCTGCTCTTTGCTGAACACATCATCCTACAGATAAAGCATCATGCGATACAGCACAATGAAATGGATCTATGGAACTTGCTAGTTCATCAGCACTCTGCAACCAAAGCTACAGTTATTATTTGTGGGCATTTACAAAGGTCATTTAAGAATTTACTCATTCTCTGCAGAAAAGAACACTGTGCAGACTGGAAAAAGATAAGGAAAAAATGCTTTGATCGTTGAATCAAGCTAACAGTAAAGGACTAACTCACATCCCTGTACCAGACACATGTAGATATACTGCCTTCCTGGAAAAATAAAAATCAGTTCCAGAGAATAGGTGGTGTAATGTGAGGACATACAACACAAAAGGAATACCTTTAAAATCATTCATTCGTTTTTCAGGATATCACATTAAAATAACACTACCGGCCAGGCGTGGTGGCCCACACCTGTAATCCCAGCACTTTGGGAGGCCAAGGCGGGTGGGTCACTTGAGGCCAGGAGTTCAAGACCAGCCTGTCCAACAGGGTGAAACCTCGTCTCTACTAAAAATACAAAAACTAGCTGGGTGTGGTGGCGCATGCCTGGAATCCCAGCTACTTGGAAGGCTGAGGTAGGAGACTTGCTTGAACCCGGGAGGTGGGGGCTGTAGTGAGCTGAGATCCCACCACTGTATTCCAGCCTGGGCAACAGAGTGAGACTCTGTCTCAAACAAAACAAAACAAAACAAAACCACTACAAAGATGATGATGGTCTCTATCTTTCCACTGTAACTGGGAATAGGAGGGTCCCTGCTCATTCCAGCATACTGTATATGCCAGCATACTGTATTGCTGGTACAATAGCTGTCCTCATCTAGGTGGTGTTTATGGGGGTGGTAACAGGGGCGGATCTTACAATCCACACCTTCTCTAACCAAGGCACCCAACAAGGAAGGAAGCTGAACAAAGAGACAAACCCCTGGATTCCCCATACCTTGAACAATACCAACATCCTGTAATAGTATTAAATTTGACCTCTGAGTGCTCTGTAAATATCTACCAGAATGACAGGTAGATTATCAAATGTAGGGCTGGTCCACACACAAACGCCATTCTCAAAAGATTCTGGCTTAAAAGGGGTGTATTTTAATAAGGCTGAATGATGGAAAAGTTTATAGCCAATGACTGTATCACCCTTTTGATTATAGTACTATACCAAGTGTTTTAGAGCCCCCAAGCTTGACCTAAATTCCACCAACCATGCAGAGACTATACATGCTGGTGTGGGACACCCGACACCTCCCACAGACACTATGGCTGTACTAACTTCTAATGTGGCTCAAGGAGAGACAGGCAGGACAAGGGAAGACAGGATAAACCAGGATGATTTCGCAGAGCAGTCACACAGAGATCTGCAAATCATCTCCTGGACATAAAAAGCCCCACCCAAACTTTCCTGTGTCCTTTGAGGAGAAGTCACAGAAGACAGAGCCCCTGGGCATGCCTCATAATCACTGGAACTCAGCCAAGGTGTGTGTGGAGGAGAGAACTCCTCATAACCAGGGATGCTCATTTAGAGCAAGTGGAAACAAAGATCTAAAGACCTATTAAGACTGACCATTTCCTGTGATTCTATCGGGAAGAACCGTAACTTTATCTACTTACTTTTCCCATACATGTCTACTTAACGAAATCGACATATGTCAGTGGAAAATAAGAGACTGGAAATTTCAAATACAAATAGGTTTCTCTCAAGGGTTCCCCTGGCCACTCATTGCTCACTCCCTGGTCTTCTTTTTCTTAGATTTAAACTGAGCTTTACCATGGTTAGGTAAATGAATTTCATCTTACTAACTTGCCCTTTAAAAGCAGGAGTGTGGGATCCCATTGAACCCCCTACCCCCAGGAATATGGGCTGAGGTTACAGGGAGTCACAGATGGTTTCTCAAGGTGAAACAGGGACTACCAATCTGTGGAAGGCCCAGCCCAAGCTACAAACACCTCTTCATCCCTTTTACTCCCTCCAGTGAAAAATGGCAACTGGTATTACCGCAGCACACTAGGCAACTCCACATAGCTAACTTTAGATCCCATTACTCTCTTCTATGCCCTGTCTTGGCACATGAATGCCTCTGTAAGTGAGTATCCTACTCAAATGGGTTACTAATGCTTGCGTGTCACTTAGAAGAGGCACTCCTGTCTTCAGCCTGTCTGGCTCCGGGCAAATCCCCCAGAGACCTAGATTCATCAATGTGGTGCTTAAAGTTGACAGACCCTAAGCTTCATAGTTTAGGGGCTTTCCTTCTTAAGGTTTTGCTGCAAGAGCATATTACAAGATTTACAGTAAGACAGCAGTTTAACGGATGCAAAGGATTGCTTCTGTCATACGTGATCTAACGCAGCTGTCACTGGAGCCGTATTTCTTTTAATGCACAGTCACACATTTGCATGCAGGGTGTCTGTGATGATTGAAGTTGTATTCCCAGCGTATGACCTGATTCTACCCCCATACTCTTAGCCCCATCAAGGTTCCTGCAGCTTTTTGTGGATATTCCTCACCCCATTTTTGCCTGAGGATTTTTATTTTAATAAACCAGAGAGGGCTGAGTCTGTTATTCTCCGGCAGACAGAGAAATATGGTGTGCTCACGAACTCACACGTGAAATCAGCTAGATACTATTCTCCAACTAGCGTGCAGAGAAACTACTTTTTTCTGGCCAACTTTAGTTTTCAAAGTTTGTGCATGTATCAGAAGAGCATGAAATAGTACAATGATCATCAGATTAATGCCACATTAAAACTTGGTGCTTGGAATCAGCATTACTGCTCTTTGCATGTTAGATACACATGGGAACAGCCTGAAAGATGGATAGATGAAGGTCTTAAGCGAATAAGAAACTAATTTGTCTTTTGAAAATCTCTGCTTCTTACTTGGTAGCCAGTTTCAGTTCCCTTTAGTTCTTTCCTTCCATATCATTGAAATGTACATTGCTTTAAAGAGTGAAAGCATGACACTAAATACTTCTAGGTTGCACAATATTCTAGGACATCAATATCCAATACAACTTCCTTTGACGACAGAAATGTTCTATATCTGTGTTGTCCAACATGGTAGCCACTAGTCAAAGTTGGCTACTGAGCACTTAAAATACAGCTAGTGATGGAAGAACCACGCTCTTAGTTTTATGTAATTATAGTTAATTTAAAATGAAATAGCCAACCAACCATAAAGACATTGTGGCTGGTGTCTACTGTAATGAACAGTGCAGTACTATACTATTAATATAATAGTCTAGATTATAATGATCTAATTAAGCTGTACCTTGTAGGCTGGAGAACTGATGAAGTGCCACGTATCCCTGCCTGCGAGTCAAATGGGTGCTATGGATTTCTGGTTTCATTAATTTTATAATTCAAAAGGCTCTTGTGCTAAATGCTGGCTGGCAATTGCTATTACTGGAACACAGGAATAGAGGGATTAAAGAGTAACATACCTCTTGACAATCTTGCAGGAATTTCTGTAGATCCCTGTTGTCCTTCAACCTCATCAAAAGTTCACTGGCTGTCTCACGATTCTTCCTATGTCTATTAGAATGGTAACAAAAATAATTTTTAAAAAAGGAAGTAGAGAATCTTGAAATACAGAATACAAATCAATTTATTTCCTGAATTCCTAACTATGCTAAAAAGAGTTTGCTTGCAGTTCTCAATAATGTGAAGGAGACAAGATAAAGAGATTTTAGCATCCTCCAAAGGAGTAAGCCATGGTCCCAGAGAGACCCAAAAATCTGCCCAAACCACACAACAGGCCGAACATACTGTCAAATGATCTATACAAATTTGTTGCTTCCTAATCTGGTGTTAAGAAAAAAATATGAGCACACGCTTTGTACAAGTCCTTATTTTAGGCACCGGGGGAGAAGTGGAAACTTATTTTCAAGAAGCTCATAACTGGGTGACACATACAAGGCTAAGAAAATATATATAATCATGTAACTGGCTTTAAACAAATGTTTCCTGATAAAGAGTTTCTCATCTTGAAAAAAACTCACCAAAAATACAACAAAAAGGAATGAAAATTTTTAGACCTGTAAGACTATATACTAACTCAATCCCACTTTTAATCAATTGATAAGGGTAACTAAAGCTCAAAGAAGTTAAAACACAAAACCTTAAATAAATAACTTGTAAGAACTGGAAAGAGCTGCTGAATTTGGTAAACGCTAAGGTAAAGGGGGTGCTCGCTCCCTACTTGGCTCCTTCCCCATCTGCTGTGAAGGTGCCAGCACTCTTTGGCAAACTTCCTTCATGCACCCAGTGGCTTAGAGACTGGAAACTGAGAAATAGCAGCGTGAATGCCTAGCAAAGGATTGCCTTCCAGTGGCTCCACTACAATAGCGGAGAGCTTCATTTCCAATAGGGGAGGACCCACTGAGGATTCAAAAGCACTGCCACACATACACTTCCTTGATACTCCTGAGTTGCCTAAACAAGAAAGCCAGTCTATATTCAGGGTATTAAGATGGATAAAGGCAGAGTGCAACTGAGGAGAGCTGGGTTTTCATTCGATTCTTAGAGCAATTTCTCTCTGCCTGTGCCTGCACAAGGTCTCTCCTCTATCCACCAAACCCTGAGGCAGGGATGAGGAAGAACACATAGCCTTGGATTCTCCAACACGCTGAGTAAGAGCAGCTTGGTGAACACGTGCTGCTGACCGGTGTCTGAAGAAACTTCCCCAGGAGAAAGAAAGATCTTAGAGTAGAGATGCATGCACCACACGGGCCCTCAGTGGCTGCTGACAATGCAGTGTCATAGCCATTGTCTGCCTGGAGAATCAAAGGGAAAAGCCCTCTGCCCCTATAGCTCCTGCAGGTACCAGTGGCTACAGAACAGTAGAAATTATACATATTTACATGTTATAACATCATATATAATTTATATTATGTAAATTACAGTATTACATACAATTATTGTAAATAAAAATATCATTAGGCATATGTTAGACACAAATAATGCCTTTTTAATTTTTTTAAGTTGAAAGGAGTTCCATAGCATCAGGAAAAGGGATCTTAATATGCTTATACCACATAGGCAAAATGCAAACGTAGAAAAATAATTATACTATAATGCTAAATGAAAATAGTTTATACATATTAAATGATATAAAACTCCAAGGCATGGGTTAGAAAGCAAACACTTAAATGGCATATGCTACAGATGGGATTAAGGGCAGTAGTTTTCCCCTTGAAAATGTCAGACATTTACTGCTTTTACAACAACAAAAAATAATAAAGGCCAGAGACATTTTATGCCATTGCCATCTATCATCAGAAACCAAAATTAAATTTAAAAAAATAAAAGATTGTTAGTGAATTTGGGCTAAAAAGAATTAGTCATCTAAGAATGTGGATGGGTTAGGAATGTCAAAAGGAAATTCCCTTCCCTCAAATTCCAGTTCTATTTCTAGGGGAGTTCAAGAACGCAAATCTTTAGAAAGGAGATAATATGAGTTGGAGTTTAGTGACAAATGCAGGAGTCCTGCCAGTAGTCAAAGGGATAAAGGATTCCATTCCCTTTGGCATGGCATCTCATTGAAGTCCTACAGTGGCAGGGAAGAATCCCAGATACTGGAAATTAACAACAGGACACACATCCTCGCCTCTCACGGAAATAACAGAAATGAAAGTAACTTCAAACACTGGAAAGATTCATTAAGGGAGAAATATGACCATACAGAATCCTGAATGTATTTCTTATATAATCAACTCTCATGCATGCCCGGCAGTTACCGGCCCAGGCAGCCTTTCTCCTATAGTGGGACCATCAAGATGGGAAGAAAGAGGCAAGGATTTAGAGTCACATGTCCAAATGACACCGATCTATGCGCAGGTGTGACAACGGCCTTCGTGTGGTGTGAAACACAGCCACACAGGCATCTGGGACTGCCGCTGACTCAGAAGACGCTTAAAAGAAGTGAGTGTGGCTTAATGGTTTACTAGTGCAACGGACATCATTCGTGGGAAGTGAAACTCAGGAAATTCTCTCCATGTTGGATCACGGATTCAATTACAGGGAAGGGCCTGAGAAGGACCTTTTAAAACTAGGGAGTAGTTTCCACAGTCTTAAAGAGTGCTTTTCCATCTCTCACTTTCTCTCCCTGTAATAAGACTCAAAAAAGCTCCCTCATCACATGAAGCAGATGCGGGTGTTCTGGTTTCTGTGAATAGTCAAGAACCCCAGGTGCCTGAGTGAAACAGCTGGGTAACTTCTGAGCCTGTTTTCCGGTGTGAGACAGGGTCTTGCTTTATGAAGCTGGATACTGTTCCTTGCTCCCCATGAACTGTGCTGTGGCTGGAATTTCCCTCTTGGTCAGGAGCTCCCTCCCTCCCTGTTCACATCCCCTGGGGCAGGCTGAGGACAGTCTCTTCCCACTCACAGGCACTTTGAAGGCCACTCATGCCCCACCCACATCTGTTAGAGTCAGTGTCTTTGTTCTGGTACTCTTTCAACAACTCAGGAAACTTCCTGAACGTAAGCACATTATAATGACTTTACATTCTAGGAGAATCGCTTCACCACAGTGTCAGGATGTTTCGAGGAGCGGGGATTATATCTGAAGGTTTAGATGTTTACTTAGTTTGTGCTCCTACAGCACCTGGAACTCACAGATGTGTGTGTTTTCATAACTGACAAGTACCCTCTAGGGTCAGTTTCAATTCTGTGGGCCTCTGGGGATATTAAAGTGAAATCAGAATTCAGTTAACATCAATGGAGAAAAATAAGAAAATGTAGTTCTCCTGATGGCAGGTCATCGGAAAGCTCCCTCCTTCCATCTTTATTATGCTTATTGATAGTACAGGGTTATCTTTACGTTTCATTTTTAAAACTGAGGAATCCTAAGGAAGCTCTGGAACACCAGTAGCCCAGGCTCTTGGTCAAGGGCAAAATGAAGGTTAAGCCACAACTGAGGGCTGCTGCTGCTGAAACGTTTTATCATATCCAGGAGTCTAGACAGCATCATCTGCTTCCAACAGCTTTGTGCAGTTGCAGCACTGGGGACATAAAAAGAAACCGAGGAAGCAGCAAGGCAGCTGCATGCCTGCCTGAATGCACACATCCCTAACAGCCAAGCCCGCCTGCAGGAAACCAGCTGTGTGCATCTAACATGGAAGTACATAGGATATCTTATTTACAAAATACTCAGAGTTAATATTACAAAAAAAGGAAATTCTTTTTCCCTAGGTTATGAATGCTTTGCCCAATTGCTGTTTCTCATGCTCATTTAAGGAGGGTTTGGTGGATTTATTTTTCTTTTTTGCAGCTGTTTTAAAAGCAACAGATACAAAATTATAATTAACATAAGTTATTCTCTATTCCACAATACCACCCTAGAACATATAGTTCAGCCTGGGAATCAGCTCAGAAAAAAAGATTGGAAGTGGTAAAGACAGGAGCTCAATCTTTATTGGAAACAGAGTAATCCCCTCTCCACCCATCTTATTTTAAGTCAACCTGACCAGGGGTCCCAGGAAACCCTCTCAGATGTGGTAAGCAAAGGAATATTTTTCCTTTCCAACACACTTGAAGGCCAGAAGAGAGGCAGAAAGGAAGGGCTTGTTTTTTGATTACATCAGTCTCACAGCAAGCCCTTAAATTCAACCCAAACTGGAACAGGGGCTAGTGATTGATCCAGTGGCTGGCCCAGACTGGCCTGTGCTAGTGCATCCAACCCCTGATCTGCCCCAACCTCCAACTTAAGTAACCGGGGCAAGGCAAGAGTAAGGAGTGAGTCAAAGAGTTAGGGTCAAACAGAGTCCACTGGCCTCCAGCCGGGGAGGAAATCTTTCAGACAGACAGACAGACACACACACGCACACACACACACACACGTAAATAAAAAAATAATTTTAAACAAGAAATGAAGAAAGTGTATCCAATCCTGGAGATGCCCTGGCAGAAGAGGAAAATAACCTTTGCTCTTATTTACCTCTCCATCATGAAAAAGATCCTATTACAGCACTATCCAAGCCAATTTTCTAAAAAAGTCCAGGTAATGTTCCTTTGTAGCTTTGCCAGGTACTCAGAACAAGCAAGCTTCACCCTCCCTTCCCACTCTCCTGACAGGCTTCTTTCTCATGGATGAAGGGGAACACGGGCTTGGCTGGGAATACCTGGCGCCAGGGGTCCTATCAGGTGACACAAGCGTGTGTTAATCCTCAAAGGGCATGGCTTACACCTGATCGCGATGCAGCACTACGGCTCTTACAGGTCCTCGGTTAAGAATTAGCTTGGCTTCTCAGGCTTTCTTTCCTTTTGTGGACACTTGTACATGTCTCACCAGACCCACATTCTCAGGCAGTCATGCACAGCTCACTAATTTTCTGTATGGGTAGATGAACTTCTGCTGGGCACCCATATTCTGCCCACTGGGAAATTTATACCTAAACTCCCAAGGGCTTCTGGCCAATGATTCAGAAGTTTGAGAGCCCCAAGGTGCAAGGCTCCCTTAAGAACCTCAGAAAACTGTACCTGTCATCAATAGAGTCCACCTTCTCCTGGATGCGATCTGAGTTGATGTTCCCATCGCTCACCAGCCTCCGGCCAGTCTCCACCACAGCATTGATCTTCTCCTCATTGGCGTCCATGGTGGTCATGAAGTCCTCTTGCTTTTTAATTGCTGCTTCAGCTCCTTCCAAGGTGGTAGGCATTTCAGTGTGAGCCAGAACATACTCCTTATTTAAAAAGAGGAACAAATCATAGCAGATCAATGAAGGATCTCATTTTCCTGTGTTCTACATTTCCGTGCAACATAGTTCACAACACTTTCTTCATTACACTTACATGAAATAATTAAATCACATCAAATTAAAAGTTAGGAGGAAAAAAACCCAGTGGGACACTGTAACTGACCGAATTTCCCTCAGGGGTTAATGCTCTAAATTTTTTTTTCCAAAGAGAGTGAGGAAAGGAACCAAAGCTTTGTGTATCAGCCTCAAGGGTCCTCTCACGTGCCTATCAAGGCAACAGCAATGTACCCTTCATACTCTCTCTTTGAGACAGTAACAGCCCTGAAGTTGGTGACTATCCTCAGCTGTTTTTATTTCTCTAATCTCTACTTTGTGTCCTCAGGTGAAGTCCCTGACCCTTCTAGAGCAAGAAGACAGACTGGTCTCAAGAAAAAAAAAAATCCTCACCGTACTTTTTTTTTTTTTTTTTTTTTAAGAGACAGGGTCTCACCCTGCCACCAGGCTGGAGTGCAGTGGCACGATCACGGCTAACTTCACCCTTGACCTGCTGGGCTCAAGTGATTCTCCTGTCCCAGCCTCCCCAAGAGCTGGGATTACAGGAGTGAGTCATCATGCCTGGCCCTCACTGTATCTTTTAAATTGGATCAATACCTCAATTATGAAGACATACTATGAACACATAAGAGATCCTCAATGGCAGTTGAAATCAAACAGTACTTTGTAAGGCAAAGCAGCTCTTATGGCAACTTTCAATTCCTGTCCCCTACAACGTGATGGATTTCAATGCCTTAAGAGTATGGGGAAAAAAAAATCAGTCTCTAAATTATCCATATAATTCCATACAGGTGTGGTTTAAACCAGCTGCCCCAGCCAAAACATTTCAAAAGGCAGCCAGGGCTGCTTTCACCGAAAGGAAGCAAAGGCAGGAACAAACCTTACCTGGTTGTTAAGAAAGGCTTCGGCTTGCTTCGTGTCTCTGAGGAACTGCTGGTAGGCATGTGACTGGGATAGGAGATTTTGTCTGTTCTCCCACATCTTGTGGAGCTCGTTCCATCCAGTGTCCAGGGCCTGCAGCCGCTGCCGCAGAAACATGTACTGGGCATCGGTCTGCCCCTGGGTGACCATCTCGCCCATGTCCCTCATCTTCTGGTAGTCCTCCTCGTAGTTGTCGATCTCGTTCTTGATGTTCTCGTGCTGCGTGAGCAGCTTCTCAGCCTCGGTCAGGGTGTTTGGCATGTCCTCCGAGGCGATCGCTGTCTGGGTCCTAGAGAGCCAGGACTGGAAGTCGTCCAAGTCCCGTAGGAACTGCTGCAGCTTGCTGGCCTCTCCCAGGGAGGCCTCTCGGTTTTTCAGGGTGGTCTTCATCTCCTCCCACACGTCGCTGATCTCGGCCAGCCGAGACAGGATGGCCTGGGCCTGGTCGGGGTGCTCGGACTCCAGCTTCTCCGCCTCCTTCTGCAGGTCACTCAGCTTTGCCTCAATGGCCACCAAGTCCCGCTCCATGCCGGTCAGCTTGCGCTGCAGGGCCATGACGCCAGCCAGGTCATTGCCCAGGTCCTGGGTGGACTCGATGACCTTGGTCTTTTCCCGAATCCAGGATTTGGTTTCATTGCACTCGAGGTGGTAGTTCTGGATGCTCAGGGCAGACAGGAGGGCATCCTTCTTCCTGTCAACCAGTTCTCTGAACTGGCTCCACCTGTGAGTGCAGGGGCAGACAGCGAGTGTGAAAAAGGGAAGACTGACCATGGCTGGATTGCAAAAGGAACAGTGATGGGTTAATGCTGCTTATCTGTTTTCTCCATCTGTGCTTTGACTACATGCTTTTTTGGAAAATCATCTCACTCAAACTGTGAACACCAAATATAATGGAAATAGCTCAGGGATGCAATGTAATCTGGAAAAAGCCTGTCACGAAGAGGAATGTGTTACAGAGCTCCAATGTGAGCAATTACAAGATATCCATTCCCAGAGTCAATTAATTCATGTCTGTGACACATTTTACACATCTCTGAACTCTACCTAATGAACGTTTTCCAAATCTAAGACTGATGGTAACCTTCAAAACTGGGGCCAGGTGCCATAACCTACTCAAACATGTTTACTCAACAGAAAGATAAGACTGGAACAAAGGTCTGCCCTGACAATCAGGACTTTCATTGGCAAATTAAGTGTTAAACATGCTAGAGTCCTGTTCCTGAAGTTACTATAAAATGGATAGCACAGGTGTCATCTTAATACCTTCTACACTGGACACAGGTCAAACCAAGGCCCTAACTTTGGTGTGGCGAGGGGCAGATGCTGGGCTGACTCAGATAATCCTCCTGCAACCAATGATGTTGCCCTGAGAGACACTTCTTACAAAACAAGGACATGTCAAAAGGCAGGTGCCAATGCCATGACATCAGTGTTGCAATGTCGATGACCCCATGTGGGAAATTCCCAACAGCAAAGCTCGATGAGTGACCTCACCCTCCCCAGTCCCACACGTGGGAGGCTGGCACACTGCTGGCCACGTGCTCACCTTGTGTTGAGTTTGTCCTGCTGGGCTTTGATTTCCTTCTCACTTGGGTGGCCGCTGTGCATCAGCTGGCGTGCAATCTGGTTCACCACTGCAACCCGGGAAGCCTGGTTGTTCATTTCTGGTTCTAGGCTCTCAAATCTGAAATGGCAATTTGACAGGGTGGTCACCTCCTGGGCCACTGGTGGTCACAAGGAACAGGCCAGTGGCTGACCAGCGCCCCGCTCACCTGTGCTGGATGACCTCCAGATCCTCCAGCTTCTCTGGGATCTGCATGTTGTTGAGCCACTGCTCCTTCTCGTCGATCCAGAGCTCACAGGCATCAGCCTCGCTGAACATCTTGTACAGGGCCAGAGTGTCCTGGAGTGCCTGCTTCCGCAGCCGCGTCAGCTCTGCCACCTCCTTATACCGCTCCTCGATGCCCGACAGCCTGCCCCTCACGTCTGGAGACTCGGCATGCTCCTGGGGGAGGGCGCTGGCTTGTTCGTGCAGCGTGTCAAGGGTGGGCCTGTAATTGGCGATCTCTTCCGCCACGTCCTTGTGTTTCTTGACCAGAGACTGTGTGGAATACTCATCGTGGCCCACGTCGCTGCTGGAGACAATCTTGAGGATGTCCAGCATCCAGGCATCAATGTCATCAGCATCTGCCTGGAACTGGTGCAGCAGGGAGGCCTCCTCCAGGCGCTTCTTCCGAATGGCCGAGAGCTGCTCTAGGTTGGCCCACTGCTCCCGGATGTAAATGATCCTCTCACGGATCTTCTCCGACCCGAAGTGCTCCTCCGCGATCATGTCTTCGCCTTCCTTGATGGCCTGCTCAAAGTGGCCACTGCGGCCGCTCATCTCGTCCTCGAACGCCCGGTGCTTGCTGAGCAGGCGCATGACGCTGGTCAGGTCTTTCCCGTAATCGTCCGAGGACAGGATCTTCTCCTTCTCCCGTATCCAGCCTTCCTCTTCTGCCATCTCCCAGAAGAACTTCCAGAGGCGGCGGGACTCTTCCAGACGGGCCCTGCGCTCAGCCGCCAGCTGGCAAAGCTCTTGATAACAGAACTCCATGTGGGCCACGCGGTCTCGGATCACCTGGGGGTCACAGGGCTTGTAACCTGTTTAACATCAAGGAAGGAACGTGGCTGTGTGAGGGAGCTCAGCATGGGTGCAGGCTCACTGGCAGGCAGTAAGCTACACCCCATATTCTTATGATTACCAGCTCACTGCTAAATGTAAATGCAGGGCCATGCGATAAGGCAATGGAGCACCTTCTAACAACTTGACTAGAACAGGAGTGAGGGCAATGATAAACATTATTTTTTTTTGGCCAAACCGCAGACAAAGTGATCATCCTCCTGCAAGAAAGCACTTGAATCATATGAAAAAGGCAGCTGCATATAATTGTTTCTAGAAATACACGAAGCATAACCAAATCATTCTAAACATCCTCCAAAGAGAGGTATATGCAACCAGCTGTGAAAGCCAGGAGCTGCTGGAACAGCCACACCAGGGTGTCGGTGCATGGCCAGAGAGACTGAGGTATGACAAAGTCTCACTGCCAAACACCAAGCCACTCAAAGCAAAGGCAGCATTTGCGTATTTAAGGAAAGGATGTATCAATTCCAGAAAAACAAGATGGAGTTAGTGTTCAGAAGGCCACTCCACCGTATTTCATGCTCCCATGACAAACCCACCAGGAATGTATAGTGGCACAGTAACTTCAAAAGCCCCACTGTGTTTCTATAAATATGAATCTCTGGTGACCCGGAGGTAATGCTTGGAATGGGCCATCCTTACCTTCCCCGTCTGTTGCGAACTTCTGGGCGGAGGCATTGACACCTCTCACCCGCTCTGCCTGGATGCCAATGTCTGCTTCAACCAGGGTGTGCTTCTGTAACAGGTCTTCCACACCAAGTAAGTGTTTGCCATAGTCTTGAGACAATACTAGCACCTGTGCACAAGAAGCAACCAAAAGGACATCTGTGACTATAGCCTTGACTTCAGCATCACATCATCTTTCGACAAGCAGAGAGCCAGCAATGAAGCTATGCCTTCCCTCTAGTCTGCCATGGACCCCACACCTTCAGGGGAAGATGATGGCCAACAAACCAGAACAAAACAAATCATACCTGAAGGCCTGAGTCAGGAGAGCTATCACAAACTAAGGATCACCAAACTTGGAATAAGTAAGTCAAATCTACACTAAAAAGTGCAGAATAGAAGAAAAAGATGGTGAGGGCCAGCGGGGCCAGGGTGGGGGGGAGGGGGCAGTGGGGAGCGTGGGCGGGGGTGCTGTATGAAAGATTCCAAAATATAAACTGGAGCTTCAAGAAGAAACCGCTGCAACAACTACTCAAAAATAAATAAATAAAGGTGATAGACTTGGTCACTTCAAAGTTGAAAGAAATCTTTTAGAAGTTGCTGAGCCTGTAAGTGAATGTTTTTCCTCTGTTAGGAGCTTATTGGTATGCCTCTACTGTACTTACACAATCAATGGGAAAACAATCTACTTGAAAAGCTTACAAGCCACATCTTTAAACCAATAAGGAGAGCAGGGTCAGGTGGCTGTCTTGCTTAGTAGACCCCAAGCAACTTCTAGAGTTTAAGTTTGAACCCACTGATATTTTCTTGTTTCTTCCATCAACCAGCGAAATTTGGGGGCCTCATTCTACATCCTCGCCAGATGAGATTTCTACTTCACTCTTACTTCTGAGGAAGTCTCTGGACCAACTGAGTTACAATGTGCATCATGATTTATAAAATGAAAAGTCCCTCTCTGCTACATTTTACGAACATTTCTATTTTGAGAGGTCAAGAGAGACCAGACCTAAGAACACTGTAAATCTGGAACAATAGGAGGGAAAACTGATGGTATCAGATGACTTTGCCCCTCTGTCAGGAACAGTCCAAGAGGTAGGCAACAGATGACAGCTTATATCCTGGGAAGGGAATCTCTTGCATAAGGTCAAGCTTGGGAACACAGCGTGCTGAGACAAAGGAAGCTTCATGGGACTGTCTGAAAACTGTCCTATTTTCTTCTGTCTACAAGGCTAAAGGCCTCCCAGCTGGAGAACTGCTTGGCATGGCTGAGCATTCCATGGCCTGCATTGGAGGACATGAACAGGTACAGGGCCATGGCATGATAGCAGGTCTCTTCCTGGGAAGGGGGAAAGGTTGGAACTCTATGCTAAGAGCAGTCAATAAATGGCATGACCAGCCACTGCCATCCAGCCCATCCCATGATCTGTGCACATACTACCGCATTCCATCCTTGCAATAATTGGATGAGGTAGATAGTAAGTACAATCTCCATTTAAAGACCAAGAAAGAGGGCTCAAAGAGGATTAGGCAACTCAGGCACTCACAATCAGAACTCTGGCTGCCTGGTTCCTGACCTCTCCTCTGTCCATGGCACCTACCACTCCTCCCTTCTCCCCATACCACCTCTCCGGGACCCCTGCCCAAAGTAGTACCACTCACTCACAGATCAATGAAACGGTAAGTTAGTTTAACCCTGAAAACTTAAAAATAAAGAAAACCACAATGTGATTGATTCCCTACACTGGAATATATCTAAGTCACAGAAACAGAGCTCTGGCTACTGAACTGGTCTCTACAACTTTTTCACACTTCACGTCTCATTTAATTCCTGAGCTAGCAATCTTCCCATGGGTGATGTGGCTCCTCTCTAGCTGTACATGTGGGCAGTTAGACAAGGCACACAGCTGTACGTAGGGGTTTAGTGAATGAGTCACAGAAAAGAGAGCCCTGGTTGGATCAGCTCTGTCGTCCTTCCTTTCGGTCAGGTTTTACCTTCATTTCATCCATCCAGTCCATAATGTAGAGCATTTCCTGGAATATCTTCTGCAGCCCCAGGTTCATCTCGAGCCGCTGTCTCCGGGCCCTGAGCAGTTCCAGTAGGTATTCCCAGAGCCGGATGACATTGTCCTTCCTCGCTGTGATGCGCTTGATGTCGTGGTAATTCTCGGCCTCGAGCTCCCTGGCCACGGCTACCACAGCCTGCACACGCTCCTCGTATGCGGCAATGTCTGTCTCAATGGCCTCGTGCTTTTTTGTGGCGGCCTCAACTGCAGGAAGGTCAAACCCAAAGTTGTCCTACAGAGAAACGGAATGAAAAGAAGGAAAATAAAAAATCCACCCGGGCACAGTAGCTCATGCTTGTAATCCCAGCACTTTGGGAGGCCGAGGCGGGCAGATCACTTGAGGTCAGGAGTTCGAGACTAGCCTGGCCAACATTGTGAAACCCTGTCTCTACTAAAAATACAAAAATTAGCCGGGCGTGGTGGCACGTGCCTGTAATGCCAGCTACTTGGTAGGCTAAGGCAGGAAAATCGCTTGAACCTGGGAAGCAGAGGTTGCAGTGAGCCGAGATTGCGCCACTGCACTCCAGCCTGAATGACAAGAGTGAAACTCTGCCTCAAAAACAAAACAAAAACAAAACCAAAAAACCTATTTCCCGCGCCACCCCCCCTCCAAAAAAGGAAAAAGAACAGACATGAAATCTTGAGCACACATTAATCCCTGGTGGTCTTAAAGCCAAATCTGACTCCTGAGTCCCCCACCCCACTGGTCTCTGCCTTGAGCTTAGATGCCCTCCTCAAAGCAAACTAGTAACTGCTCATTTTGCAGAAGGGCCCAGTTCGTATCTAGTACCTTACTGAAAAGCTAGAGCAGGTGATAGCTTATGTCAAGCCAGGTGGAAAAGCAAGCCATTTTTGTTTATTTCACAACCAGTCTAACTGCCTCGTAGGATTAGTTGGTCAAAGATTAAAGAAAAGAGAGAAACTGTTAAAACTTATAAATGTGAACAGTTCACACACACTCAATGGCTCTAAAACAAACTCTGCTTGAGCTGCTTCCAAATCTATGAAAAGTTAGATAAATAGAAATGTATATTAGAAATTATAAACATCCTCTTAATGGGAAGGGGCCAAGGTGACCTGACGTTCCTCCAGAATAATGAATGTCGATAAGCAGCTGTCCTCTGGCCCTATGCCCCTGGGGATGGTCTGTGTTTCTAGATTACCCTAGCAACAGTCTTTTTAATAATGTCAAGAGCAGAACCTGAGACACCAGACGCTGGTTTTCGCTCAGCCAAGTCTCCCTCATAGCTGCCTTGCGATCAAATCTGCGGGCGAGCTGTTCCAGTTTCTCCTGTCTTATGAGCTCATTCCGCAAAGCCAGTTCTCTTTCGTGTTCCGCTTTTTCCAGTCTTTCCCAGGCCTACAAAAATGAAAATACACACACACACAAACACAGTTTCCTGCAGTGTTCAAGGAAACTTCCGTGGTTACAGTCAACAGCTAATATTTCTCAAAAGGACCTGACAGCTTGAATGGGAAATCCCATTCCCACTCTCACTGACTCTCAAGCCTTGAGGAAAAAAACGGGTTTTTCTCTCAGTGTATCCTCATGGGAACACTCTTCCGTCATCTAAATCTAAAGATTCTGTGTTGTACTTGGAAAACAAAACTGTAGCTATGAAGCAATATAAGTAAATTATAAATCTCTTACTTTAAGAGGAAATAAATTATCTTAAATAGCTTTGATCATATAAAAAAGATAAATGATTCTTCTAAGAATTCATATGAATTTCTCATTCATTCCACCCTGGGCCACTTTTAAAAAATTTACACATCTGAAATTTCTTTCAAAATCCTGACCTACTGTCCATATTAAATTCATTCCTAGGAAATCTATTTCTTCACCTAAAAAAAAAAATCAAACCTTCCACTCGAAGGAATCTAAGTGGGGCCAGACGCAGTGGCTCACGCCTATAATTCCAGCACTTTGAAAGCCGAGGTGGGAGGACTGTTTGAGGCCAGGAGTTCAAGACTAGCCTGGGCTATATAGTGAGACCCTGCCTCCATTAAAAAAAAAATTTTAATGAGCAGCATAAAGGAATGTAGTTCTGTACAAGTGACCAAAGTTCTAGAATTTTTCAAATTTCTTTCTAGTTGGAAATAATGCCTGCTGTGAATTTCTATAACTGCAGGCATAATAGGCATGATGATTAAAATTGCTTATTTGACAGCATCTCTAATGCAAGAAGCCAACATCCTAAGCCCCACAACTACTATGAAACACATGAAATAAGGTTTCAATTTCTCCTTTCTGTAATTTAAAGATGTTTGAAACAATTGCCTCAGATGAGAAGTAAAGTGATATGTATCTGAGTAGCAAGGTGTATAGCCTACGCCAAAGCTGGTTTGATAAAATCTAACATTGCCCCCTGAAGCCTCCAGCAGCCTAACCCGGTACCATTGCTTGCTTGGTCCTTTGCCACACCTGAGCACCAGCTGCCAATTGTCAATTCGGCAGGTGGGGACAGCCCCTTCCAGTCTCTTGTCCTCTTAGCAGTCGAGACCTAGTGATAGAACCTGAAGCCTCCAGGAGGTCAGGGCCCATGCAGAGTCCAGATCCACTTTACCTTGTTGATGTCAGAGATGAGCTTCCCCTCCCGGGGCATGTAGACCTTCTGGTTGTTGGCCCTCATCTTGCTCTGAATGGTGAAGAGCAGCACTTCCAAGTTCCCCTTCTCAGTAAATCTAAACACAGGGGAAAACATTCATTTGGTACTGGAGAAAAAAAAATTTCACACTGTCATGCATTTTAAAAACCATTTAACTCTGGTCTGACTTACATGAAATGCATGTCAAAGAGACATCAGTAGGTTGCTTATTGGCTATTACAAACCTTGAAACATACCAAACCGTGGAATTTCTTTGTTGTTGCTGACATTTATATTTGAGGGTGTCAAAGGCATGCAATACTCTTTTGTATTCACTTAAATCAAGGTTTAAACCCCAAATCCTGGACAATGGACTTACTTCATTCATTCAGTGTAGCTGAATGCATTCAACACGGATTATTTCAAATGTCTACCTAATATAATTTTCAATGGGTTTTAGAGACCTTACCAAGATATATGCAACTGAGTTTTCAGAAAAGAAAAAACGACTTTGGAACTATGGTAAGCAATAGATAAGGTCTACAATCCTTATTCAACAATTATGAACTTAAAAAAGATATGAAAAAAAATCAAACTTTTTTTGGGTTGCAAAACCTGTTCTGAACTGTTATGAAATTATCTATTATCTTTCTTTATCTAATGCAATGTGAATATTTACACATTTTGCTACAGATACTTACTGGGCTTATGGGCTATTGCCTTAGTCCCATCTGGGGTCTTATAATATACAACATATGAGCTGTGCTGTTTTTTTAAAATCCAAAAATTATGGAATCCTGAAACACACTAGGTACAATGGTTTTGGATAAGGGGTTGGGGACTTGTACCATTTCTTGGAATTCTCATATATCCTGTATGTCAGTGGCACATTTATATTGGGAAGGGCTCAGAGAGAGCATGATCTATCATAAATCTCAGCAAAACAGAGTCAGATGAAAAGGAGTAGGACACACTACTGAAAGGCATTCAGTTAAGAGATGAGATTACAGAAATCAGAACATAGGGATCTGTTGGCTACAGTGATGTGTCTTTCCATATTAATGATCACACTACAATATGCATCTTACTTGGGTGGTTTCTCCACAGTGCGGTAAGTGTTGAATGCCTGAAGCTGCTGTTGAACCCCGACCAGTGAATTGGCAAATTTGCGATTGTTCAGAATGATGATGGTTTGTTCAATCCATTCCAGAAGGTCAGAGGCAAGTGATTCATACTTTTCAATCATTTTTTCTGTTTCAATAGCATTGTCAAGCACCTGGCAACAAGGGATAGAAAAATTGAAAAGATCATGTCACTCCATAAGTTAAATACGATTGTAACCCTATACGAGTGCATGCACACAAAACGACCGGCTTTGAAACAGTTTGGCCAGCTCTGAAACAGTTCAGCTGTACCTGGGCACAAGCATTTTAACTCAAGGAACCATCTGCTAAGAGGGGCCCAGACTGTGATTATTATTTGTGAGCAATGACAGCTTAACTGTAATTGGTTCTGTAACTTTCCAACCCCCAAGCAAAGAGATTCTGAATGATTTCTGTAGCCTAACATCTGAAATCCCTAGAGAAACAAAAAGGGCTCAATTTAGCTTGATCCTGTCCCATAAATGCCCATTAATTTTTGACTTCACTGCATTGAGAGGACAATGTCATCTGGTCTGAGGTGTTTTGAAAACATGGCAGGTGAACATCAGCCAAATGAGAAGTAAAAAGCACGATGCTGGGGCCTTTTCAACTGTGGTAAGTAGGATGTCACACCCATGACATTAGGCAACTCGATCAGATTTCCAATACCCAATTTCCTGGAGCAGTTGAGGAGAAAGATGTTGCTGGGTTTGAGATAGCCCCCAGATCCTTTCCTAAATATGGTGGCCATCTCTCCCACCTCTTGTTACCCTTCAGGATGAAGAGGCTTCTGCCGATTTCCCTACCATCCGGAGAGTCCACTACAAATTGCTATTGGCAAATTTTATGAGTGCATGGGAGAATGAGGGCTCAATTAACCTTAATTATGTCTCACAACTCACAAAATTGGCACCAGCTCACCTTTCCAATTCGTTTTCCTTCAACAGCTAAGGCCTTCATCTTAGAGAAGTAGTGGTAATAAGTCACCACATAAGTGATTATGGACTTCTCATCAGGATGGTCCACGCTGATGTCTGTAACCCAGAGAAGACTCTGTTCAGTGTGTTGCATGCTACTGTGCCCCACCCAGGTAGCAGGAACAAATGCAACGACTGCTGGTCAACATGGAACAGTTCAGCGTCTTCATGTTTGTACCTGAGTGTTCTGCCATCCGTGCATTAATTACAAGGATAATGAGGGTTAAACCATCTCACTGATTCCCCATTATGTGAATATTCATGAAACGCCTTCCACAGACACATAGTTCCTCCTCTCCTTGCCCTACTACCATACTGGGTTAGCTCTGCTTGAGTCCTCATTGCTGCCTACAGGACCAGCACCGCCCCCTGTCAATCAGTCTTTGGATATCTTTATCTCTTTGTTACCAGTATCCAGCAGCTAGTCACTGAGTCTAAGTTGGGATGACCCTTATTTATGGAATCCTTATTGTCACTCATGTTTCAGACCCATCCTGTCACATAACCAGCCCTGAAACAATGGCTCCCTCCACCAGCTTTCCCGATTTCCTTCACATAGTGCACCCAGACTGATCTTTCAGAAGCACAGCTGTGAACACAGTTTCTCCTAGCTCAAAATTACTCAGTCTGAAGAATAAACTATAAGCGCTTCAGTCCTCCAGAATCTGGCTATAACTTTCCTTCCCTTTTTTCCATCAATTTGTCAAATATTCACCAGGCTTCTTTTAAGTGTCAAGCATTGGTCTAGACATTTCTAAATTCTATAGCCTACTACCTCTCAAACACTGTATTCCTTACTAAATTTTTTGAGACAGGGTCTCACTCTGTCACCCAGGCTAGAATGCCGTGACATGATTATAGCTCACTGCAGCCTCAAACTCCTGGGCTCAAGCAATCCTCTCACCTCAGCCTCCTAAGGAGGTGAAATTGCAGATGAGAGCCACTGTACCTAGCACTGTATCTCTGAATCAAACTTGACCTCACCATTCCCTATACACACATAATTTCCAATACGCCTTCCTTAACTTATGACTTCCCTTTGTCTGAAATGGCCTTCATGACCCCATAACTTTCTTACTATCCATCAAGGTCCATTTCAAAAGTTACCACCCAATACAACCATTTATGATCCCCACAGCTGACATTATTGTCTCCCTCCTCTATTCCCTTGGGGCTTTGTATGGACACATAGTCCACTTTTTGCCAGGTTATGATTTTTTATGCATGTTTTGTTTGCCTTACAAAATTCAGTCCCCAAGGGCAGAAGCCTGTCCGGGCAAGCCCCTATGCCACTCCACCTACCACATTCCCGCTGTGCTGTCCTGCGCAAAGCAGGTGGTCAATAAATAGGTACTGAGAGAAGGAACAAACAACTTAAAATGGCAAGTCTTTGAAGTTCGGCAATATTGAGTAAGCACTCAACTTGGGATAGGTTGTGAAGAGAACACAAAGGACAGCTCTTAACAGATATTATCAGGCTCTTTTTCAATATACATTCATACATACACCCCCATTCCTATCGCCGCCCCTGACAGCCTTGTATGGAGCAAAATTGTTTCTCTTAATTTAAACAAGAGAACATCAGGACACACTGCTGGCATGCTCCCTGCCCAGGGTCACTAAGGCAGCCCGTGGTTGTGAGGGCCAGAATCACAGCTACTGTTCCCTACCCCAGGGCTCCTGTGTCCGCTCAGCCCGTCAAAGTGTGCACAAAGGAGAGTGAACTGGAGGACAGCCAGAAAAAATGCCAGTGTAGGTATACAATTTAATCAACACAAAATGTCAACAAAACTCAAAGAAGTGAGAAGGTAAAACTTTTTATTTAACTTGTCTACAAGTAGATTTTAACTGATGTTCTTTGGAGCCCTGGACAACTAATAATCAAGATCAAACCCACAGGATAAAAGTGAAATCAGCTGCCATTTTTAGCTCCTCGTCTTGTGATCTGGGGAACATCAATCCCCCTTTTCATACTGGGCGGTGATTGAAAGATTAACTAATGAGCAAGTTATTAAAAAATGTTGTCACTGCGATAGGGAAAAAAAGGTTCTTTATCAAAGCACAAAGAACTAGGGCTAAGGAAAAATTCCTTCCCATAGTAAGATAGGGGTTAAGCATGAAGATTTATCGAAGCCCAAGGAATTTTAGTTTTCTGTTTATATTGAGAAACCATTTAATGGGTTAGTACAAAGATAATTTTATCTCAGCTTCCTGTAGCCAACATATCAGTGAATCTGATGCATTGGAAAATAGCAAGAAGCCTGCCTGGCAGCCTCATGACCTTGATCTGCCTTTGGGGAGTTAAACTTCCTGTTCTATATTTAAAAGAACTTTAAACTTTCACTCACATACACACAGTTTTTTTCCTCTCTAATATTTGTTCACAGCTGAGAGGATCTATATATCTCCAGCACTTCAAACAAATCCAGATATTTTAAATGCTTCTCAAAATTAGAAAAAGTTCCTATGAGAGCTCATGTTGAAATGAAACCCAGAATTAGGATTTTATTAAGCAAGGGAACTACAACCTGGGGAACTGCTCCAAACAGGTCAGCTCCAAGTTACACAGGGACTCACAGAGTAAAGAGGGATTAGTTCCGTGCAGATAATGGGATGCAGCTGTAAGAAAGGACTATGACTGCTGCTCCTTCCACCCCTACACTCCCCTTTCCCAAAGGTGCCTTCCTCATTTAAACTCTTACTTGCTCATAAGCAAAGCACAGCCTCCTAACAAGGCCCCTGCCTGCAATCTCCACCCATCCCCATCCAACCTGCTTGCCACCTTCAGATAAATGTCAGCCAACAAGTATTCATTAACAGCCTATGCCAGGTTTTCTACTTTTCTACTTCGAGCACAGCTGCTAAGAACCTTCAATGACTCCCTGTTGCCTGTTGCCCCTATGGGGATCCCATCCACTAACAGAAGGGAATAGTGGTATTCCCTGCTATTACCCTAAACACCATTCCCATTGAATTGTTAGCCCTCAAGCATACCTTCTTCTTTCCTGGTTCTGCACCTTTGCACATGCTAGTAGCTCTGCCCGCACACGCTCTCCTTCAGACTCTGTTTAAATCGTATTCATCTTTCAAGGCCTTTTTGAGTGTCATCCTTTCCATAAATCCTCAAAAAATTCCCATAACCAAAATTAAGCTCTTCCTTTGATAACTCCCAAATGAAACAGACTGACACAAAACAGATTTTACATTAACACCTGGATGGTACAGATGCTAAAAATCCCACCTGTAATCCCTTGAGTCCCTACCTTCGGGGTCCAACAGTTTAGTGAGGCCGAGGTGCTGTTCTGCCAGATTAAATGCATTCTGCAGGTTGTAGTGTGCGTTAGATTTCTTTAGTTTGTCAAAATCTATCAGGTCAGGCCTGTGCAGAACAACAGTGGGACACAACAAAAATCATGGCTTGAAAAGAAATATGACTAATGAAACATGACTGTTACTCCAAAAAGGTTAAAATCACCAATTAGTGGAGTAAAACTCTAAAATATACTATCATGGAATCATCAAACAATGAAACCTGATTTTTGAATAAACACTTCAAAGTTAATTAAGAAAAAAAAGATTAAGGGAGAACCTGTTTATTCTGTTTGGAAGAATTTATATATTCTCCCATATTTTCCTCACATGGAATGCAGAAATTTCCACCACGGTGAGACAGTTAAGCCAACGGATATGGAAAAGTCACCCAAATCTGCTATGGAAGGACAGCAACCTTTTACCCCACGATTGCTAGGATGATTTGTATGGACTTACCGGTGTTTGTGTATCAGTGCATTGAAGGCCATGCCGTCCCTCCAGCTAGTGGTGAAATTGTGAATGTTGACATTGGGGTACCTGCCAAGGACAAAGCAGAAGGGAAAAGCAACACAATTACCACATGGAGGTTTATACTTTTGCCAAGTGCTTTGTTAATAAAAAGTCTGTAAGCATTGTAAAACCTAAAGCAGTGAATATCACTAAGGACAATCAAGTCAGAACAAATAATCCGTCAACTCGAGCCTGCCATAAAATAAAAATAAAACATGCATCCATGTGGCTTTTCTTGCTTGGTAATTCAGTCTCACAAAAGATGTGAACTGTGTCGTAGATTTAAAACACTACTCTTACTTAGGAAAAAGTGACGACAACCTAGACACCTCTGAGGCCTCTGCTTCCATTGGCTTTCTACTCTACCTACAAAGACACCAGGACCTGCAGTCCCTTGTCACACGTTACTTTGGGACAAGAAGTGGTGGGACTATCTGTTCAAGTGACACTCAGCTTTCTTTCTTCCATACGCCACTTAATTGGATGAAGTTTGTAAAAGTAGTACCTCCCTGAAAAATTTATGTGTGAAACTTACCCATAATGAATCAGCTATTCTATACCATATTGACTATTAATAACTTTATATCAGTAGCTGATTAAAGGTTCATACCTGACTTGACCCTTTTATTAGGCCATAAGCTCTTTATAGACATGATGACTTTTCAGCTAGCTCTCAGAATGGATGGAGTTCTGATTTTCATATTCTGAATTAATGTTCATTAGAGTTACATCTACACCTAAAGTAGTTCTGACAGTAAATCTAATTAACCTAAAATTGGGTCTCAGTAAGTACCTATGACCTTAAACCAATTTGCTAAGAACTCGAAGGCTTAGCATCAGTTGAGTCCTAACAATAGTAAGCAACAAAAAAGATGTGGTTCTCTAAAAACAACTTCACTGAAATTTCAATGAAAAAATAAAAGGGAAACTGACACAGATAATATTAAAAGGTTATGCTGTTGTTTACTGTGCAAAGAAAGCTCCCCAAAACAGAAATTAAAGGGTGAAGAAAACCTACAACTGTATTCTTAAAATATCATGGATATGATTCCTAAGCATGCTTCCAGGGTTTTCAAATTCAAAATATAATGCTCTCTGGAGCTTCCTTAATAAAGAGAAGGAAACTGATTATGAAGACATGACAGGTCTAAAATATAAATTAGAGCTCCTTTCATTCTGAGAGCTAATTGAAAAGTCATATCAACTGCTTGCGAGTTAACAAGACTTCCCAATGGAAGCAGTGGAAAAGATACCTGTCAACACCTTCTAAGTGATGACTGCAGTGGAATTCAGTCCTGGAAGAAGCAGCCCCAATACCCTCTTCATTCACACTCACCCAGCTGTCTTCATCTGGCACCACAACAGCAATGCATCCTTGGCAGATTTCTTCTCTTTGTTGTCTTCAGTTTCCACACTGATATCCTGGATCTAAGATTTACAAAGAAATATTAGACAAATAGATGGGTCAGCTGCCTAAAAGAACCACTGAAGAACAGGTCTGCATATACATAAAGAATAAACTGTAGATCATAGCCTTGCCCTGCAGACGATCTACCCTGTCAATGAAAACTGCTTCCTGAAGTCTGGGCTCACTTCAGAAACACAACGAAAACTACATTTTCTATGTCACACAGACAGAAGGCTGACGGGACTTCCCAGCACCTATCAGAGGTCATTTTTACCCCTGAGACAACCCATCTTTCCAGTGAGAATCTAGCACAGGGGTTCATACAGTGCATCTGGAATCTCACCAGACCCCCAGAAAAATACTGAGTTCGGTTTTTTTGTAAGTAAACATTTTTCACACCACGTGCAACCTTCATTGATGAGGGCACTGTGTGCACCATTTCCAAACTATTAGAGCAAGTGTGGGCTTAAACGCTGTGCTTCCATGGTGTGCCTTCATAAGCCGCTCAGAGGCAGCATATTTGCAACATTATACACAAAGCCTGGTCGGCTGGCACCAAAGTCAGACTGCCTGGATGTGAATCCAGGCTCCATCACCTACCATGTACCCTTGGGCAGGTTCCCCAGCTTCCCCATCTGAGGAATGGAAATAATGACAGTGGCTAATCTCACAGCACTGTTATGCACTTAAATGATATAATAAAGTGCAGAGCTCGTAATAAGGGTCTGTGAATGTTAGTTTTTAGATTAGGCGCCAACTGCCAGCTACGTAATTTTAGACAAATGCTCCAAATACACTTTTGTCTATTATATGAAAGTTTCCTCTTGTAGAGTAAAATGTGGAATGGAGTCAGGAGTGGATGGTGCTGGCCAGGAGTCCATCCATTGCCTCCAGCTGTAGCCATTTTAAGCTTCGCTGCTCTGTCATGCTCCCCACTACCTTCACTCCATTCAATCTACAAACACTTCCCAGAATTCTTTTTGAAAAACAGAGAAAATGAAGACAAAATATATAAATACAGGATTAAAAAGTTAGAAACTTTCAACTAGGAAAAACACCTGGGAATTGAAACAACTACATTAAAAAAAAATTCTCTATTTTTAATTGTGTTAAGAAGGTGAAGCCTGAGTCTGTATAAACCCCAGTCTCTAATATTAGGATCATTAGCTCAAGTGCAGAAAGGGAATGTGGAAGAACAACCCTCACTCAAGGGGTGAGAGACAGGCTCACCAGGAAAGTCAGGCTGCAACTTTACACACATTAACCCATTGGCTTTCTTATACTTCTGTGTGAAGGGTATCTGTTTCCAGATTTGCCCATATGGAAACAAAGCCTACCCTTCTGAAATGAAGACAGCTCCCTATTTAAACTAGGCAAACTTAGAGACTTCCACTCCAGTTTCTCACCATCTTTTACTTTTTTTTTTTTTTGAGACAGTCTCTGTCGCCCAGGCTGGAGTGCGGTGGTGTGATCTCGGCTCACTGCAATCTCCGCCTCCCATATTCAAGCGATTCTCCTGCCTCAGCTTCTCAAGTAACTGGGATCATAGGTGTCTGCCACCACACCTGGCTAATTTTTGTATTTTTAGTAGAGGCAGGGTATCGTCATGTTGGCCAGGTTGGTCCCGAACTCCTGATCTGAAGTGATCCACCCACCTTGGCCTCCCAAAGTGCTGGGATTACAGGCATGAGCCACCGCACCTGGCCCTTATACTCTCTTTTAAAGGGGCAGCATCATAAAATCTGTGTCATCATCAGTATTTAATGGACACTTCTATGCACATATAGGGTAGGCCATATCCTGGTAGCAATGAGAGCACACGCACGCACACACACACATACACACACACTGGGAACTTGTAAAACCGTATATTCAGGAGCTGGTGGAAGGAGAGACCGTTGTAGGTACACAGGGAAGCTTGACCCTATGTATCTACAAGGATATGTGGAGTATCCTTATAGATATGCTGGATATCTACAGCTGGGCCTTGGCTGATTCATAATCATATTATTTTTGTAGAATAGGTAATGTTTTAATAAAGCTGCTGGAGAAAGCTGAGTCATTTAAGACAACAACACTGCAGGCCACGCGGTAACATCAGCAGCCTATGCCTCTCACCTCAACAGAAAGGGAGAAAATACACATCAGCATTTACAAGTTGAATTATAGGAATATGCAAACTGGCAGGAAGCGAATTAGTCAATGACTCAAAGCAATTCACGCTGAGAATCCTGAAAAGGGCTGTGTGTGCCAGCTCCCTGACCTGGGTGCTGACCCGCTGTCAAGATAGCCCACAGTCAGGATGGCCTTCCACGCTCTGATTATTGCAGGCCAAAGCTAACAGAAATACAACATTTTACTCCATAAAACTGGGGTGAAGCTAGAGGAGTGTACTGCTAATAATTTCACCTCTGTTGCCATAAGACACAAGAGCAGTAATTAGTGGATTCAATGGCTACTCCATTTTCAAATCATTCAGGAACTAAATAACAGAAATGTAAGAGTTCTATCTGGGGAAAAATGTCCTTGATTGCTGTAATTAACTCCTTTAATGATGTTGTACCATCTTCAACAGTGGTTCTCTCTTCAGACCTACTTAATCAGAACTACTAGGGCTGGGCCCTGGGAACCTGAATTATTAAAAGGGTTTCCCAAAGGCATCAGATGATCAGCCAGCTTGGGAACCAGCCAGGCAGGAAGATATTTCTTCCTGTAACTCATTCTAGTCCCCTACCCCTTCTTCCCACATATATAATCACGACACTAACTGAAGCCCAATCGTAGGGCAAGTGAGAAGGAAAAGGGACTGTTGACAGGCTGATTTCAGAGTTTCAATAAGAAAACAAAGCAAGTTATAATTTGATTTTTCGTTTTTCCTTTTTGTGTGAGGTTTTTGTTTACCCAGAAAAATCAAAACAGATCTTTATTAAAGGGGCAGAACAGGAAGGAATGGCAAGAGAACACAGTCACTGAGGAGACAGGACTGTTAGAATATTTGTTCGCAGAGAAACCTGACACTATGGTACAAAGTTGTTCCTGCCTTTCCAATTTTAATTGGAACGCATGAGTACGAAGCATGAGCCTGGAGAAAGAACCAATAATCAGGCTCGTGGTGGTGCACAGTCCCAAAAGGCTGAGCGCTCTCTCTTAAGGGGTCAGAGGCACCCACTATAGCCCTGGCTGGCTGTGTCATCAGAGGCAAGGTTTCAAATTTCTGTGGGTCCCCGATTTCTTCATAAAGTGAAAGAAGTGGACAAAATGACCTTGAGAGTACCTTCCGGCTTAAAATACTTCTATACTTAGAGCCTTCCTCCTCAAGTATAACAAAACCCATAAAGCATCATCAATTCAAAGAAACACAAGAGTTTTGTACTTTCCTCCTGCAAACTGCTTCCTCACATCCAAAGAGAATGAGAAGGTGAAAATGGAGCCCACACACATGCCATAACCCTCAACAGCTTTGCCAAAAAATGTTCTGTAACACATGTCATAGTTGAGTGAAGTTGAGGCAGTCTAAGCTAATAACCTAGCATTGGCCACGTCCTTATACCTTTGCTCCTGAGAGCCAAGCAGCAGAGACCAGATGTTTAGAGCAGGTGCCAGCAAAGTGGCGGGCTGGGATGCAGCCTAGAAGCCCCTGGGCCGCTGAGATGTGTCTGACAGGAAAGCTAAGATTACCAGGGCTAGTACAATTGCAGGAGGATGTAGTAGCTTCCACGTGCCTACGAGGCAGCATTCAATTCTGAGGGCTGGATATGACACACATGACTCTGAGACATGCTTTCAACCTGGTCTTCCCGATCCCTCTGATACAGGGAGGCCAGCTCTATAACAATGCTCATACCTGAGAGGTCGGCCTAAGTTCTGAGCAACCCTGGGCAGAGACCCTTACCTGGAAGCGCAGGATGATGGTCCAGATGAGGCCAAGGGTCAGCCGGTGGTTTCCATCCACGATGTCATGGGACCCCATGTTCTCAAGATGGACTCTCTGCTCCTTCAGGAACTGAAGGGCCTTGTCCACATTCTCTAAGCAGTGGATGCGCATTCGTCCCTTGGTGGGTTTAGGCTAGAAACAGGAGAGCAGAGGTAGAGACACATCACCCAACAGAGTAGAGATGAACCCCGAGTTACTGCCTAGTCACATGTGCCCATTCATGCAATGCTCTCCCGCTCAGAGCAGAACATTAACAAACACATGTACTCATTAAGTCCAAGGACGGTATTTACCTAACGGCCACAGAAAAAAAGTTTACTTAAGGGGATGATAACTGATTCCTCTTTAGAGAATAGTTGTGGAGCTATATAGTTTACAAATGAGCATTTGTTTAAGTTCAGGGAAGAGAGAATCCAATTTTCATGGAGAATTTCAGCGCTACTGCTGCCATCCATACAATTTTTTTTTTTTGCAGGTGCATGACAAAACACCTGTGAGGATTTTCTGATTACTTGGAATGTAAAATTAGGTTTGCCACCTGCTGGCAACCCTTAAGCTTGGCTCAAAATGAAAACAGGGAACACAACCATCAAATCAGAAGAATTTCCAAGTGGTGGTTGTGTGTGGAGGGATGGGGTGAAGGTTAAGTAAAGAAGTATAACTTACTGAAAAGAAGGGGAAAAGGGAAAAAAATGAGTGTAGTGCAATTTAAATACCCCAAATGTTTCTTCCCTCTACCCAGTTTTATCAAAACGTAAAAGAGGCCCTTGGAAGGTGAACATTTTAAATAAAACAAACAAACAAAAAATATATATATAGAGAGAGAGTAGATAATGCATATGTGTATATATACATCTACTATAAAATATACTATTATAGAAGTATATATACGTCTCCTGTAAAAGCACACACACATCTACTATAAAAATATAGTAAATATACACAGTTGACCTTTAGTTGGGCCTGAACTATTCAAATGCACTTATACATGGATATTTTTCAATAAATAAACTGGAAAACTTTTTAGAGATTGGTGACAATTTGAAAAGATTCAGATGAATGGCCTAGCCTAGAAATACCAGAAAAATTAAGAAAAAGGTATGTCATGAATGCATAAAATATATATAGATGTTAGTCTATTTTATAATTTACTACCGCAAAATATATACAAATCTGTCATAAAATTAAAAATTATCAAAACTCATACACACAAACACAGATTGTAATGGCACCATTTGAGCAGTATTAAATCTTGGTATGTACTGTACTACTATAGTAATTTCAGAGCCATCTCTAACTCCTACTGTGATGAGCTCAAGTATTGTTGAGTGCCTACTTAAAATGCCTATGATGCTAATCATCTCCACGTGGTCTCTCTAGTAAATTGGGTATCACAGTAAAAAGCCATCTCTCACAGTTCTTGTGTATTTTTCACAGTGTCTAGTGCAATACTGTAAACCTTGACTAATATCATGAGACCCAAAGTGCCACTAGTGATGCTGGAAGTACTCCCAAGAAGCAGAGAGAAGTCATGACATTACAAGAAAAGGATGAACTGCTTGCTATGTATTGTAGATTGAGGTCTACAGTTGTGGTGGCCCACCATTTGAAGACTAAAAAAAGAAAAGGAAATTTGTGAAGCCATCCCTGAAGCTACACCAGCAGATGCAAAGACCTTGCACTTTTTTGTGAAATATCTTTTTATCTCATATTGAAAATGCAGCGTTTGGCTGGGTGCAGCAGCTCATGCCTGTAATCCCAGCACTTTGGGAGGCTGAGGCGGGCAGACTGCTTGTGCCCAGGAGTTTGAGACCAGCCTGGACAACATGGCAAAAACCCGTCTCTACAAAATAAATAAATAAATAATGAATTAATTAAAAATGCATCTTTTATGTGAGTGCAGGATTGCCATAAGAGAGGCATACCTAAGGACTAATATGATTTGAGAAAAAATGAAGTCATCATATGACAATTTAAAGGCATAGGAAGGTGAAGGATCTAAGGCTGGAGAATGTAACACCAGCAAAGGATGGCATGACTATTAATTTTTAATTGGGTAGCCCTCAGAACCAGGAAAGGTTCACAGAGCTCCCAGTCTGATAATTTCGGAAAGAGGTTTGGCTTAAAAAATGTCAAGGAATTGGGAGAAGCAGCTTTTGCTGACCAAGAGGCAGCA
Organism: Homo sapiens; assembly: GCF_000001405.40. Lineage (NCBI taxonomy): Eukaryota > Metazoa > Chordata > Mammalia > Primates > Hominidae > Homo > Homo sapiens. The sequence goes on along the minus strand of NC_000002.12, from coordinate 54,610,116 downwards.
GATGAGTTCCCAGGCACCATTAAGAAAATCAATGAAGGAAAAGTGTATCTTGCCTCAACAAGTTTTTAATGCAGACGAAAGTGCCCTGTTCACAAAAGCCCAGTAAGAGAAAGAGAGGTGAGCACCAGGACTTAAGGCATAAAGGGATAGGCTAACTCTACTGTTCTGTGCAAATGCAGCTGGGTTTATAATCAGGACTGCCCTTATTCATAAGGCTGCTAACCTTTGAGCCTTGAAGGGAAAAAATAAATACCAGCTGCCAGTCTTCTGGTTGTACAAAAAGAAGGCCTGGACAATGACAACCGGTTTTCTGAATTGGTTCTACTGATGTTTTGGTTCCTGAAGTCTCAAAGTACCTTGCCAGTAAGAGGCTGCGTTTTAAAGTTCTTTTGGTATTGGATAATGCCCCCACCCAGAACCCCATGAGTTCAACACTGAAGGCACTGACATGGTCTACTGGCCCCTAAACACAACATCCCTAATTCAGCCTCTAGATCAAGGGGTCATAAGGACTTGTAACGCTCATTACTACACAAAACTCTATGGAAAGATTTGTTGATGCTATGGAATAGAATCCCCAACAGAGAGAACATCAGGAAAATCTGGGAGGACTACACCACTGAAGATGCCATCATTGTTACAGAAAAAGCTGTGAAAGCCATCGAGCCTGAAACAATACATTCCTGCTGAAGAAAATGATGTCCAGATGTTACACAGGACTTCACAGAATTTATGACAGAGCCAATGAAGGAAATTATGAAAGAGGTTGTGGATATGGCAAAAAGGTAGAGGGGTGAAGGTTTTCATGATACGGATCTTGGAGAAATTCAAGAGCTATCAGACACCACATCAGAAGAATTAACGGAAGACGACTTGATGAAAATGAGTGTCTCCAAAAAGATGACAAATGATGCGGAAGAGGATGTAAAAGCAGTACCAGAAAACAAATTGAATTTGTTCCAAGGGTTCCAATTATTCAAGACTGCTTGTGTTATTTCCATAAAGTTACACCAAGTGTCCCTGCCTCTTCTGCCTCCCCTTCTACCTCCTCCACTTCTACTACACCAAGATGGCAAGACCAATCCCCCCACCTTCCTCCTCAGCCTACTCAACGTGAAGACAAGGATGAAGACATTTATGATGATCCACTTCCACTTAATGAATCTGCAAATATATTTTCTCTTCCTTTTCTAACATTTTCTTTTCCCTAGCTTACTTTAAGACTACAGTAATGTAATACACATAACATGCAAAATATGTTAATTGACTGTTTATATTATTGATAAGACAACAGTAGGCTATTAAAAGTTTTGGGGGAATCAAATGCATAGGAAGATTTTCAGCGGCATGGGGTTGGTGCCCCTAAACCCCCTGCTTTGTTCAAGGATCCACTGTGTGTGTGCATGCGCGCACTCGTGCGCGCATGCACACACACGCACACAAAATGGGTTTCTATTATCTGTTGTACCAACACCAAGCTCATGCCCTCGCCCATCTGGCTCCATCCTTCTCTCCTTCCTATTTCCCATCACTCCCCCTCTAGTAGAGGCTGCACCTGGAGCTGATGTCACCATCTCATAAAGATGCCAGGAGGATGCACACATCCACATGTAGAAGAACGCACTCAGCCTGTGACCCATCATCTTGACTTCCCAATCTCTTCACCTCATCACACCTACCTACCTTCCAAGGCTCAGGCCAAGGCCCATCTTTCCTTCCCGGAGACATTCCCATTTCCAATCATTCTGGTTCTCACAGCTCTTCTTTTCCTCACAACTCTACAACTAACAGGCTGGACCACAGAGCCCAGGAACTCATCATTATAATTTTGCTGTTGTTTCATTTATTGCTCTTATTACTTCCAACTAGACTGTTCGCTTCCTAAGAGCAAGGATGAGGCTTTATACTTCTATATTCTCAGGGGTTTTTGGTCCAGTTCTGAGCACAGAGTTATGTGCACAGTGAACTGAATGCCAGCAGACAGACTGGGCTTGGTGTGTGCTGAGCGGACCTCACAGGGGAAAGGGGGCCAGGCTGCAGCAACCCAGGTACACGCAATTAAGGGCAGCAGCCAGCCCTACCTTAGTATCTTGTCCATTCCCTGCTCTTCCCCTGGGTAGTTAAGATCCTCAGCTATGTGCTGTACGGAAAACGTCTGAAAGGAAGGTTACTTGGGTAACAAGCGGCCATTTTAAGTCTGTCCAGTCTCAGATTATTATTTTTCACTTTCTTTTCTCCTATAAAAAAGGACAAGTAAAAACAGAAGAATGTGGTTGACCTTGAGGAAATAAGATTATGTGCAGAGGCCTACCACAAGTAGAAAAATTTTATTTTCAAATATATTTGTCCCTTGGTATCCACAGGGGATTGATTCCAGGACCCCCAATGATACCAAAATCCATAAATGCTCAAGTCGCTTATATAAAACGGCACAGTATTTGATATAACCTATGCACATCCTCCCATCTACTTTAAAAATTAATTTATTAATTTTTTTTTTGAGACAGAGTCTCGCTCTGTCGCCCAGGCTGGAGTGCAATGGCACGATCTCACCGCAATCTCTGCCTCCTGGGTTCAAGAGATTCTCCTGCCTCAGCCTCCCAAGTAGCGGGGTTATAGGCACCAGTCACCACGCCTGGCTAATTTTTGTATTTTTAGTAGAGATGGCGTTTCACCATGTTGGCCAAGCTGGTCTTGAACTCCTGATCTCAAATGATCCATCCACCTTGGCCTCCCAAAGTGCTGGGATTACAGGCGTGAGCCAGCCCCCCGGCCTCCCATATATTTTAAATCATGGCTATATTATTTGTAACTAATACAATATAAATGGTATGTAAATAGTTGTTATACTGTATTTTTAAAAAATTGTATCACTGTTTATTTCTGTATTGTTATTTTTCATTGTTCTTCCCCTTGAATATTTTCTACCTGCAGTCAGTTAAATCTGCAGATGCAGAACCAGACCATAATAGCAATGGAAAAAGAAATGTCTTTAAACATTAAGCTTTTCACATTAATGTGATATCCTCCTTACCCCAAAAAAAGAAAGAGGTGGATTTTGCCTTTAGAAACTTCAAAATGATTTTAATTCGGTTATGTGGGAAATGCTAGAATTTGCTATTTGTGCAATGCCAGGTTGCATCAAAATCAAGCAATCTAACGAGGTAGGAAAAAATAGATATAAAATACGGGTGGGCTTAATCTAAAATTCTGTAACTCTGATTCTGCAAGTGCTGTTTGAGGTAACACTGGTGCTCTCTCTCCACGGTACACCCGTCAGCCTCCTAAAGCTGGCCCAGACACCATTACGCTCCTATCCGAGAAAGGGATGCCTGTGTAATCGGTGCCGCCCTAGAAGAGGTGGGTGGAGCAGCTCTCCCCGCCAGCAGTCACAGAACTGCATATGGCTCTCATGTGTGCTCTTTAAGTTTTTCCTTTTGTCTCCTGGATCAGCTATCATTTCTCATGCTGAAACGTGACTATTCACAGCAGCCCCTTTTCTTCTCACATCCAGGTGGTTTCTGGATTGAACGAAGCTCCTGGTTCAAAACTGTTCAAATTTGAGGGATGGGGATTAACTGCCTCTAAGAAAGGTGCAGGGGCTTCTGACATTTTTGCTGTTCAGGGGCCTTTTCTTCTCATTTCTTGTCAGTTCGTGCACCTGAGCAGTGAGATAGTGAGTGGTCCAGCTACATGTGCTGTTTCCATCACAAACAAAGTGTCTTCATGATGGGAACTGCAGATCAAGGGGGACAGAAACTTCTAACTGCAGCAGCCATTCTCATAAGTCTCCCTCCAAGAGGGTGGAGGCGACAGTGTGGATGGTATTATGAGAAGTTAAGGAAGAGAATAATGAATAGATGGGGACTGTCGGTACCTTCCCAGGCTCCAACCAGCAGGACATAACCAATGTTCTTTCAGACTTTATCCTGAAAGCTTGATCTCAAATAATCACTTGTCTGACTTACATTCAAATGAATGCGGTAGAAAAAGTGGTCCTCTCAGAATCTCCTCCCCACAAACAGGAAACATGTATGAGACATTCCACAACTCTATTCTCTCTCTACAAATCTCAATGGAATGTGTGTGTGCTTCCACATGAACATGGGGTCCAGGGTGTGGGAGGGGGAGGGTGGTGATGGGGCCCAAACACATTCACGCAGGTTGAAGAAGTTCAATGCCACATCACAGGGACCCCATGCTGATGGCGACTGGCTGTGCCAGATGAACTAAGGGATGGTTCATTCCAGACCTGGATGCAACTCAAAAACCAGCAAGCCACAGAATAACAAGAATAAACAAGATACAGCAAGGTGAGATGACCTCCTGGTGGTACTATACGAGAGGAGTGGGAATTGAGACTAAAACTCAAGTACACCACACACTCCCACAACGTGTGTTCTATCTGCTTCAGAGTAGGCTTCTCACATGTTTTAAAGCACAATACCTGGGCAAGTTTAGGAAGCAGTAATTACAAGAAATTAATTTCAAGAGGTGATCATGATCTCACAGAGCTATCCATAGAAACATGTTGGTCATACAAACTTCAAAGTTCCCAAGATCTAAAAATTCATAGCTGCCACTTACTGAGCAACTACTGTGTGTTCACCTCTCCCTGCTAGGTGGTTGACAACTGTGATCACATCTAATCCTCACAGTAACCCTGCATTATAATAATTACTATTCCTGTCATTTTATACATGAAGACACAGTGGCTCAGAGAGATGAAGCAATCTACCAGCTAGTTAGGATGTGGTGAACCAGGACTTAAAGCTCGTCCTCTTTACAGTACAGGAAAAACCCAGAATACAGGGAAGAGGGGTACATGCTTCCATGTGAAAGGAAGTGAGGGACTCGGTTCCCATCTGGTGGCTGGTTTTCATTTTTTTAAAGAGCTATTTTTATATTGCCAAACTTCATCTTCTCAAAAGGAAGAAGAGGTAACAATAGAGAATTAAACACAATGGAGCAGAGGGAGGGGGCGCCTCTCAGCAGTAAACACTTTCTGAAGCCTGCCCCAAGAGCAGCTAATTCTGCAAAGGAAAGAAGCGTCCTCTGTCTTGCCTCCATTATTGGCCATCGGATTCCCTAGTGCGGCATGCTTCCGTCCCCACAGCAACATGTGCACTTCTGTGTCACTTCTGACAGGAAAGTCTGAAACGCCCTTAACGTGGGGCCAAGGGTCGATACCAGACTCCTGTGACTATCGGGGCTCTGCAGGCAGAGAGCAGTTCCTCTGAGGAAATGCCTATTTTTACTGATCCTCCTTTAAATCATTTTAAGAAGCTTCCCTTCCCCTCACACTACAGTCCGTGGATTCCTGTGTTTTTTTCACAGGCACTTTTTCTGTTTCCCCCTCCCAAGGTCCCGTCTAGTCCTAAACCTTTACCAGCCATATCTCCATCCCAGGCCCATCTTCTTTCTCGCTCTAAAACAGGAGAGGAAACTTAAGGGGCTACATAAACATCTCTAGGATCTGACAACATAATTCTAATTGCTTATTAGAGTCCAGTCCAGGCCCTGCCTAAGAAGCAGTATGGCCTTGGGCAATTCCTTCGCATGGACCAAAAACCCTTAGAGAGGAAGGAGGGGGCTGGGTGATCCCTCCTGGGGCACTGGCTCTGTCCCACCTGCCTGCCCAGCCTTGAGTTTGGGTCATTTACACTCTGCAAGGCATCAGGATTTGCAGAACTATGGAGTAATTACAACCGCAAAGGTTTTGTCACTCCAGAGATGGAGAGGAAAAGAAAGAAAGAAAGAAAAAAAAAGCTTCTGAGAGCTAATTTGGCCTCTTTTTTTTATAGGAGAGGAAGATATAAGGGAAGGTTTCTGGCAGGGTGTTTTGGGAGGTCTCTGGGGTGCTGCGATGCCCTGTTCCACCCTGTACTCCCTGCCCCTTCTTTCTCTATACGTGTCCAAAGAAACCCTGCAGCTACCTGGAGTGACAACTATCAAGGGTTGTGGTGCTGGGCAGAGCACAGCCCCGGGCACTGAGAGAGGCCAATGAGGCCTAGATCTGCCATAACCCAGCTGGGTGGCCTTGCTGGTCACTTATTTTCCCTGACTTACCATATCTACCAAGTGAGGGGATTTAACTTGGTGGTCACTGAAGTCACTTACAGCTGTATGATAACAATCTACAGGGTGTTGCAGGACAGAGGACTCACTAGCACCAAAGCTGAAGTCTACAGTGTCTGCCAATCTCTTGTTCAGGTGAAGAGGAAATACAGAAGACACTGATCTCAGCAAATCAGTGTGACAGGCACTTGCTTATGTTTTTTTCTTTTAATTAAACATAGATTTTTGCTATACACATTCACAAACAAAGGCCTCTACGGAATACATAGGGTAGGATGGGAAGCACTAATTCCAAAATTTCTTCTAATATGCTACAAAGCCAAACTCACTTCACACTAGTCCCCAAACTCCTCCCAACACATGAAACTTTGAGCTTTCAGAGGAGTATTAGTTATTTTGGCCCAATTACAATTAATCGGGGAATACCACACTGTGTCCCATGACTTCCTGCCTGTCTTGTTCCCAGCTGGGACCCACTCCTAAGGGCTCCATGGGAAAGGAGGCGCTGAAGAGTCAGCAGGGTGGGCTGCAGTCCACACCATATCGCCTACTAGCAGCACTGGCCTTGGCAAGTCACTGGTAACTGTTTTCTGTAAAGCAGAGGTTGCCCACTTCATTAGACTGTAAGAACTGAATGAGAAAAGAGTAGGAGAGTACTCTGTAAACACAAGTGATAGGGAAGTTACCATCACCACTCCTTTCAAAAAAAACCCCTCCAGTTTGGCTGGGAAACTTGCCCTGCGCCAGTTCCTGATGCCTGCTACCTCCAAATGCTCTCTTCACTTAGTCCAAACTATGAGCTTTCACACTCTGGCTGCCCGGCCTGTGAAGCTCTTCTCCTGGACCCAGCTGGAACCCTACCCACACCCTACCCTCCTACTAAGGTTTCTTGACATCCTGTCCAGAGGGCTCATCTCCCCTTCTGAACTCTAGGGCTCTGGGGCCATTCATCTGGCACTTTATCATGTGGCACTTAGGACTCTTAGTTCACTTCTCAAGTTTGTGTGATTAGACCCACATTTAATGTAGGAGTTCTGTGGCTGGTTGTTTAAAACAAAAGTAAATTCTCCCATACAAATGACGTTTTTAAGAAACCCCAACGAGGTTCCATGGCCAGTCCACAAACACTATTTCAATAAACAATATGTACCAGTATGGTTCTCTTAAACAAAGGCTTTATGAAAAAACTCAGAGCAGTTCAACGTGGGATTTGAGGCTTAACAAATCTCATGTTAAATCTATCTTCTCCACCTAGCTCAGCCTGCTTTGAAATTAATGGTGGCAACATACACAAACACACACACATGCACGCACACACACACTCTTTTCTGTTGCTTTCTCAGAGAATGACTGATGGAGTAAGAAGACAGAATACAGATCAGGAAACAACAGGGAAGCAAAAACCAGTGATAACTGACTTGGTGGGGTTTGGGGGAGGGCAGAGTTGTTTGGAAAACCTCACTCTATCTCGGTCAGAGGCGAGGGCTTAGTCTGGCCAGGAGCAAGGCAAAAAACTGGCCACCATAGTGAGAATCAATCTTCACTGCAGACGCCCATGAAGGGAGATGGCAGGCAATGGGGAGCATCTAAAGTGGATTATGAGCTGTGGGCAGAACATTACCATTGAAGTGCAGGCCTATCGTATGCCAGGGGCTCCTCTCTCTCCACATGTCAACGCTGCTGCAGGGCAAACCATCACCCCTCAAGCCTCATTCTACTCTGGTCCTGAGATCTAGGTCTAATTACTAAGTGGCCAGCACAGGTTCTGTGCTCACACTTTTATCTGCCAATCCAATGTTAAAGTAAAGGGTGGGTCTGTATTTCTAAGGCATTTTTCAAGTGAGACCTTTATGGAGAGTTATAGACTATAGTGAACTCAGAATAAGAAATGAGAAAAGAATAGTTTTATTTCTAATCAATCTAATCCTGACTAGCAGAAGCTTCCTGGCCCAGCTCTCAGCCTTCTCACTGCTCTATGAGCTGATACACCTGAGACCGAGAGGGAGCAGACACTTCTGGACACAGATCATAACCAGGCCAGGACCAGAGATCTCTGCCTTGTGATGTTGCTGAGTAGTTCAAAATCAAGTTCCCAAATGCCTACATGATACTTGCTCATATTTAACTCAAATATTATTGAGCCAAAATCCAGGGTGGGGTGAGGGTGGAATTGTCTGGGTCATTAATGTTTCTTTGAACTTTACTCAGAAAACACACATGCACACATTCACAGATTTCCTCCTCTGTAAAGGAAGTGGCTCTAAGAATCTATTAATTAAGTAAATTGAATCACCTAGTCCCTCAAACATTTATCTGCTAGCTATTGCCAAGCTGGTGGTTAAGTGCTGGGGCTAAAATGCTGGCTGACAAAGACTGGGCTCCAGATAGAGTGCAAACATTTATGTTACCCAGGGTTTTGGACCACTGGTGCAGAAAGCCCAGCTAATGTTATCTGATGACACACTTAGCTGGGACATTCATTTACCCAGGCCTGGAAGCTCTAACCACCTCATTAGTTCTGGAATCTGAATATGCAAGGAACCTTTGGGGCAAGCTCTCATGGAGGTCTTCTGCAGGGAGGATCTTTAACTTGAGGTCCTGGCAACCTCCACGGCCAAAGGCAGTGTGTGGTGTGTTTCCTTTCCAGGAAGTTCCATGAACCAAACAGACTACGAGGCCAAAGAGACTTAAAATCTCCAGCCCAGATGAACAAGAGCTTTAAGAGCACTCTATCTATGGTATCTTTATTTTTGGAATAAGAAAATTAGACTGGCCAACCTATATAATCCAAGATGGCTGTGAAGAATGGGTAATACAAATGAAGGCACTAGGGGCTTTACAAAGTTCTGTAAAACTACTGATATCGACTGCCTAAGAGGTTGGAGATGGTAGCCACTGTACCATCTTCTTCATCCTTACTCTCCTAGGTCTCTGGGTTGCCACAAAAAAACTTACTGCTAACAAATAAGGAGAGGAGTGGGAGATACTCACACACATCTAAGAATTATGCTTTACTGGTTTTTCTCCCTACTTATATTTTTCTTGCCCTGTTCAGAAAAAACGGCAATGGGCCTGATCCCATTTATGATGTGGACATTATCAAGGACACAATCTTCTTGGTATAAAATAATTATGGGTCTTTAAAGGTGAACAGTTTACTCCCTACAGCCTAGAAGATTGGACCCTATTGGAACAAAAATAAATTAAAAAAAAAAAACCACAAAAATAAATGTTCAGACTAACTCCTATCCATGTGACCTTTAATGATTTTTTTTAGCTACTTTCAAAACACCATTCCCCCACTCCACAAAAAAAAAAAAAAAATCAATAAATAAACATACTAGGTTAAACACTAAGAAACAAAAAAAGGTTGAGAGGTAGACAAAGGAAGTCTGGTTATAAAAATTATACTTAAAGCTGCATATCACAATAATTCTAGTCTAGGCTCTCAAACAAGACTCACTTTGGAAAATCAAATCAAAATGCAATAAATGGCCTGTTCAAACTCCCCATGTGGGTCCACTCCCTCACCCCCAGACCACAAATCAACTGCCTTCTTATAGCCATCATGGTTTTGAGCAGGGGTCTCCGTTATTTGTCTAGTTTGTCTAGTGTGACCGACAAACCCTCACAGAAAATGAGGCCACAAGACCTACATGCTCAGGAACAAAGGGCATGGATGAAACTCACTACAGAGAAGACAGGGCTTCACTATCTTCTGGAGAGCCCTGTTCTTGAACTGAAGGGCAGGGAAGAGAATACTTTTCTGGCTCCATTTCAACCCAGACTCAAAGAGGCAGTCTGTCTCTGAGCTGATAACAAATAGGACAAGGGACAACCTTAGACCCTTGCCTGCGGTCAGAGGTGTGGGGCAGGTCTGCACACAGGCCTACTGCGGCTGGCAAGCTACAGGGTGGAGATCAAGTTAAAAATAAGGCTTTCTGGCAGCCCTGCCAACTGCCAGCATCATATTTTCCTGGTGATGTCAGTACAGATGTGGTCTCCATTCTGGGCGTTGGCTTCTGGCTCGGCACCACTTCCACCTATGGCACTACATGTGCTCTGGGAGGATACAGCAACCATTTTCAAACCAAGGTGAGACAAAACCTGTTGGATCAGTCACAGTGACTGCTTTAAGCTTCTTTGGTATAAGGTGCATAAACAAGAGTCACATCAGAGAGGGCCGCAGCAGCTCTGGGAAACAGATTGGGGATACAATTTTCATTGCAGGCTGACAACTTTCCTGCCTGAAAAGGCAGGGTGAATTCATCAGAAGCTCCTTTCCCAAGGAGATGACAAAACACCAGCTTCTCCCTCCACTCCCAAAATAAAAAGCGTGCAGGGAAGAAAACATCAGTGGCCACTGAATTCAATGCTTGCCACCTTAAGATGGCAGCTCAGATTTTCTAGACAACCAGAAAGACACAAATTTAGAAAACATTCCATCATCGCATGTGGGACACAGGTTCATCTAGAAGCCAGCGCCCAAGCCTGGCCCTTCAAATTCCAGCACCATGCCCTGTTCTTGGCAGGAACCCCAGCCAAGTTCTTTCTGACCAAAGGTGGCAACCTTGCAAATTACCAGAACAAAGTGGCTTTATTACAGCTCAAGAACATCATCCACGCTCAGAATGTGACACTAAGGCTCTCCCTGAAGCGCTCAACTCACTTCTCAAGATTCTCCTCAAAACTATCAACCATTAAGTGCAGAATTCAACAGGAGACAAGTCACACTTGATTTTTCAAAAATATTTTCCACCTACAACACACGGCACTTCCTAAGGTCTCCACTCACCAGCCTCTCTCCAGAGAGGACCTCCAGCAGCTTGATGAGCATCCGTCCATCTCGAAGGTCAGTGTACAGGTCTGTGATCCGGCAGGACACACGGGCAAGGTGGGAATTGACCCACTTGGTGAAGGTCTTCTTCTGCACGGCTTCACGCTCATCTGCAAGCAGAGAAGAACTTGTTTTACCATTGACCACAGAACTGGCAGGAGCAGGCACATGCTAGCAGGGCCACAAGACCCCAGCCAGAGGAAGGTCAGCAAAACTGACCTCCAAGGACACCTCTACTTAGCGCCCCTTAACTGCGGTCATGTCTTTGAGAAAGAACACTGATTACTGATGGTTCAACTTACAATTTTTTGACTTTACGATGGGTTTACTGGGATATAATCTCATAAGTCAAGGAGCATCTGTGTAGGAACTGTCCAGTCCTTAAACATGTGAGCTCCCAGGCACACTGCCAGCAGAACATCCTTTGCTCCCCTTTCTTTTCTCCCATCCCTGCTGAAGAGGCAGCAGGATGCAGATGACAACAGGGTCCTTTGCAGTCCTGCCCTATACCATAATACTTGACTGGTAAAGCTTCCTACATACATGTTACAGCTATTATTCCTCCAAAAGGTGAGTATATTAAAGGGTGTAGGGTAGGAAATCTCATGAGACAGCAGAAAACTGCTTCCCTCATCTACAAAGGATTGGGCAACACTGGACAAGATAAATTAACTCATGACCTTGGCAATGACCGTCTTCACCTGCTCAGTCACACACACCATGAACAACAAAAGAAAATGGCAAGCAACATGGTAGAGTGCAAAGACATCGCAGGCATCGGGAAGTCTTTGCAGGCATCGGGAAAGCAGGGTCTGGGCCCAAGGTTTCAACAAAAATGTGACTCAACACAGGATTCAATGTTCTCTTCTATAAAAGGAGAAGAAAAATATAATCTCCATACTGTGATCCTTCGCTGAAAAGGCAACTGCTGATTTATGGTCTAAAGCGTGATTGTTGTACATTCAAGTCATCCAGGAAACAGTGTTAAAGGTTTTTCAAAGCTCAGTAATCAAATTCTGTCCAATTTAAGGTATAAAACTCTAGACATATTTGCCCAGAACTGGCCTTCACATACCATACAAATAGGCTTTCAAACTTCTTGCCTCTGCAGAATGTTCTAAACATAGGTTGCTGAAGACCTTCAACAGACATCCACAGAACGTACCCTGGACCCAACCACTCTTACTCCCTGACTCTGTTCTCTATGTTACATACACTATATCTAGTTCCACCAGCATGAATTTATGCCAAAAATCTAAGACCTACTCCTAGTGCAAACCCAAATGACAAAAATAATTACACACGAATCTACAAAAAAAAAAAAAAAAAAAAAAAGCAGATAGCTCAACAATTTGGCATGTATTTCAAAACCACTGGGTGGGGGTAACAACTAAAAAGCCACCCTTGCTAATAAGGCATGTGCCCAGTCGCCTGAGAGTACTGGGTTCTCAGGTTGGCCAGAAGGACAGCAAACAGCCCAACACCCTGGGAAGGTCTGTCTGAAGGCTTTGCTAAACTCACTCCACCACCCACCACAGGGAGGGAATGAGGCAGAGATGACATTGGTTGAGGTTTTACAGCTGCCGACCTGGCAGGAGAATCAGCTGGGGCACCTGCCAAGATCCCCGGCCACCTGCTACAGTCAGCGGCTCCTTGAGGTCCTGCCTTTCCCAAAAAGGACCTACCCATCCAGACAGAAGGAGGGCCCTTCCCCAGGGACAAAGGCCAACCAGAAACACAGGATCAAAAAGGACAGGATTAGAGGAAGCAGAAAAAGACAGTAAGGGGCAGGCTGCAGTGGAGAAGCAGCTGCACCAATAACATCATGACAGGTCCCACAGAAAAGACCACATGCATTATTGATCACGTAATCATTGTGATGGATGGCAACTTTACTACAGTGACTCAGGAGCTGTAATTCTGGGGCTAAGCTTGGCCATTCTGAAAGAGCAGGTCTAGAGCAGAATATGTAAGGTGCATTTCACAGATGGCCTCTTATCAAGGAGGCAAGTAACTCATAGTTTATATGTATTTAGGGTTAACAATTTTTTTTGTGAATTATAAAATCCTTTATGCGTTATACTGGAGTCAGAAAATGTCTTTAATGAAGCAAGGGAGCAAGATCAAAATGAAAACCTGCTTGGATTAAAATATTTCTAAATAAACAAGCACAAAATGTGTTCCTCAGCCAATTGTCACTCTTTTGGGTGAATCTCTCACTAAAGGAGCACCCAGACTTCTTTCAGGTTTTGAATTAACAGGTTCTTTCACAAGGAAACTCTGAGGATTTGCCAGAAACAACAGTCAATATACTTCCTTAGTGCCCTGTCCTAAAGAGTTACAGCCCAATCCCAACCCTCCTCCCTACAGAGAGGCAAATGGAGAGGTCATGGGTGGGTGCAGAGAACAGAGCTGAAACAGACTGAGATCTGTGCCGGGAGGGCTCCCCAGGGCTATCATGGTTCTTAGAAACTCAAAGTAGGTGGGAGGAAAGAAGAGGAGGAAGAGATGTCAAAAATAAAAAAACAAGCTCTTGTGTTCCTGCCCTCTCTTCCTGTTCCCCTCCCTTCGAACTCTCCTCACAGTCAGGAGCAGGCCCCACGAAGTGCAAGAGTGCTGGAAAAATCACGCAGGGTCTAAGTTCCTCAGGTTCACACCCCCACGTTGGAAAAGACACAGAAGATTCCATCCGGGGACCAGACCAGAATCAACACCCTCATAACACACGAGGGGCAGGAAACGGACTCAACAGAGACACACAAAGCCCCAGTCAACTAGCGTGTCCTCTTACAATGGAGCACTTGGAGAACAGCAAATGCTTATGAAGTTGGAAGGAGGGAGACAGAGGGGAAAAGAAATCTATTTGGTGGCTCAGTAGAGGATCAGGCTTCGGGTCCTTGGGGACTCCCTCCTTTGTTCCACCTATCCTGGGAAGGCACAATGACATCACCCCTGCACTCCCCACCCAGCAAGGCTTGGGGATATGGGCCAGACAGTCTGAGGAGGAGCAGGAGGCCCTTGGCACTGACGATGAAAGGCAATCCAGGAGTGCTTCCAAGCTCAAGCTGCTGTGACTGGGGCTAGCTGCGTGAGGAGGTGTTGGGGCAGCAGAGGGCAGTGAGCCGACTTCCAGGCCTATGAGCATGAAGCAACCGTGGTTGCTTCTTACAACCACGGTACAAAAGGTACAAAAAGGTACAAAAAGGTAGCACTTACAAGCTCCATACTGGTTTGGTTATTTAGACCCAAGGTTCTCCAGCAGGGGCAATTTTGATTCCTCGGCACATTTAGCAGTTTGGCAATGTCTACATACAGTGTTGATGGTCACGATTCATGGGTAGATGCTACTGGCATTTAGAGGGTAGAGGCCCAGGATGCTGCTTAACATCCTGCGGTACACAGGATGGCTCCCATAACAAACAATTATCTGGCCCAAAATATCAGCGGTGCTAGGTTGAGAAATCTTGGAAGACACTCCCCAGAGAGCACCCCTCCAAGGTGGGTTGCTATTCTTTCATCATTCTCTTTGATGACCTGCAGGTCAGCTCGAAGGCAGCAGAAATGGCCGGCCTTCAGGCCCACTCACGCCACCAAGGGCACGCCCTTTGCAAGGCAGAGGAGCAGCAGCACCAGCAGCATGGAGCTGGGGCGGGCTGGGTCTGGGCGATGTGAGGTGGGCACTTCTGTGCCTCACACCATTTCCATTCTCCGTTTACCTTTTCTGGGCCTTGTATCGCTGTTATCAAGTCCTCCCCAAGAAGCTGACGCAGCTAAACCTTTCAGTAGGTTCCCAACCAGCCCTGCCCCAAACTTGGTAAGTGGTGCCTCCAAGGAACAAGCACTTCTGTGCCCCTGCCCTCTGGGGGTATCTCTCAGCTATATTTGCCCCCACCCTCCCGCAGTTTACTAAGCTTACGTATTATAAGGACTCATCTAAAGACTGCCCAGCACCAAACAAGAGGAGGTAAAGTGCACATCAAAGTGCCCAGAGTGTTGTAACTGCTCTAAATTAGTTCCGTCTTTTCTCCAGCAAAGAAATAGTCTCACTAATTCAAATCATTTAAGAAATTGGCCAGGTGCAGTGGCTCATGCCTGTAATCCCAGCACTTTGGGAGGCTGAGAGGTGGATCTCCTGAGGTCAGGAGTTTGAGACCAGCCTGACCAACATGGTGAAACTCTGTCTCTACTAAAAATACAAAATTAGCCAGGTGTGGTGGCACATGCCTCTAATCCCAGCTACTTGTGAGGCTGAGGCAGGAGAATCACTTGAACCCAGGAGAAAAAGGTTGCAGTGAGCCGAGATTGTGCCATTGCACTCCAGCCTTGGCAACAAGAGCGAAACTCTGTCTCAAAAAAAAAAAAAAAAAAGAAACTTACCAGAGGGTCATGGAATCGTAAAATCTCAGGACTGAACAAGATTTAGAAGTTATGTAAATCACTTCTCTTTCAAAAAATCCCTTCTTCAACACCTGGGCCAGCTATTTAAAAATCCCAGAATATGAGGAAATTATGTGTGTGTGGCAGAAGGTTGTTTAATAGTTGTATGGAAAGAAAATGACTTTTTTTCTTTTTTATTAAAATATAATTATAGCATTCACTGAGCACTTACTATGTCCCAGGCACAGTCGTCCTTCCGTATCTAATCCCAGTATCTACGGGGAATTTGTTCCAGGACCTCCCTCAGAAACCAAACTCCTTATGCTCAAGTCCCTTATATAGCATGGTATATAGTATTTGCCTATAACCAACATACATCTTCCTGTATACTTTAGATCATCTCTAGATTATTCATAACTAATACAATGTAAATATTGTGTAAACAGCTGCTATATTGCATCTTATTTGTATTCTATTGTATTGTTAATTTTTTTTTCAAATATTTTCGTTCTGTTGTCAGCTGAATCCACAAATGAGGAACCTGCAGATACAGAGGGCTAACTGCACTTATAATCAATCCCCACAACTGCCCCATGAGGCAGGAGCCAGCAACTCTCCAGGCAGGCTGGCTCCAGAGCCCTGGTTCTCATCCACTATGCAATAATGCCTCACGCACAACATTTAAAAAAGTGTTTCTGCCAGACACAGTGGCTCACACCTATAATCCCAGCTTTGGGAGGCCGAGGTGGGCGGATCATGAGGTCAGGAGTTCAAGACCAGCCTGACCAACATGGTGAAACCCCGTCTCTACTAAAAATACAAAAATTAGCCGGGCATGGTGGCACGCACCTGTAACCCAGCTACTCAGGAGGCTGAGGCAGGAGAACTACTTGAACCTGGGAGGCGGAGGTTGCAGTGAGCCAAGATCATGCCACCGCACTCCAGCCTGGGCGACAGCGTTAAGACTCTGTCTCAAAAAAAAAAAAAAAAAAAAAAAAAAAGTGTTTCCATGATACAAGACTTAGAATTACCCACCATCTCACCATCCTAACTAACGCAAGTCCTTATTTTGTAAAGGGTCTGCTGCATTATTGGGTAACTCTCCATCTGTTGGGATGGTGTCTCCATCAAGACTAGACCTGTCTCTGTGGCCCACTATGGCTTGCACCACCTTCAGAGTATGCAGAATAGGTCTCCTCACTTCTCCATGTAAAGGCCCTCAGGTTCAAACACTTCTCACCATCCCCTCTTTGCAATGCTGTACAATGTGGTACAAGTGGGATCCAAGATCACACCTGAGGACCCCACCTCTAGGCAGCCTGGACATCACTTACCTACCAACACAACCCAGGACTCGAGGCAGCTGCAGCTCTGGCAGTCCAGGGAGGAAAGTGGAAAACAAAGTGAAAAAAGGACAAAAAGAACCAGCAGCCCTCCGTGGGAGGAACGTGGTGAGGCTGTCTCTGTGACATGACAGGGGTGGGAGACAGAAAGAAGGGCTCCTAACAATGGTCTCAAAATAAGCTTCTCAGGACCACAAATTCTACCAAAATGACCTTGGAGCCCCGAGAACCTAGGAACCAGAAATGGTTCTGAGTGTGAAGACCCAACCAGCTCAGCCTTTAGTTCCACAGGCTCAGAGATAAGTAAATTAGCTAACTACTGTCAATGAGAACTACTGAGACAAGAAACCCACCCTCAAGTGAGTGGCATTTACATCAGATTCTGATTCCCAGAAGGAGTAAATTATAAGGGAAATCCTAGTATGGTGCTCCTTCCTCCAGATGGAATTTTATAAGATGGTGTGTCTGCAATAACATTGCCATGCATCTGAATGGCACTTCATACTTTCTCTAAGCTCACTAGATCTTCACAGCAAACTATTAGGTAGGTGGGATGCTAGAGTTATCTCTAGCAAAGCCCAAGGCTCAGTGAGGTTAAGGGCTGCTAAGTGTCACCAGCCAGTAGTGGTGAGGTCCTCGGCTCTTTCTCTCCCACTCCAGCCAGGCAAGAGGGATTAAGATGCATAGCTACACCTTCTCCTGTCATATACTGAGATTCACTATCTTTTGTTGTTTGGTTTCTGATAAACAACTTGAAATTCTTAGAAGATGTATTAGAAAAAAAGGATGAGGTAGCTGGGCGCGTTGGCTCACACCTGTAATTCCCAGCACTTTGGGAGGCCAAGGCAGGTGGAATACCTGAGGTCAGAAGTAGTTTGAGACCAGTCTGACTAACATGGAGAAACCCCCATCTCTACTAAAAACACAAAATTAGCCAGGCGTGGTGGCGCATGTCTGTAATCCCAGCTACTCGGGAGGCTGAGGCAGGAGAATCGTTTGAACCCGGGAGGCAGAGGTTGCGGTGAGCCAAGGTGGTGCCTTTGCACTCCAGCCTGGGCAACAGGAGCAAAACTCTGTCTCAGATAAAAAAAAAGAAAAAAGAAAAAAAAAAGTATGAAATATTTAGAACTGAGAAACACATTTGCTTAATGGTTAAAAAAAAGGGCTGTGAATATCCTCTCCACCATCATCCTCTTCTAGAAGCATAACATCTACTTCTTTTCTTTTTAGGGAATGACTGTGATAAATACTGAAAGGCTGTAATGCGTCTATGTAATTTTTTAATTTATATTTTTAAATTAATTAACCAATGAATATATTAGAGAAGGAGTCTGTCACCCCAGCTAGAGTGTAGTGGTGTGATCACAGCTCACTGTAATTTTGGACTCCTGGGCTGAAGCAATCTTCCCACCTCAACCTCCAGAGTAACTAGGATTACAGGCATGCACCATCACACCTGGCTTTTTCATTTTTTTTTGTAGAAATAGGGTCTCATTAGATTGCCCAGGCTGACCTCAAACTCCTGGTCTCCAGTGATCCTCCCACCTTAGCCTCCCAAAGTGAATTACAGGTGTGGGCCACTGCACCCAGCCCCATATTTATTTACTCTAGAGAATTTGCTATAACTGAAAAAATGAACACTGTGTTAGCGTGAGTCAAGTTAGGATACAGAAATAGCTTTGATGAGCAGAAGGGCACTGCATGATGGAAATGATTGTACGGCATCTTTCTGCAATACCCTCAGCACAGAGTGCTAAACACAACTATATTCACCATATGCCACAGTTCTGGTTATGGAAAGGGATGGGAGCCAGGAATGAAGGAAAGCCTGAAGGCATGGAACATCTCCGGATGGAAAAAAAAGGAAACATAGAATCAGGAACTGTCAAAAGACCCTATTCATTGTTCCCCTAAAGACTGAATTTATACCTGGCTTAAGAGAAGGAATCTTTCTTTTACTTTTCAAGTAGTCTGAACCTGCACGTATAACCCAGTAATATTTTCTATCAGGCTCTTCAATTGTGCTAAGATAATGGCCTACCCCCTAAGTAAGAGACAGCAATCATGTAGTTTTTGCTTTGCACAGACATATAGTTAAGTTAGGTGTAGTCTTGGGTTCAAAGTAAGAAAGAAAGGAATTACAGGGATGGAAGTTAAGAAGAAATCAAAAGGGGAGGAAGCAATCATCCCATGAACATATCCCCACTATTTAAATCAATAATACTGTGTTAGCTGACTAATCTGAAATTGAGAGTATTAGTGAGCTCCAATATTACAAAGTGCATACTTTACCTAGAACTCTGTGTCTAAGATAAAGTCTCTTACCCTCAATGAACTAGAAATCTAGCTGGGGATACAAAATAAAAAGTTAAAAAATAACAAAAAGACATTACAAAGAAGTACAAGATCAGTTGCTAAGAGAATAATTTTGACAATCTATTTTTGCGTGTTTTGAACAAAGCTCACCACAATTTGGGTGGTTTCAGACCCCAACTGAACTCCCCTGCCTTGGGCCTCTCTCCGCATTCTAATCCACCTTAAACATCACTACCATAGCCATGTTCCTCAATCAGTGGTTTTTCAAAGTTGCAGCACTGCACCAAAACCTTCAACGGACCCCAGCTATCCAGAAGACAGTCCAAATCTCTGAACCTGGCATTTAAAGGTCCCAAACGGGCTCTCCTAAGGCATCAGCTTCATCTGGGAACTTCCCTGACATGCCGTCTTTTGTTCCAACCTAACAGGTCTTACTCTCATGCTCTGAACTCTCACCTTGCACACTGCTTTTTCCCATCTTTGCTTCTATCATTCTTCTAACCTAGAAGGCAGTTTTCTCTTACCCTTCCTTTAAGATCCAGCCAAGATTAGTTCTACCAAGAGGCCCTCTCCTATCAGATGTCAGCAATCATCATTTGATGGGATGTGGTCTCTCATCTTTTATTATACGTCTTGTGTCCTATCTCTTCAATTAACTTGCAGTTGGCTCAGAGGCAAAGGCTCAATCCTATTCATGTTTAGAGCTTTAGCATATACATGACATAAAGGAGGTGCACAATAAACATTTGTTCAATGAGTCAGCAAACCTCCAGTGTCCAACAACTAGGTTCTCGATAAATCTTATTGTTGGTGGTGGTCTCACTGAAATTGTTGAGGAGGGAAATTTCATATCACAAAGACAGGCCCTAGGCAGTTAAATGTTGTCATTGTATAGCACTAAAAATATATGACAGGTGAACTGCTTCTTGCAATTCCTCAATGTCTGAAATACGGATAAAAATGCAATTTTGTGGTGCTGTCATTCAGACTAAAATGGGTCCAGAGCCAAACTAAAATGTTTGACAAATTCTGTTTTTTGTTTGCTTGTTTTATCTTTGGGCAATTGCCACCACATACCTGTACGGTAAAGTGAAGTTGCAAAATACACAACGGTGTGATTAGGACATCATTGTAACATATTACAACATTATTTAAACATGACCCAATCAGGTCAATTGTCACAAGACTTAATTTGTTGCAACTTTAACAATTTATATATTAAAGTTTAATTCTTGAACTGTTTTAAAATAAAGAATAAAAAAGGATCTTAACTCAAAACAAAAGAATAGTGGTAGGGTGGAGTCCCCCTATATGCCTTAGCTTGAAAAAATAAATAAATCATTTCCCATGAGTAACATGCAAAATACACAGAGCAGGAAGCCGGAAACAGGCAGCTGGCTGTATTGATAACAGAGAATCCAACTGTTATCTTGAGGCAGCAACAGGAAGGAAACTAATCTTTTGACTGAAGTCCTCCCTGTGACGGACTAGTCTGAAGGCCTTAAATTCATGTTTGCTGATTTGTATAAAAATAGAATTTGAGTTACAATAGTTTCCTTAACTGTTTAACTTGCATCATGGACAAAACACATGTAAATATTTGCTCTAAATGCATGTGAAGCAAATATGCAATTGTCTGCTAGTAACTGTCTGATGGGCCGACTACAAAACCCACCATGAGCTCTCTATGACCTGGCACCTACAGGTTGCATCTGCTGGGCAGTCCCTCCTGCAGCTTCCAGAGGGCCTTTCTTCTGAGCGGCACAACCCCAGTTTGCCAATGTGGAGACCAAGGCACTGCAGGCACAACTTCTGAGAGGAGACCCACAATAACTGAGAAATGAGGCTCTGTCACCAGGGTCCTGCCTCTGTCACAGTCGTACGTCAAGGTGAGCCGCATAAAGTCACAATCCATAAGAAGCCAAGACTCTGGAGGGAGCTGAGGTTATGATGGGGGCTTTCTCCGAAAATAAGAGGCAAAGCAACACAACTACCTCTTCTAAGATGAGAGCTAAGGTGGGAACCAGTGTGAATTAATCAATAATAAGTTAATTGTACATTTAAAGATAACTAAGAGTATAATTGGATTGTTTGTAACACAAAAGATAAATGCTTGAGGGGATGGATATCCCATTCTCCACGATGTGATTATTAAGCATCACATACCTATATTAAAACATCACATACCCCATAAATATATACATCTACTATGTATCCACAAAAGTTAAAAATATTTTTTAAAAAACAAAACAAAAAAAACCAATAGTGTAAGGTGCCAAAACCAGGTGGAAAAAGCAAATGTAAAAAAACAGAATTAGGACCTTGTGATAAAATTCTCAGTAACTGTTCACTGTGTTTGACTAAAAATGGGTAGCATGCTTCCAAACTGCTTTCACATACAGGAAGTCATATCCTGAGCCCATTAACCTGCTACTCTCCATCTCTACAGGATGGGAACTGCAGTCAGGGTGACTGATCAGTTAGGGCAAAGGCTGAAGTAAGCCCAGGTGTGCACTAGTGATGCTGCATTAGGATCTTCACTCACTTTCCCTCCTTCATTACAGCCTGTGATTTCTAACTAACTGAGGTGGCTGAGGCACAGACTGGTTTTGGGATCCCCCCGAGGGCATGCTGCTAGCAAATAAACACCCAGAATTAGAGCCCACATTTATCTGAACCCTACAGAATCCCAAAGCACCTGAGGCACTCCATCCCACACAGGGAGTGTGGGATGGTATCTATTTAGTTCCAACCACCATCCCACACTGCCTGAGGAAAACAAGACATCACCTCCCCAAAACAAGAAGAAAAAACTCATAACCATCCATGTCTGGTCAGTTCCTTCAGACTGAGTTAAAAGATTAATATAAAATAGGAGTCAGCAAACTTCAGCCAGTAGCCTCTTTTTATGTAGCCTGGGAGACACACAGGTTTTACATTTTAAGAGGGTGGTTAAAAGGAGGAGGAAGAGGAAGGGGAGGAGGCTGATGATACCCCATAGAGACTCCATGTGGCCCACAAAGCCTAACAGTTATTATCTGGTCCTTTATAGAAAAAGTTTGGCATGTCCTGGTTTAAAACATTTCAATATAATAATACTGTTGATCCCACATCCCATTTGTTAGACTCCACTTCAAATTAAAATCAGCTTAGCAAATAGGTACTAAGTGCTTGCTATGAGCAAGGCACCACACTGGGTACTATTTTAAATTTTGCTATTGAATATGTTGCCAGGTTAATGCTCAGTAGCCACAAGCATTTTCTGGTAAGTGATATCCACATGTCAGGTCAGTCACAGGGTGAACTCGGGGCCCCTTCCACTCCCCAGCGGAGTGGGTATTTATCTGGTTACCTTCACTTACGGGATGGAGTGTGCCACCCCATTTGGCAGGAGGGACAAACTATGGTAATCACCACAGGCTAGACCTCAAGGCTGCACCCTCACCTTCAAAGGATGAGAAGGGTGGAACAGCTTGAGGCCTGATCTTCCAACTTTCCAGCCCTCCCCACAAGCTGAAGGCTCTTCAGCTCTTATTTTGATGGACACTTCATACACCATCACCTCTTCTCCTCCAGTCCTCCATGGAAGGGGACTTCAATCCAAGGTGGGCTGAGGGTAACTTGCAATGCCCTTAAAAGTTAGGAAAAACTTAGAACTAAATAGATACCATACACTTAATTACTAAACAACACAGAACGGCAGAACTTAACACAGAATGGCAGAACGTTAACACGAATACAGACTAAGTAGAAAAGAATGTTTTAAAGCGCACCAACCGTAACAGGCACACTCAAGACTTCATGAAAGTAGTATAATTGCAACATATGGAGAAGGGAGATGTCTGTGTGATATTCTTCCTAAGGAACATTAAAGAAGCAGTAAATATTACATTCTATACTAGTCTACCATGTGGCACACAAATTCACCAGTAAAGATAAAATCCTCTACTTCATTTTCAAGGGCTAAAGGTAGGCTTTTGTTGTAGGAGCCTTGGATAAAGCAGAGGTATTGAGAGAGAATTCAAATTTGTGATGTTTCTTATTTCATGCAATATACACAAAAAGTAGCCTTAATGTTCTACGGGGCGTGTAAGCTAGTCAGAGGTAGTTTATTAAAAAATCAAATAACATGCTCCCCGGCCCTTGCTTATTATGGTTTTCAATCTACTCCAGGTTTCCGGAATCCTTAAGGCCAAAATAATTAAGGGCAAAGAGGGAAAAATAGAACTCTTTCAAACACACCAGTCACATTATTTTCAGACATTCAAGATAGAAGAGGATTCTGCTCTACCTCAATGTTTTTGCACAGATGCCCACAGAAGCTGACGTCGCCAACAAGATAACAGTACCAATTCCAGCCGTTCTTGACAGTTTCCGACAGCTCTCCTATTTAATGAGGATGTCAAAGTTAACAGTAATTCATTGAATCCAAAAAGCTAAGGTCTGAGGGATATTTTTTCTTTTAAACCAGAAAGACACAAAGACCAGAAAGAGGGGGAGTCAAAAGACTTAAAGCCACCACACAGAGCTGTCTACTATGCATGCACAGTATAGCACTGACTAATCCCTGAATGAATTATGGAAGCTCCCATCTAAGATAAGCTAAGATACAGAAGTCCTCCAAATCAGACTATACAGAATGTATAAATTTATCTGCAAAGGATTAGCATTTTGGAATAAAGAAAGCCACAGCAATGCCAAGTTATCACTTGAAACTATAGAATTATGACAAGATTCCACTTAATGAGAAGAGGAATTATATTTAAAAATAAATGAACATAAATACAAAAGGATTTAAAAATTGGCTTCTGTTCTGAAGAACATTACACATGAGTCACCTAAACCCTTTTTGGCCAGTGACCATAACCCATTGTAGAAAAGTTCAGGGTTGAAACGACAGATTGATAAATTAAATACGACTGTCTCAATTCGAGTGCCAAACTCCACAATCACAGTTGTCTACGCAAGTAAGCCACGGACTACCAATGTGTGTTTGGGGAGGAGTGGGGTAAAGTCGTCTCCAAACCACACTTGGATTTCAGAAGTCACGAACAACTGTGACAAGATCAAAAAACAAAATGTATAATTTTATACTGACAAGCCCCTCCCTGATTTAGAAAATTCTGAAACTAAAGAATTTTAAAGTTTAGCACTATTTTCTAAGTGATATCATATCCCAATGTGTAACTCAAAATTTCACTTCTCACAGAGTATTCTTCATTCAGGAAGTAATTTATTGAATGATAGGCTGACCCAATCCACGGTTATATTTTCAACTCAGCCAACTATTCCACTGCCTGAAAAATTATTCCAGGCAGAACACTAATACCCAACATTCAGCCATAAAGGTCGCCTGTCATTTTTTCATCTTGGATTAGTCCACAGCAACCATTTATCGAGTAACTAATATAAGGACACTGGGAAGGACATCTAAAAGCATTAAGAGTTCTCTCTTTAAAAATGTAAGGAGTAATTTCTGACTCCATGAGAGCTCACAGCATTAGACAATTGATACTCAGCTACCATTCAATTATTTTAAAGATATCTTAACATGTAAAAGAGAAAGTTATTACACATAGGGTCAAACACTGAAAAACACTTCTGCTAATTTCCTTTGTGGCTTTCCTCAACCTCACACATAAAATGGTTATACAAGATTTCTTTCAAAGCCAAATACTACAGAGTTTTGGTGGACAAATCCTGTAAGTACCCAATGTACATTGCCTTGTTTTAATAGAGGAGGACAGAAAAACTGGAGGAAAAAATGACCTCAGATTCAACCCCAAGATGACTAGCCAACAGGCAGGGTAGCACCATAAGATCCCTCACACTCATCAGAAGAGGGCAGGGCAGTTGACAGTTCATAGAACACAAGAGTATTCTGTGTTGTTACTTTAAATCAAAACCTATTTTGCATTATAGGAACACTAACCAAAGCTTTAAACACACTTTTATACAAGACAATGTATGGTCTTGGTCATATTGAATCTTCTAAGCTTAAAACTGGTCATCTGTCTAAATTTAATTTTCTTCAAATGAAAAAGGAAAGTTTTGAACAAGAGGGCATAAATGGGGAGATCTGATTTTTCTGTTGTTCTATTAATTTTGGAAATGTAAACCTCTTGCAGTGTTGCTAAACTTAAA
Source organism: Homo sapiens (assembly GCF_000001405.40). Lineage (NCBI taxonomy): Eukaryota > Metazoa > Chordata > Mammalia > Primates > Hominidae > Homo > Homo sapiens. The sequence goes on along the minus strand of NC_000002.12, from coordinate 54,585,021 downwards.
TGTAAATCTCTTCCCATAAAACGGAATACAGATCTTTATAACATCCATGAATGCATCCACTTGCAAGCCTCCCACCCCACCTCTCCCTTGTCCCTACACGCAAGCCTTTATCTCCCACTCCAAAAAGTCAGGTGCTTCCAACAGGTGTGGGGACCTGGCTGTTTGTAGTTTTGTCAGTTTGGGTGTAAGGAGGGAGACAGTAAGCCAATATTGTCTTAGGTGTAGTCTTATTGTTCAGCTACCTTGACATAGCCTAGGAAGCTTCTTGCTCTTGCTGATTTGTTCTTCAGGGGCATTTTATTGTTTAATAATGACCTTGGCTGCTTCTCAACAGCCTCCATAAAGATAATAATCTTGGATCTGGGTGGGAAGGGCTGGAAACTTATAGATGTTCTGCTGGGGTGGCAGATAGCAGAGGATCCACTTTCAGGACTAGGTGGAAGTAGGGGAAAATAAACTATAACCCTATTCTATACAACATTTGAAAGACAAATCCTTTCACCTACTGAAGGTGTGGAGAAACTAGGACACTCACATGTGGTTGGTGAGAAGGTAAGTAGTGATATCAAAATTTATAGTATGTATTTCCTCCATCTACTAATCACATCTATAGATATTTGTTTTCTAGAAATATTTGTGCAAGAAAACGAAGATGTACAGAATGTGCACTACAGATTTAAAAAATAATTGTCAAAAAGAATAGCAACAGCAAAACAGAAAAGACTAGAAACTAAATATACATTAATAGGTTGAATAATTAAAATACGGGACATCCTTATAAAATAATATGTATGCATTAAAAAGAGTAAGGAAAACCTACAGCATACAGGCTTCGGAAAGTGGCCATATAATATTACTGAATGCAAGAGTCCCTTATAGAACAGTGTATAATATTCAGTATGATCCTACGAATGTATATGTTTAAATGTAAGTAACTGCATAAAAAGATATCGAAGGATATCTTCCAAACTATTAACCGTCTTCTCTCAAGGGAGTAGAAGCAGACAGGAGGCATTTCCACTTCTGTATTTCTATGAATACACTGCTGGTTTTCTGTTTTTGTTTTTTTAGGAGCACATATTAATTTTGAAAAATTTAAAGAGCGTTCCCATTAAAGGGGAAAATATGAAATGATTTTTTATTTGATAAGAGAATTGAGGTTCACCCGATGGGTCTGGGACTGATGAGTAGGAATAAAAAGAGCACTCACTGGAGGAAAACATACTCTTCTGGGGCATCACAAAAGGTCCTATGTGTACTGCTGCCTTCAATGAATATGCTAAAATAAAATGCCACCCTGAATTTTCATGTCTTTCTTCTGGGGCATACTAAATTGGTAGTTAACTTTATATAACATTTGTAAGCATAATACGGCAAACAAACATTAATACTTCCTTGTAATAGATGGAGACACTAAGGATATTAATTTTTAAAAAGTGACATTCACTGAAGAAACACTGGGGTCTACAGGATGCCAGGGGAGTAGTTTTCAAACCATGTTCCTAGCAAGGGATGCAGAAAGAGCAAAGCCCAGGGTCAGCCTCCAGGTATCTTCTCACCTACACTTTGGTCAGAAAAGCTCCCATTTCATACCCTTGATTTACTGGGGTTCCACCTCAGGTTTCATCTACAGGAAATGCAAATCCATTCTTAAAAAGGTTTTAAATTGCTCTACTAAGCAGTAGGAAATAAGGATAGACGCAGAAGCAGAAAGAGTTTACAGTTTACTGACACCAGCCTTATTAACAGGTAATTATACCGCATGGGAACAGATGGCAACAGAGAGGATCAAGCAAAGCACTGTGGGACCAACTGACCAGAGGTGAGTCAAGGGGTCAAAGCTTCAGAGCTGACAACTGAGTCCAGGGGACATCACCAAGCAGCGGCAGGAATAAGATCAGAGGCAAATGGGGGTTCATCCACCAGTGCTTCAGCTACGCAAGTGGGAAGGGCTCCAGCATGGTCCTAGATGACGGAGGAATTAAATTATCTTCTTCCATGTCCACCCCTATAGTCAGGGTTTACTGAGTGTTTACTAGGGCCAGGTACTCTTCTAAGCACTTCATTAAAACTCAATTCTCACAACTACTCTGTGAAGTAGGTACTCTTACCACCAAACATATTTTGTATAAGAGCAAATTCAAGCCTAGAAAAATTCAGTTATTTGCCCACAGTCACGAAGCAAGCACAGTCCCAGCAGTTTGACTTGATAGCCCCCACCACTCTACAGAGAGTTCTACATTAGCAAGGACCTTTGGCTCCAACTGATATGAAATGGGGTTCAAGCCTTAATGCTCAGTAAGATTCCCCCCAACCTAAATGGACCACACTGAATTAAATCTCTTAAGGTATCCTGCCACCTTAATTCCTGATAATTCCGAAATGGGAGTTTTACGTAATTCAGTGCAGAAGCCCTCATCAGAAAGAATCCTCCATATTTCTTTTTTTTTTTTTTTTTGAGACGGAGTCTTGCTCTGTCACCCAGGCTGGAGTGCAGTGGCATGATCTCGGCTCACTGCAAGCTCCGCCTCCTGGATTCACGCCATTCTCCTGCCTCAGCCTCCAGAGTAGCTGGGACTACAGGCGCCCGCCACTATGCCTGGCTAATCCTCCATATTTCTAAATGGAGGGTGCTTCTCTCCCCTGCCTGACACCTGGGAGGAGTGTAATTCATCTTGCACCTTCAAGGAGTCCCTGCTCTCAGGCACCACCAGACCAGAACCAAGATCGACACCTTCCTTTTTAAGTGTCACCTTTAACATCCCTTATGCTCTGGCATCACAACCCCCCAATAAAATGCTTTCTTAGACCCTGGAAGCTGAGTCAAGAAAACTAGTTTTGTAATGTTTTGCATTAATGTATTTGAGCAAAGTGATGAAATAATTTATCACTGCCATGTTTTTAAAAAGCATCAGTGTCAGCTGAAGGCTTTGAGCAAGTTCAAGTTACACATAACCAGACTTCCAGATGTATTTTTTTCTCTACCTTGGTTTCCAGAGCTAGCGTATTCTCGGTGCTGATAATTTACAGGTACCCCATGCACCAAACCACAGAGCAGCATGTCTGCAGCTACAGAAGAATGAAGTGCCTGTTGTCTCGCAAAGTTCTTCAGTAGGATTTGGAGGCAAGTAGAGCCATTAATTAATAAAAAGCATAGCTTGTGGTAATTAGCAGCAGCAACAAAAATGTTTAGCGGAGCTTCCTCTTTTTATCTTGAGGCAGTTCCTACAGACAGATGCTTAGGATTAATGAAGTTTAATGAGACCTGCAGCAGCTGGCTAATTAGTCAGTGAGGAGGAAGTAGTAATGACAAGAGAAAAAGGCTTTTACTCTTGTTTATTAGCTCAGGTTTGGGACAGTTTTCTTAAACTGTGGGCTGTACCTTCAACCTCAAAGTGGTCCCAGAGCAAATAAAAGTTTCAAAAAAAAAAAAAAAAAAAAAAAGGGCAAAGAAACCAAAGCATGAAGGCTAAATGCTGAGCTTCCCAAGGGTCGGCTTGCCTGCCTAGGAGGAGTGAGCAAAGCAGCCCAGAGGCAGTGGAAGTTCAATGTCAGCCATGATTCCCTGGAAAGCAGCAGCAAATGCTGTCAGCATCAAAAGGATACCCATGTCCTGGGTAAGTGGGACAGTCAACATCTTGTGTCTCACGGACGACCCTATGGAGAATCCTCAATTTAGAGCATCCCCTCCTCCTCAATTCTAAGCAAATGAAAAGGGTTTTTACTAATGAGAAGTACTTGATGATTATGCACAACCCCTTTGTTGTCCATTCTACACTTGTATTATCATTAAATTTGTTATGTATTAGCTTTCAATATAGCCATTCCACAATGCACGTGTATTTCAAAACATGTTGTATGAGATTATATATAAAAATATATAAAGTGTGTGTGTATATATTTATATATTTTTTCTTTTTTTTTAAGACTAAGTCTTGCTCTTTTGCCCAGGCTGGAGTGCAGTGGCGTGATCGTGGCTCACTGCAACCTCCACCACCCGGACTCAAGCGACTCTCGTGCCTCAGCCACCCAAGTAGCTGGGATTACACGTGTGTGCCACTATGCATGGCTAATTTTTGTATTTTTAGTAGAGACAGGGTTTCAACATGTTGCCCAGGCTGGTTTCAAACTCCTGACCTCAAGTGATCAGTCCGCCTCAGCCTCCCAAAATGCTGGAATTACAGGGATGAGCTAGTGCACCCGGCCTATAATTTTTATTTATAATTTTTATTAAAAAATAAAGTTTTTACAAATTTTTGGTTATGTGTGTCTCTCATATTGGCTCCCCCAGGCCTGTACTTTTGGAAGTATACAGTAGAAACCCTAACCCTTTCAGAATTAACTAGTTACCAGCAGTAAGTTTCCCATTCTATCAATAAACAATGCAAGAGAGAAGATTTTGGAGATTTTTTTTTTTTTTTGGTTAAAGTGTGAGAATATGAATACACTTGGATTATAATCCATCCTCCAACACACACACAAATAAGCAGCTAATGGCAATACTAGTGGTCTTCCCAATTCACAAGACCTGTGCTTCAAATTGTTTTCCTGATAATGTGGAGAAATGTGCTCTTTATGTATTCTCAAGAAACAGGATGTGAAAAGCTGGTATGGGTATACAAGATAAAAATGCCTACCCAGAGTGGGCAGAAGCCTCTAAATATTACTGGTTTGCTAAAAGTTTCAGATGCTTTTTAGTTCTACATATGTTAGTTCTACCTTTAACCTCTCTACCACTCAACGAACCATCAAGAAACAAAATCTACTCCCTATGTAACAGTAAAGTCACCCCAGACTAACCTTCAAAAGGGGTTTTACTTTAAAGAAACAGCTTCACAGCCACTGCTGTCATAGAGAATATTCTCAGGTTCCGTGTGGCCGGAAGCTTGAATTTTTTCAGTGCTGGCTTCCTTCTCCAGTGGGGCCAGAGGCTGTCAGAGCCAGCCCGGAAATCTCTCTCATATATGGCTTTAACGTAAATGAAAATATTCCCCTGTTAATTATTTACATAAAGAAGGTCATACAGGTCTGTCCTAGCAACACCAGAGAGCCGTTCTCACCAGCAGCTTTTACCCTCAGAAAGGAGAGAAGAAACACCCATTCAAGTTCAGCACAGAGGTTTGGGTTTATAACCTGTTTCCAAAGTCAATACAGTTAACTGCTGTGGGCTATTTGCTTTCAGAGTTTTAGGATCTCTCTCTCTCACTATACTTTCTGGCAAAGCCTGACAAACAATAGAGTCATTTTAGTCTTAATGCATTGGCTAAAACTGGTTCCTACATTCTCATCAATTCTCCTAAGACTTACATTTTACCTAAATCCAAAGGTCAACAGGAGTTCTCGGGACTTACAAAGGTACTTTTCAGAACTCCATGCAGCAATATATCTTCCCAGTTCAAAAGCAGGGCCAAACAGCAATGCTGGGCTCCCTTAATATGCCAATGTGCTTCAGCTCAGTGAGGATCTGGTCTGTCCACAGTTCAGGTATTAAGAGAGCTATATAGCACGTGCGCTAATGCTACCAATACAGAGACGAACTACCCCTCATTGGGGGCCACGGTCCCTATGGGTGAGTGTGAAAGATGGGGAGTTTAGGTGTTTTCAGAAACTTCTGGTTTGTGGTACTGTATGATTTCCCCAAATAATGGTCACACATGAGCAGAGAATCAGTCCCAAAAAATGGTAGTTGATAACCTGGCACTGTATTCGATCTCTGGGTGACATTCTCATACCTGAGGGATGCCTCAGGTCAAACGGAAGCTGTTATACTTCATTCTATGTGCCGTCAAAGCTCCTTCTATGAGCTAAGAACACTGCAACTGAAAGTAAAGGTAAAAGAGGTCATGAGCTAGAGAAACTCCTAGGAAGCTTTATTCTGAAAAGAACAAAATGGGAATATATAATATATATTAGGTTGGTGCAGAAGTAATTGTAGTTTTGTCATTACTTTTAATTGCAAAAGCCACAATTACTTTTGCACCAGCCTAATACATTCATACCAGAGGGCTTCTCTATAGCACCCTCAAAAGAAAATTTCTTGGGAAAAATGGTGACATGGCACCTTTCAGTCTAGCAGTGTTAGGCATTCCTAAGAAAGATACTCAGATTTCTCCTGGACAGAGAGGGCATAGAAGAGAACAAACCCAGCATTCACCAACCCAACAATCCTATTAGGAATCTTATGATTCTGGACTCTTGAAGTGGCAGAAGTAGCATCATACACACACACATCAGAATTATCATCACACACACACACACACACACACACACACCCCATCAGAAGACACTTGCCTAGGCCAAATTAAATCATTTCTGGAAGTGGGCAGGGTATAAATAATAAATATAAATAACTTGCCTCACTGATGCCAAATATAGATCATAATGAATGGGAACAAAATCAAGTTTGTGGTTTTAGGATACAAGTAAGGCTGAACACGTAAGGATGAACTCTTAGAAACAGTTTTTATATCTGCTATGGGGAAACTCAAAAGGTGGCCTGAAAACACAATGCAAATCGCAGCTGGAAGTCTTCACTTATACTTGGCAGCAGCAGCAGCAGCAGCAGCTAACCGGAAACAGGGATTATCCATTTTATTCACACAGGGACATCACAGAACAAAAGGCTAACACTTAGCCCAAAAACACCAACAAACACTCAACCAGTCGAAAATATTTAAAGTCAAGAAAAATCAGCAATCTCCAATAATCTGAACTTCAGATGTGGTTTCCTGGCCTAACTCCATGTTTCTGGGTAATGCCATCACCTTTGAACATTGCTCCAAGGTTATTCTCTGTGTAGCAAATGCTCAACGATGCAGCAGTGAACACTGTACTTTTAAATCCAAGATTCTACTTCAGTGCCAGTACAGTTTATTCCAGGTTCTCACGGGTACATTACAAATAATTTCATATACTGGGAAAATACAGATCAAGAGAGTCTGTACTGTCAGCTGAGTCCTTTATAGTCTGGAATCTCCAAAGTACCATCAAAGAAAAGGGAATAAAGTCCTCCAAGATAAGGCAAGGCTTGAATTTTACATGGCATTCACCATGCTGCTCCTTGTTACCATCACCAATGAAGAGTGAGAGTCTCAGCAAATCCTTTAAGATTGAAAAAAGGATCAGGAATTTCTACCTCTCAACAACTGCTTTCACTAAATCAAGGTTGCCCAGGGTCCTAACAAAATCCTAATGTGGGATCTACAAAAGCACCAGGTGAAAAATGCTCAACAGGCAGCACAGCAAGATGGTTAAAAATTGAGTCCCAAAGCGCACTGCGTGGGTTGGAATCCTGGCTCCATTTACTAGTTAAGTGTCCTTGGGCACAGCTTCCTTTGTGCCTCAGTTTCCTCATCTTCAAAATGGAAATAACACATCACACAAGGACGCTATGAGGAGCATATGAATCAATACTGCAAAGTACTTAGGACAATGCCTGCACAAGGGGAGTATCAAGAAGTTTTGGTGGCTATTACCATTATCAGTACCACCACCAATACAGGGCTAGACTTTAGGTAGGGACCTACTTTCCTTCTCTCTTTGCATGAGAATCCATATACCTTTTCTTTTGCTTTCCCTCTCCTTTGTAGCTTGTTAGGTTTCCCACAGGACTGATTTTGTGAGCTCAAAGCATGAGAAGCCAAAAATGCTTAATGTTTTGGCAGTGGGCATCTACCCAGAAGAGCCTTGGGGGAGCACATTCGGTAAAATGAAAGTGACCAGAGTAAACGGCCATGCATTTATTTGCAGGGGCCTTCAAATCTGTATCAGACAATCTACAACCCTAACAGGTTAGAGAACTGAAATGCAAGTCACTTGTCCAAGGTCATTTAACCAACATCAGCTGCTAAGCAGCACCTGATTCCCGGGACCTGTGCCAAGATTAGCTGGCTGTTGGCTAACAAAAAGGAGGCAAAACCCCCAACTAATAATAAGCATTAACAAATGAAATGGAAGGGGAAAAAAAACTTGCATGATGTCCCAAGTAGAATTCTAGCCATTCCCCAACATCCTCCATGGTTTCATGACTCCCTCTGTACACCCCTACCCCCAAGCACCCATCATCTCATAATCTAATCCAGGTCATATTTAAAAACTTGCAATCAATGTCAATTCCTCCAAAATGCTTCCCCCACATCCCAGGACCAAGGAATGATATTTGCATGTTTGGGATCACTTACCTAGTATTCCCTTTCAGAATGTAATTTGAGACCGTGGCTGTCCCTTACACACCTGTGTTTCCAGTGTGCTCAGCACTGTAAGCTGCTCACCTTGACACCCACTTGCTGGCTGAATATTGATTGAACAGGTGGATGGATTTGATGGCTCCCTCAGTGATCTTCAAGCTAAAAATGGGTTCTAAAAAGTCATCCTGCCTTCTTCCACGGCACTTATTCTTGGCTAATTAAGAGGTACATGCTACTCCATTCTCACAGCCAGGCAGCTGTGGCGCATCAACTAGAGCGTATAAGCAACGGCCTTCCAGGATTTGTCAGTTGAGTTTTGAGTACAAGTTCTAGAAAGTACTACTTCTTCAAAGTATAGAGTAAAAAAAAAATTGAAGTAACAGAGCCAACAGCTGTTTTCCTGGACCTACACATACCTGACATCAACGTTCCAGCTTTAAGTTATTAATTAGGCCAAAGCAATAGCAGAAAGAAGAGCTGAAGGCCGGGCGCGGTGGCTCACACCTGTAATCCCAACACTTTGGGAGGCCGAGGTGGGTGGATCACCTGAGGTTAGGAGTTTAAGACTAGCCTGGCCAACATGGTAAAACCCTGTCTCTACTAAAATACAAACATTAGCCGGGAGTGGTGGCAGGCACCCGTAATCCCAGCTACTGGGGAGGCTGAGGCAGGAGAAACGCTTGAACCCAGGAGGCAGAGGTTGCAGTGAGCCGAGATCGCACCATTGCACTCCAGCCTGGGAGACACAGCCAGACTGTCTCTCAAAAAAAAAAAAAAAAAGCTGGATCTGAGTGACAAAAGGAAAAAAACACAGACCATTACCATCATCCACCTCTCTCCCTATCCCTGCTACCATAACCTAAACTGTACCAAAGTCTGGGCCCTGCTTTAACCACTCATCCAACCATGTTTCTCGTACTACAGGTTAATTCCTGTCTCAGGAGAAAAGACCAGGTTCCCATGACTGCCTAGGCAGAGGCATGTTGAGACCCAGCCTCTCAAATGTCTGTACACATTTCTCCTCTCCTTTTGGTTGAGAAGTTTGTGGACAGATTCAAAGGAGTTCCCGATACATCGAAACTGAGCCTTCACGCCACTGAGTCACTGCTTAATTGCATCATAACAGATGTTCAGCTGCAGGTATTTCATCCAGCAGCTAAAAATCCAGAGCCTTTGCAATTGCTACCAGTGGGTCTACATCCACGTCTCTGTGTACAAAAGAATCCTGATATGTCAACGCTCAATATCACCTGAATTTAAGCTATGGCTCAAGTTAAATGCCCTTAGGCAATTTTACCTTAGTTACTTTTACCAAATACCGTATCCACAAGTGGGTGGACGTCAGTTTTGTCCTTCGAGATATGCAGATGCATTACTCATCCCTCCAATGTTACGCTCTTGCAACATCAATGATAAGCAAATTAGCAGACTGTTATCTTTTTAATGGAAGAATTTACTCATCAATAGCAAAAGCTTTATCAGAAATTGACATTATTGAATCCTCTGGAGTTGCAGAAAAGAAAATAAAAAGAAATTGATATTGGGAAAACCTGACTGGTTTCTTTCAGCTGTGTATTGTATTGCTAGGTTAGGTGTGACACTTAACACCTGTGAATGTGGCTGAATCTCCAAGAATGATCAAATACACAACGCTCTGGATTTAAAACAAAACAAAAAAAACCTCAAAATCTACCCATGTGCTGATGGATGTATACACTATGCCTTCCTACGTGTCTCCACCTATTTAGACGAAGCACACGCCTTGAATTCACAGAAATGTTGAAAACGGCCCCCTCTTGCTGCAGAAGTTCACCATCACCCATTTTCTTACTTGCTGGCTAAATGAGGCTGCCACCTCAAGTCATCTTTCTGGTCCTCAGGTTCCTCAATCCACAAAGCAGTTATGATACCACCTAGCACACAGGGTGACTGAAGGGATAAATAATATGTTCATGAAGGTACCTGGTTTATGCCTGGTTCATGCTGGAAAGCCCCCACACACTTTTTCAAAAAGTCATGTTTGATGCAGGAGAAAGAAGTCAGTGGTTTAACTAACTACATCACAGGCATCAGTAGACACATGAGCAAAGTGGTGGAAGGGTGTGACCTGCAATTCCAAACCAGACTGCACTGATCGAGCTCTCATGGGATCACTGATTCCCCACGTGCCTGACATGAGCATGACCCATTCTAAACACAGGCCTGCACCCTGTGACTCAAGTGCTGCAGCTTATCAGCAACTGATGGGCTTTCTGACCCTGGGTGAGAAGACCTGACCTCCAAAGGCAGGAGGAAGGAAACCACATGATAAAAATCATCACTCTGAGGGGAGGATGCTTTCTGCGCAGCTAGGGCTAAGGAAGTTGTTTCAAAACAGACTCAAGAAACGTGTAGGCTGCTGCTAGGAGACTTGGGTCCAACTGCTCCCTCCAGATCCTGCCACACCTAAATGATCCCAAGAAGATAACTATCTCGGAGAAGCAGTGTGAGGTAATGGTTTAATGCTAGGGCGTGGTCAACAGCCAGGTGCAAAGGCCGGCTCCGCCACACTAATAACTGTATGGCATTCTCTCCAAGCCTTGCTTTCCTCATCTGTAAACAGAGATAACGCCTGACCCTATCTCTAGCATTCTTCTGATTGTGAAATTAGATAATGTATGTCATAAATAGCACAGTCTGGTACATAAGTGTCCAATAAATGTTGGCTATTGTTACTGGAAAGGTGTCTGTTTCCTTCATTAGACCAGTTGAGGGGACCTGAGAACAAAGACAACCCCAACATTTGTGTCCCCCCACAAAAATTTCTTAGATTTAATTATGAGTTTGTATTTTCCATACGGGGTTCATGCACATTATTCTAACTGATTCTCACAGCAACCCCAGAGGAGAAGGGAGGGCTGGTGTTCTGTTTTGCAGGTGTACAAAGCACCCCCCTCCCATAAATACATCCATTCAAATCCCATTAGAAAAACAGGATCCGTTTTCCTGTCTCTTGACTTGTTTGTGAGCTTCCTGAGGGCAGAGATAGAAATTACACCCCTGTGGCCCTAGTGCCTGAGCAAAGAGCCGCAGGCAGAGGCCCTCCATAAGGCTGAATATTAAAAAGGGGTTGAGTCATACTAAGAATCATAATTATTCTAATGACCATGTCTCCTAGTAGTCCAAAAGGAGTTCTGTTTCTAACGCAGAAAACCTTAGCAAATGAGTTACACTGTGAATTCCCGCTGAGGGAGGAGGAACAAAGACAGAGGATCCCAAATCAACTGCTGAATCACCGAGTCAGGGGTCCCCAACCCCCAGGTCACAGACCGGTATTGGTCCTGGCCCGTGACCTATTAGGAACCGGCCACACAGCAGGAGGTGAGTGGTGGATGGGAAGCATTACTGCCTGAGCTCTGCCTCCTGTCAGATCAGCAGCAGCATTCTCACAGGAGCCAAACCCTATCATGAACTGTGCATGCAAAGGATCTAGGTTACCACTCCTTAATAAGAATCTAATGCCTGATGATCTGAGGTGGAAGAGTTTCATCACGAAACCAACTCCCCATTTCCTCCACCCTATCTGTGGAAAAATTGTCTTCTACAAAACCAGTCCCTGGTGCCAAAAAGGCTGGGGACCGCTTTACTAAGTGACCTGTGCATCACTTTCCTCTTCCAGAAACATGGAGCAGAACAGCTACTCCTTATAAGCAAAGAGGGAGCAAAGATCAATGACATAATTCACATCTGCAGACAACTATGAGCTCACAGGAAACTGAGGTAAGAAAGGTCATTTCAGAGTCATTTAATGACAACAATGGCTGAGATGAGTATCTGGTGGGGTCTGGGCCCGCCTTCTCATCTGATTCCCAGCACGCTGTGGCAAACACAAAGGCAGTCAGCTTCTAGAGCCCCTTCCCACTCACACTGCTCCTGGGCCGTGGGTCACACTGCTCTAGTGCCCTTCCCTCAACTCCAGCCCTCTCCCTTTCCAAAAACCCATCTGAATTTACTACCCTGATAAAGACTGCAAGTGTATGGTTCTGTAGCCAAGAACTCCTAGTCAAACTGGCTACAGTCAAGCCCACTGCTGAACGAGTATGACTTTTAAAAATTGCTTCCTTGTGTTTCAAGTGAAAAAAATAACATCCCACCTCCAAATTGAAATCATATATGTATATTTGTAGAGGAAAAACAAAGATTTTTTGTAAAGGGGGGCAGAGATTGGGAGGCACAAAGGGCTGGGAAAGTAGTTCATGGGCCAAAAGCAGTTTTCTTTCAGATATGTCTTCAGTTTAAAAGACCAAGTTTGCACATTCGTGTGCTATCTAAGTTTCTGAAGCCCAGCCTCTATTTGCTCAGAGTGTGATTTAACTGCCTGGCTTCTAGCAAAGCATTACTCACACTGTTATCTCTGTAAACAAAGACACTCGCGGTTAGAAAAGCTGTGTTCGTTTTATGGTCACACAACATAAAAATCTGAATAAGCTGCCACACCTAGAAGAATGGATAGATTTCAATTTCCCAGGGTACATTTTTAACATTTTTTTGCTATGTAACCTGATTACATTAGTGTAAATGCATCTTAAAACTTTATCCTGGTCCAAATATTCTTGCCCCATCTCATTCAAAAGAAAGGGGGGAAAAAGACAATGTGATGTCTAATTTCTAGGGGAACTGTTTCTGTCTCCCTAAGTACCTTAGTACCGTGGCTTCCCTCTCCTCTCCTCTTCTCCTCACCAAAGTTTAGTAAATTCCCCAGCACCCAGCAGAGTCCTAGGGAGTATGTGAGAGTCCAACCACAAGAGTTCCCTAAATTTGAGCTTTAAGGGGATGAGGGGAGGTTGTCACTAGGGTCATATTAAACTTCATTTTATCAAAAAAAGTAGATAGGCCCAGCCTAAGCCCTTCCTGGAGTTTTAGTTTAGCCACATCATGGACAAAATTATTTTCATGATGTATTCTTTCATTCAAGACATCATTTATTAAGTGGCTCTTTTCTCAGGGAAGAGGCCCCTGGAAGGAAAACCAGCTAAATCACTTTAAAACATATGCATTACTGCTTATATTACTTTACCTACTCATTCATCCCTTTATTCATGAAACATTTATTTGTATGCCATCCCTAAGAAGGAATACAGAGATACACGCAAACACACTAACACACTATCCTCCTGGGAGTTCACAAATACCCACTGAGTATCAGGTACACAGTAATAGGCAGCCAGCTTCCAGAAGCCCTTTATTTATAGATATGTGTGTGTGTGTGTGTGTGTGTGTATGTGTGTGTGTGTGTGTGTGTGTGTGTGTACATACAATTAGGGAACAGTAATAGGTATCTTCATATATAACTGGGGGACTCACCACCCAGTGTGCCTGGGACTGAGGAAGATTCCCCGGATGTGGAATGTTTGGCACTAAAACCGGAAAACTCCCTGGCAAACGGTGAACTCGTCATCCTCTTAATACAATTATAACATACCTAATTAGGCTTTACAATCACCCCAAGGGCTATTTATTCTTTCCCCCTGAAGAAAATGAGGCTCAGTGAAGTCACTGGTAGAGCTAGGATTTGACTGTTGGTTTATGCAAATCCACGGCCCATGTGTTTCCCACCACCCTTGTTTCTGAAATGAGAGAGAAAACGTCCCACAGCCCTTGACAGGCACGCCAAACCACCACTACAATGTTCTGAGCCACTTCCCTTCCACTGCTCTCCTGACCACCCCCACCACTCTTCACCGCAGACTTCCCACAGCCAGGATTTCATCTGCTTGGCAGTTGTTTGCAGATAGTGTGTAATCTCTCTGTCATTGCAAGACTGAATTGTACAGCAAGTCGTTTAAACCTTTATAGGAATAAACGTCTCCCTCAACAGAAATCAGGGCACCATTTTCAAGCACAAGAAACACACTTTGCACTAGACTTTATTCACATCTCAAATACTATACACTCAAGCTAGCAATCTATAGGAACTCACTGGGATTTAAGAGTTCAACAGACTAGACTTTCAAAGACACGGTAAACTTTAAAGCAGGCCTTCAAAGAATAAAGATAAAAATAAAATAGACCTTCGAAATTTATCTTACTTAAGAAACATAATTCAAAATGTTAAGGTCACATTCCAACAGAATGTTTGGTCTTCTACAATCTTAGCTGTAACCACTGTTGGCACGCCAATTCCACCAAAATCATGTCTATGGTTTGTAGAGAGTTTCAGGCAACATGCACACACACACCTGCAACCAGTCAGTGCTTAAAACAATAGCTCTCACTCCAAAATTCTATCACAGTTGCACTCTTGGTGGAGGGAGGGGGATTCAGCCAAATAAAGATACCACCTATGTAATTTCCTTGCCACCAGCGTAGAACAGAGCCTCCAGACTTTGTATTTATGTTTTGCTCACATTCTTCATGAATAAAGCGTGCCTCAGTGATCCTCAAATTAACTTTCCACTTGCATAATTTCAGCATTAAAAAGGGACTTTAAGGCCAGATCTTTCACAAGGCCTTTGTGAAACCAAATATAGGCCAGCCTGTGTCTCCATGCTACTGTGATTACTGTATTTGCTACTTAAAGGTCTTGTGCCTCTTGAAAATGGGGTTGGGGGAGAGAGAAAGGCTAAGAAGGGCCTTTCAAAGGCAAACACAGTAGAGGCATTCAACACACCCATGGGGGGCAGTTAATATGAGTCTGGCTACAGGAGCGCTCTCTGACAAAGGCGGCTCTCTGACCAAGTGCTGGATGCTCGCTGGCTGCAGCAATAGCTGCTCCAGAGGCTTTTATGAACTTGAGAGAGGAACCAGCATTGTGACCTTCAAACTACATCAAAAGTCACCAGGCCCAAGTGACTGAACCTTCTAATCTTTCTAAAGGGGGGGGGGAATGGTTTCAGTTGGGTGCATTTTCAGGCAAACTAAACACTCTCCCAACATGCTAAAGGAAACCACACCCAGAACAGGTTTGGGGGTGGGGGTGGGAGTTGAGGCACTCAAGTTTACAAGGCTCACCCTGCTGGGCCCTGCCTTGCCATTTAACTAGGATCTGTAATAATCCTATGAGCCCTTATTATGTACCAGGGACTGTGCCAAACACAGTTTCCACACAGAATCTCACCTAATTCTTACAACAATCTCATTACACAGAATTTGTATGACCTTCATCCCATAGATGAGAAGCAGGCTCTCAGACTGGTAAGTAATTGTCTGATTTGGAAAGTGAATTGCCAATATTTGGTAAGAGGCACAGAAATAACCACATATGAAAAGCTTAAGATGATGTTAAGTAAAAAATAAAAAGCCAAGACAAAACTCGTCTATATTAACACTTCTAAACTGCACGTGTGTGTATATGTGTGTGCTTATATATATTAACTATTGGAAAGTTAAAATTTGTAGGACTTGTGGGATCTTACGTGAACTATTCTTTCACTTTTCTTTCTTTTCAGGGCGTCAATACTGCTGTGACATAATAAATATATAAAAAGTATCTAGAGTAACAGGAAGGAACAGCTAGAAATTTAACTTAGTCCATTAATAACCTTCAACCCTGCCTTTGAAAGAACAACCCCCAGTCCCCTCTCCAGTACTGCTGCTTTCAACTGGCCACAACCCTTCCATCAGGACGGTTCTGGAGTGTTGCCAGCCAAGAACTGAATTCCCTTATCTCCCCCACCCCGTTCCTTTCTTCTTCCCAGGGGTAAAAACTTCCGGCCAACAAGTTTCAGCAGGTGTTTTTTCTCCCCTACCCAATCAATAACCAGTAATTTTAAAGTTTCACCTACAAACTCAGAGGAAATGAGCACTTACCATGTAACAGATATTTCACATACTTCAAATCCACTATTAGCGCTAAAACCTGAAGGCACCACTAGGTAAGTTTGATGTGCATGAAACTAGACTGAAGTCTAACCAACTGCAAGAACAGGAACGTTCATTTAATATAGGATCATTCTACTAAGATGAAGTGTGGCTGAAGAAGAGTATTTGTGCTTTGTTTCTGAAAAAAATAGTTTTAAAGTATTTAAAAGGTTTAAGTCATAAAACAGGTATGGACTCATAAATTTCTACTTCCCAGGACATCATGCTGAAATTCTGGAATAATTTAGAGAAACTGACCCAGGGTATTTTTGTGATTCTCCATTAATATCAATGGGTAAATATGAAAAGAAACTGTTTTTTTACCTCACAAATTTCTAGAACTGCAGGACTAGCAAATAGGAAAATCCCAGCCAAATTCTATAAAAGACTTACTTCTAAAGCTCAGAATTAGTTAACTATGTTTTAAAGCCCTGTAATCTTCTAGAGCAATACTAAACTTCCTTTAATTAACTATTATACTCAAGATTATTTTTATATTTAGTTAAAATAATCCAGTTTATTCAAAAAAACCAAAAACTCCTCCATTTAATGAAACTATTTCCTTGTCTGTTCATAGGAGTTAGAAGGCAGACACCATTACTTCCAAGGCAGTGCTTCTTCTTCTTTTTTTTTTTTTTTTTTTTTTTGAGACAGAGTCTTACTCTGTTGCCCAGGCTGGAATGCAGTGGTGCAATCTCGACTCACTGCAACTTCTGCCTCCCAGAGTAGCTGGGATTACACATGTGCGCCACCACAACCGGCTGATTTTTGTATTTTTAGTAGAGACGGAGTTTCACCATCTTGGCCAGGCTGGTCTCGAACTCCCGACCTCTGGTGATCCGCCCGCCTCAGCCTCCCAAAGTGCTGGGATTAAGGCGTGAGCCACCACGCACTGCCAGCAGTGCTTCTTAAACTTGAACAGGCATACAAAGCACTTGGGGATTTTTAAAAGACGAGATTCTGACTTAGGAGGTCTGTGGGGAGGTCGGCCTGAGATGCTGTATTTCCAACAAACCCCAAGTCATCTATCTATACTGAATAACAAGGTTCTAAGTCCCCTATTTCACTTTCAAAATTCTAGGAGGTTATGTCGTTTCTAAGTTTCTCACTCCAGCAAATAAAACACTGGTCTTCTGTCTCCTTCCTTGACCAGCACCCTCCAAAACGATCATCATACCAGCAGTCAGACTAGCCTTTCTATATATATAGAGAGAGAATAAAGCATGCCTCAGTGACCAGAGTTAAGAAATTTATATATAAATGTAAATAGGTATATTTATATTTAAGAAGTGGATGAGAGGCTGCCTGGTGGGTATCATGTGCATTGCTCCAGTAATAGATACACTCAAGGCCTTGACTTCACCACAATGCAATACATGAATGTAGCAAATTGCACTTGCAATCCGTGAATATATACAAATAAAAATAATAAAATTAAATTAAAAATCCAGATTTAAAATCCTCTCCTATTTAAAATCCTCCAGTATTGCTGGGCATGGTGGGTGGTGCATGCCTGTAGTCCCAGCTACTTGGGAGGCTGAGGTGGAAGGATGGCTTGAGCCCAAGAGGTAGAGGGTTGCAGTGAGCCAAGATTGTGCCACTGCACTCCAGCCTGTGTGACAGAGACCCTGTTTCCAAAAATAAATAAATAAATAAATAAAATAAAAATCCTCCAGTACCTTCCCACTGCCTTACGTCCAAACTCCTTTACCTAACAGGGCCTTGCATCCTTTATTATCCTTCTAGAATCCTTCCTACCACCCCATCCTCACTCTGTACTTTAAGGTCCAGTAACCCTGAACCTGCACAGATTCCCCTACCTCAGTTCCTCACCTCTTACCTAGATCAAGTTTATTTCTCCACTTGCTTCTATTAATCAGTTGGCTTAGCCAGCATTCCCAGCACAGCTGAAACACACCCATGCACTTTTTAACCAGACGACAGCTGCTCACTGGAAAGCAGGTAATCAATAAATATTTGTTAATAAGTAAGTAGAATACCAAAAGAGCAAGCCCTGTATTTTTTAAAGTTTTATTTTAGTGTTTTATTTCCTAGGATCCTTCCTGCTTTTAAAGTAGTCTAAGTTAGTGCCAACAACTGCCATTTTAAATGGCAGGTTCTCTGCACCAACAAAATGATTTAACAATCATCAAACTTTTTTTTTTTGAGATGGAGTCTCACTCTGACGCCCAGGCTGGAGTGCAGTGGCGCAATCTTGGCTCACTGCAACCTCTGCCTCCCAGGTTCAAGCAATTCTCATGCCTCAGCCTCCCGAGTAGCTGGGACTACAGGCGTGTACCACCATGCCCAGGTAATTTTTGTATTTTTATTAGAGACAGGGTTTCACCACGTTGACCAGGCTGGTCTCGAACTCCTGACCTCAGGTGATCTGCCTGCCTCGACCTCCCAAAGAGCTGGTATTACAGACATGAGACACTGAGCTTGGCCTGTCAAACTTTTAAGTCAATGCAGCAGAGAATATTAAACATTTGAAAAACATGCTTACAGGGGCCAGGCGCAGTGGCTCACGCTTATAATTCCAGGACTTTGGGAGGCCAAGGGGGGTGGATCACCTGAGGTCAGGAGTTGGAGATCAGCCTGGCCAACATGGCGAAACCCCATCTCTACAGAAAATACACAAATTAGCTGGGCGTGGTGGTGGGCGCCTATAATCCCAGCTACTCGGGAGGCTGAGGCAAGAGAATTGCTTGAACCCGGAGGCGGACGTTGCGGTGAGCTGAGATCATGCCACTGCACTCCAGCCTGGGCGACACAGTGACACTCCATCTCAACAAAAAAAAAAAAAAAAAAGAAAAAAGAAAAATGCTTACAATGCCCTTATCCTTTATTTCCCCCTTTCATTTGTTTTTCATAGCTGGGTTTCAGAGTTGATAGAAAGTTGTCAAGAGAGAAAAGGCACTAGGATCTACAAGTGGCTAAACCCCACCTGGTCTGTTTTGATTATGTGCACAAGAGGTGGAGCTATCATTAACTAAAAACTTAATGCTCTGTCACTGTCCACATTATTTTCCAGAAGGTTAAAAGAAAAAACAAACCCTGAAGTCCTTACTTGAATTGCTGTACTATATTTACTAGTAATCAACAATACTGGAATTGTCAGTGTTCATTTATATGTAGAAGTTTTCTTTAAAAGGAATACAGTCATGGAAACAACAGCCATCCTTCACATTTTAATAGTACATGGATGTTTCCAGGGAAACTTCATATAGATCATATCATTTGCTGGTCAACACAATCTTGTGAAGCAGACCTGGCAGTTATTCAAATAAGGAAAGCAGCCTAGATATTGATCTGTCTCCCTTACAGATGCCAAGTTGCTGGGATTTTTGTTTTTTAAGGTTAAATTCAATAGATTATTTATTAAGAATATAAGTGAAACTAACCTTGATGCCTTGCTGAACTATCCTTAGAGCCTACACACACTATTAGGTTTATCTCTATTTTTTCTAAACTTATATCTCTTTCTATAGTGGCTCTTGAGCCAACTGTGGGAGAACTGAGGCAGGTAACTGACCCCACCTGAGGGTCATCTGAGGCAGAAGAGGTGGCTGAGACAGATGTTCAACGGCTTCTCTAATTTAAGCAGGACAGAGTCCATTCCTGAGTAGCTAATGTTTTTCCCACTGTTTCACAATTTTGTTCTAAAAAACATATTTTCCCCCAACTCTTCATTCTTCTATAAGAAATCAGGTATAATACCTGCTCCTGTTTGGGAGCAACTTAAAGAGTCTGCTTCTCCATCCCCACCACAAAATTTTGCAAAGATTGTACAAATGATCCAATAAGGGACTATTTCTCAAATTTTAGTGTGCACCAGAACCACCTGGCAGAGTAGCTGGAAACACTTATTGGTAGGACCCACCCTAGAATTTCTTATTCAGTAGGTGAGAAGTGGAGATCTGAGATTTTACATTTCTAGCCAATTCCCAGATGATGCTGATGCTGACCTGGGGACCTCATTTTGAGAACCTCAATTTGGGAACCACAGCAATAAGGGAGTCTATAACACTGACTTCATTAATTTTGCTCTTTAGCAAATATTTAGCGGCTTGTATGTGTAAGACAGACTATTCAGACTTTGGTCTTCAGGCTCCCAGACTTCACGAAATACAGGGAAAACAAAAAGACAAAGACTGGAACTGTAACAAAAGGCAGTAATGAAAAATCACAGGTGAATGATCAAGCGCTGAAACTTCAAATCTTAAAAGGAAGGGAGTCCAAGCAGGGATGTTGACCTCCCCAACCTCCTGGAATGCCTAGAATAAGTGGCATCTGAACTGAACCTCAAAAGACTGATCCTGACACATGAAATGATTCCCTGCAGAAGAAACCAAGAGGGCAGGGTGTCAAGGGTGCCAAAATGCAGGGCAGGTTTAAGGAATCACAACTTCTGTGGGGTACAGGTGTGGCAGCAGCTGCAGCTGGGACTGGAGTCAAATCCCAGCAAAGATGAATCCCAGACATGTTTGCACGGAGCACTCTTCTCAGGGCCCTGCTGTGGGGAGACTGGGATAACTGCATGGGGACACTTTAGGAAGCCATGAAAAGAGACTAAAGCAGACGAAGCAGCAGTGAGGCTGTGCAGACCCCTTTTTCCAAGAATGAGGAGTGAGGAGAGGTGATGACATGGAACCATCATCCAGAAAGCTTTCTCAGCAGCCAGGGAGATTTTAGGCTGACTCTCCTAAGAAAAGTGCTATCTTTTCCTCAAAAGGAGTTATCTATCACCTTCCTCTTCTATATAACTAGCCTCCAAGAATCCTTTTAATGTTCTTCCTAGTAAAATATTAGATTTAAGAAAAAGTTGGTATTCCCTTGACTGTCAATATTCTTAATGCAACAAAAACCGAGAGCAGCCCATGTCCAGAAATCTGGGCAGCTCCCTTAACACATTAATCTTCCATGCCAGCAGTATGTATTCAAGTTATTTGGGCGCCATGATCCACATCTAACCCACACTTTGTGGTACTACGGGAAGAGCATCAAATTTGGAGTCAGAAAACCTGAATTCTGGAAAGCTAGCCTCATACAGATGGATAATAATCCAACGATCTATTTCTTTATCTACAAAAAGTTCGAGAATAGCTACCCTTGCCGGGTGTGGTCAGCACTTGGGGAGGCCAAGGCAGGCAGATCACAAGGTCAGGAGTTCGAGACCAGCCTGGCCAATATGGCGAAACCCCATCTCTACTAAAAATGCAAAAATTAGCCGGGCGTGGTGGCAGGTGGCTGTAATCCCAGCTACTCAGGAGACTGAGGCAGGAGAATCGCTTGAACCCGGAAGGCAGAGGTTGCAGTGAGCCGAGATCGCGCCACTGCACTCCAGCCTGAGCGACAGGGTGAGACCCCGTCTCAAAAAAAAAAAAAAAAAAAAAAAAAAAAGAATAAATTTTCTTCATGATTCAGAGGTATAAAATCAGCACTTCACTTTCTAAGAGTTAAGAAATTTAAAAAATTAAGAAATTCAACAAGACAACTCTCAATACGTAATAAACTTGGTAGTAATGCATTTCATGACCTGAAATTCTTTAATCTCTATGTCCCAAGGAAGACAGAGCACTTCATACCTCTCCTGGTGCAAACGCACTGAGCCAGAATAGCTAGAGAATGCACCTTCTCCAGAAAGATCAGATGCGGAGTGTCAGCATCTGGCTGCAAAGCAGACAGAAAAACTTCATTTTGATGCTTTTTAACTAGATCCTGTCTACATTACAACTTCACAGCCAGAGCCAATAGAATCAGTTCTCCAGGGGCAGGTTGGCAGGAGAGGGAACCAGGTTAGGGTGGGCATTTCACACTGTCATTCTTTCATTTAAAAGAAAATATATATATAAATATGAACATCTAGAAGTCTGAAAGGAGAAAGTTACAGAACACCGTGCAGCCTAAACTCAACAATGCCTGTGAACTTGGATGAGTTATTTGCCTCTATCTTATCACCTCTAAAACTTCACAGGTATGTTATAAAGACCAGACAAAATTCCATATAGAAAGCTCTGACTGGTACATGGTAAGCACTCAACAAAATCGTTTTTCCCAGTAACCCTGACAAGAAAGAAGAAACTTTATGGAATAATTGGAATGCAGGCATAGTATTTAAAAATGGTAAGCATTTCTAGGCCGGGTGCAGTGGCTCACACCTGTGATCCCAGCATTTTGGGAGGCCGAGGCAGACCAATCACTTGAGCTCATGAGTTCAAGACCAGTTTGGGCAACATGGTGAAACCCTGTCTCTACAAAACACACACACACACACACACACACACACACACACACACAAAGCAGGGTTTGGTGGCAAGTGCCTGTAGTCCCAGCTACTGGGGAGACTGAGGTGGGAGAATCACTTGAGCCTGGGAGGCAGAGGTTGCAGTGAGCCAAGATCATCACACCACTGCACTCCAGCCTGAGCAACAGAAGCAGACCTTGCCTCAAAAAAAAAAAAGAAAAAGAAAAGAAAAGTAAGCATTTCTATAGATGAAATGGAAGAGTAGGCATTTGAGGCAAAATGTAGAAGATAAGCGTGAAACCCAGGGATGGGTTTTATAAAAAGCTGTAGGCCTGCCTACCAGATTTGAATGGAATATATTAGAATAAGAAGTAAGTGGAGTGGGGCCATTTTACGGAGAATCTTTGAAGGCCAAGCTAGACTCTGGAACTTCATTTACACAATGGCACAAGCAACTGTTTCTGAGGGGGAAAGTGGCATGATGAGTGTTCTCTCATGAGGAGTTAAGCTGGCTGATGTGAAGTGGAGAGATGGTTATCATGAACCTGCACCTCTGTTACTACACAGTTCTCTAAATATGGGAGGTTGGGTTTTGCTGTATTTCAACATTCCTCTTTTATTTAACAGAGAAAAAAACATCAAATACAACTTTATACGATACATGAACTGATTCTGAGGAAAGTGATAACTTAATTTTGCAGGTGAAAATCTGAAAAAGAAAAAGAGGAAGGGGTGGGTGTGTGTGTGTTGGGTGTTGGGTGTTGGTGGTGAATGCTACAGCCATCAGAGGTTGAAGGGCTTGTCTTCTTATGCCAGGAGGCTTCGTGTGATAAAGCCATCACTCTTGTATCTCAATGAGGTTTTTTTTTTAATCACACTTATTTACTGACCCACAAATCTCTACAAACTATAAATCTCTACAAACCATAAATCTCTATAAACTATATATTTATGACTATCCTTATTTTTATTTTAAACTATATATAACTATATTTATATATAAATATATAACTCGATTTATATTTATATATAACTATATTTAAACTATAAATTTATAATATCTCTATAAATTTATAAACTATAAATCGCTATAAACCATTTTATCTAAATAGACCAGACTCATTTTAAAATTATATTCTCCTTAGCCAGAACTCCAAATCTCATTCTATGGCACACCTCCTGAAATTTTTAGGACCCAGTGTGGAAAGTAACTTGAAACCAGCCAAAATGCAGAAACAACTCCAGAAAAATCATAGCACTATCAGGCACAGACAATACATAAATAAGTTCATATCAGAGGCATTAAACCCAGTACAGGACTGGCAAGGTAGCTCACATCTGTGATCCCAACACTTTGGGAAGTGAAGGCGGGAGGATCATTTGAGGCCAGGAGTTCAACACCAGCCTGAGCAACATGGTGAGACTCTGTCTCTACAAAAAATTTAAAAATTAGCCAGACATGGTATAGTCCCAGCTACTTGGGAGGCTGAGGTGGGAGGATGGCTTGAGCCAGGACTTCAAGGCTGCTGTTGAGTCGTGATTGTGCCACTGCACTAGAGCCTGGGCAACAGCGTGAGACTCTGTCTCTTAAAACGAAAACAAAAAACCCAATACAGTTTCAGAGGAGCATTTTGCCAATATTCAGAGATTATGTGCTAGGAAAGATTATACTCAGAAGAGTAAAAAAAGGCACCCTTGCAGGAATGTACAAAATTAAATCAGCAGATAGAAATTATATGTTATCAAAAATATGTGATAATCAGAACTACAAATACCAAACAAAACACAAAACCAGGGATGGGAATTAAAGAAAGGTTTTGTGTGTGTGTGTTTAATCAAAATTCTCCTAGGATTGTTTAAAATGCAATCGGTTCATTTGTTCTGAAGGATGCTGACAAATGTGTGTAATTCTCCTGAGGTCCACCATACTTGAAAGTTAATTCACCCTTTCTCAATTCCTCAACATGGGTGGTTTTCTGCTACAGAAATACCAACACTAAACTTGTGCAACTCCTAAACCACAATATTTAAAAATAAGAAAGTCACTGGGGCTAAATTAGGAGACAAGGGTCACACTAAAAAAAATTATTTTTAAAGCTACCACACAAAACACGAAGCTTACCCCTTTCGAAGGGATTTCCTTGAGAAACAGCGTATGAGGTAAAATATCAGGGGCACATGATTTTTTTTAAATTTAAACTTTACGTTGTCCAGAGAGGACAGTTAAGACATTTCCTGTGTGTAGGCTCCACCCTTCTCGGCGAGCAGTTTTAAAACCTTCCTCAGCCCTTTCGGAATAACAGCCTTTTGTTATGGGTGGGCCTAGGGGTGCACTCCTCCCTCACACCTTCTATTTTCTCCCAGTTTTGCTTTTTTTCTGAGACTTCCAGGCTAGGCTGGCGGTGGAGTGGGCTGACGATCCCGGTGGGTGCTTTCCCCCAGGCGGGATGACACAATGAAGCTGGGAGTCCGGGCCAGGGGAAGAGGAGGAGCACGCAGTGGATTCTCCGACCCGAAAACCGTGAGGCCCCTAACAAACCTAGATAATGAACGCCCCCCCCCACCCCAACTCCTCTATTTACTACTTGCAAGCGCCCCCAGCTTAAGTTTTCAAAAAAGCAAATTTGACTGCCGAAGAGCTCAAGAGAAATGAACCAAAGAGACACAGAACCGTTCCCCAGAGCGAAGGGAGCTTCCTCTGAGCTAACTGCCAGAGGAATGTGGCACAGCCCAGCAAATGTTTAAAATCACGTCCTGTTCTGCCTCGTTTTCCAGAGAAGTGTCATTACTGTCAACTATTTCACAAGACAAATAAACCAATGAATGAAAGACATCCTCCCCCCTCTTCCCAATGAAAAACATTCTAGGGCTGAGCGGCTTCCTTCCTTCCTCCTCCTCACAGGAACCACATTTGCAGCACTGAGGAGGTTAAAATAAGAAACACACAGTCCTCGAATACTACTTTTTTACAGTGCTAGAGCCATTCCCAGCCTACTACTGACTCCAGGGGCTTCCAAACGGAAGGAGTTCTGTTTTCAGTTAGGAACCTTTTTTCATGTATAAGCTCTGAGACACTGCTGGCCAGGGCCTGCTGGCTGGGCAGGGACAGCTGAGGGGTGCAGGGGCCGCAGGGAAAACAGCACACTGGTGCACACACAGGCTTCTGCTCTCCCTAAAAATATGTTCAGTAAAATATTGGACTCATTCAATTGTCTGAGCCTTAAAAAGACTCCAAGAAACCTGTAATTGATCCAACTAATCCAACCCATAGGGTTGAAATGACAATAACCGGCTTTCATTAGAAATTATATAGCCCACTAAATAGATGGGAAGGCTCTTCCCAACACATCAGAAAAATTAAAATTAAGCTTCTGAATAAAAAACTGTAATTTACCAAAGGCTTAGGAACAAAAAGACCCCTCCCTCCTCCCCTTTGCTATTGTTCTACAGGACTGGGTCTGAGCACGGCACTTTACACCTTTAAAGCTTCCCAGAGGTAAGAGGCTGGGGGCTGGGAGCCAGAGGCGACCCGGAATCAAATACCTGCATACTAATAAGTCTATGAGCACTGATCTACTAGGAGGTAAAGTTAGCTAAAAGTAAAGAAAATGTGTGTGCAGCAGTTATCTGACAACCTAGAAAGCCAAAAAGGTGCTGGAGAGACAGGGACTCCAAATGGTAGCTCTTCTGGAGTGGAGTATGAGCAACTGCCTTCCCTAAGTCGTGAATGGGGTGCCCGCAGCCAACCACAGGGTCTGGGGCCGAGCTGTGAAGCCGCCCGTCTTCATTAGGGTCACAAATAAAGCCTCCAAGAACCCCCGTTGGCACCCAGGACAGGCCCGGCCTTTGGGAGGGGGCTTACCTTGCAGCTGCTTGAATCTGCCTTCCAGCTGGTTGTAGTTGTAAGGCACCTGCCCCGTGTACGCCGGCGACAGCGGCCCGGAGATACTAGACGTCCTCTGCAATTCCATTATGCCCGGCGTAACGCCCCGGAGGACTGCGCCCTGGAAATCTCGCTCCAGCCCCCTCCCACTCCCATCCAACACGCAGCAGCCTCCGCAGCGCTCGGCTCCTTAGGCGAGCCCCATTCCGGTCTGCAAGTCCAGCAGGGTGATCTGATGGGAAGTTGGCTGCAAGAGAGTCCACCTTAGCTCCGCGAGGAGTTACCACACAGGCATCTAATTTCTTGCTTTCCCTTCTTCCGTGGCCCTTGCCTGGAAGCTCGAAATAAATTACTGAGGAGGAGGGAGAAGCAGAGAGGAGGCGCAGGTTCTACTTCAGAACTTTTAAATATGGCCAATCCTAAGCATGCCACGGTTGCCGAGCCCGGGAGCTCGCGGGCGCAGCGCGCACACCTCCTCCCAGCTGCCCGCGGCGGCCGCCGGTTTGTAATTTTATCAGGAGCCACTCGCCGTGTGCTGGGCGGTGATGTCACCTGATTAGCATAACAGCATTGTATTAGAAATGCAGGCTATACCACGAGGAGGGGCGCGGGGGAGCCTAGCCGGCCCGCGACCCCCTACCGGTCCCGCACGGTCCGCGGTCGCCCCAGCCGCCCGGCAGCCGCCGACCCCCGGCCGGGCCCTGGACTCGCCGCGGTAGTGCCTTCCCAAACAGAGCTGCTGGAATTACAATCTTTTGTTGAGCCTCATGTAACGGAAAAGTCTCCGATTACTATCACTTGAAAAGGCTAGCGCGCCCACGGGACGGCCTGGAGAGTGAAGAGCCCCAAGGGTCCCGGGCCCGCGCGGCTCATTCACTCTCTAGCGTCTGCTGAGGTAACGCGGCCCGCACCTGGGCGCGCGCGACTGCCCCAGTGCGCTGGCGCCAACCACGCGGCGGCGGCCCGGCGAGCCACCGGGAAGAAGTCAGACAAAGTCACTCTCAGGGCGCTGTGCAGCGCCACAGCCAGGGGAGGTGTAAGTTCGGGCTCAGTGAAGAATCTCGGCTGACTTACGCTGCCATCAGGGGATATGAAGGCGGTGGTTTCCTGGAATAACACGGGCCTATGATAGGAATTCGACGCAAGGAAGATTTATGGGAGCACCGATTTGCAAGGCATTGTGGGAAAAAGGTACACAGGTAAACACCGCCGAGATCCCTGACCTGGAGTTGTTTATGATCCGGAGGGGAGATGAGGGAACCGAAACTACCCTCAAATTCCTACTCTGATTTGTAAAACAAGGCCTCTAAACTTGTGGTTCTCCAAAATTTTAAATCTCTCCTTCCCAGCTTCTTCTCCCACCAATCTCAACCAAAAATGAAATCTTCCACATAGAAAAGAGAATGATCAAAATGTATTCTTGGGAAATTGACTCTAGATCTCCCCCCTCTCTCTCCACCCTCCTGTCCCCCCTTTTTCCTCACTACCTAAACAGGCAGACAACAAATTACACTTTTGGCATTTCCAGTTTGGAGCCCTACAGCAATACTCACTGAAGAAGGTAATTTCATTCCTCAGGGATCCCAATATGTAGTAAAGACGTGGTCCCCCACCCCAGGTTCACCTCAGTCCCCAGGGCACTTGTAATTGAAGTAACTGCATCCTGTCCAGGCTTAGAATTAAACCCAGAGCCTAGCTAACTGCTCAACGCTGAACAACCCCCAACTCCTTCCAGCCACATAACTAGGTTTTTAATACTTCCACATGTCAACCTTTGGCTTTTGAAAGCCAGGCCCAACCTGAAGAAGACAACATTTCTTATCATCTAAGATGTAGAACATTTTTTAAAGCCCCTAAGTGCTGCCAATTCACAATGCTGATGGGAGGCTAGGCAGAGCATTACAAAACACTTGGTCTTGGAAAAAGCACTTGACTAGGATTCCCAAGACCTGAGTTGCTAGTCCTGGCCAAGCCTCTTAATTACCCTATGACCTTAGAAGAAACCCTGGATTCTTTCTAAACCTCAGCTGTCAGACTGAGTAATAATTAATGCCCACCTCCACAGGGTCACTGAGGAGATGATGTGGAAATGTTCTAAAAATTATCATACTTTCAAAATTAAGAGTATATTCTTCAAAATGCACCCCTCCTTTCATCACCCCCCGCCCACACACACAAACACACACACACACACCACATCAAGACTACAAGAGAAGTTGAATTGGGAACCGTCTCAATGAAGATCTTTTTAACAAGCCCTTTTTCACAACTAAGTATACTGGTGAAATGATAAGTCTCTAAGTGTCCAGCTATGGCACTGAAAATGAGATTACAAAGTGCTTTGCCAACTTATAACGTTTTAATCATTGGGCCACTTAATGAAGAAAGGGAGTCACCACTCAGTATCTCCCTTTCAGCTCCCTCTAGTATGGGTTAGTACATGAAATAATTTTTAATTAACCAGGTTGCACATAATATGATGGCAGTAGAGCTGGGACGAACGTAGCCACACTCAATCCTGTGAAGCCAACACTGAATGAACCAGGCAGAGTGAACACATGCAAGTATTAGAAAGGTTTGGACACTGGGGAAGGGTTTAATAACCCCACGGGGATAAGAAGTAAGAAATGG
Organism: Homo sapiens; assembly: GCF_000001405.40. Taxonomy (NCBI): domain Eukaryota; kingdom Metazoa; phylum Chordata; class Mammalia; order Primates; family Hominidae; genus Homo; species Homo sapiens. The sequence continues at coordinate 54,556,235 of NC_000002.12, read as the reverse complement.
GAATCCATTTGGTGTGATGGGACCAGGGAAGAATAAGACAGATCCCTGATGGCCCATCTGACCACCTCCAGTTCAGAAGTGGGGAGGAGGTAAAGGAAGGCCAGAGGTATTCATTCTTTATTTCTTCAGTGTTTACTGTTCTGTATTTACAGTATTTAATGTGTGCAAGGCACACTGCCAGGTGTTTTAGAAGATTCAGAAGTGACCAGGAGTGTTGCTAGCCAAAGGAAATGGGACAAATGTGCAAACAGTAAAGTACCAAAAGAATATAGTAAGGGCCAGGGGAGGACAGCTCTAAGAATTCAGAGGACAAGGAGGACACATCTGCCTTTTGGAGAAAGGTAGGTGGGAAGAACTCTAGGAGGGACTGGCATTTTGATCAAACCTTGAAACACAGGTAGACATCAACAGGCTGGAACAAGGGAGAAGCCTCCTCTCAAGCAGCACAGTAAAAGCATGGATGCCCAGGAAACAGCACCAGCAAGTGCTGCAGTTTGGCTGGAGGATAAGGAACCGTCAGGCTGGGAGGAAAGCCCCGAAAAGCAAGTTAGAACTAAGCCTGGTCTGGAGCCACTGGAGACTTTTGAGCCAGGGGAGTAGAGGGTGTGGGCTGGACTCTAGAGATGATTAATCTGGAAGTGGTATGTAAGAATGGGCAGAAAGGAGAGGAAATGAAGGCAGCAAGGTCAACTGGGTGGTTAGTGCAACAGTCCAGGTCAAAGGAGCAATCAAATGAAAAAGAATGGGCTGACGTAAAAATTAATCCAAAGGACTTTGGTAACTAACTGTATGTGGGAGGATCAAAGGAAAGGGACAAAGAAGACTCTCAGGGTTTTACATCTGGCTAGAGGGGTGCAGGGGACAAGTGCACATTTCCTTCTAGACAGGTGGAATCTGAGTTACCTGCAATACCACTGGGTGACATGTCTGGAGCAGTCAGGGATGTGGAACTAGAGCTCAAAACTGAAGATACAGTCCTGAGTGCAGAGGTGGGAGTTGAGATAGTTGTGGGGTTAAATCTAGGAAAGGAAGTAAGAGGCAAGGGGCTAAGCATGGAGCCCTGGGGAAGGCCTGGGTTTGGGAGAAAGAAGAAAAACCAGTGGAGATGCCAGGGAGTTGCAGAATGAAAATCTAAGGAGAGAGACTCAAAGAGGAAAGAGGGTAGATGGTCTTAAGTGTTGCAAAACAAACAAACTAAAAAATAAAACTTAGAGAAAAGGCATGTGGTGTGCCAATTAGCAGGTCAACTGGGTTAATAAAAGCAAAAGCTGGGTTACAGGGAGTTAGAAAATAACGAGAAAGGAGGAGGAGGAGGACGAAGAAGAAGCTATGAAGATGAGACTAGTGAATGAGGGTTATCAGACTCAGGGGAAGATGTTCCAAGGCAGGGCCCAACTGAGTATGTCCTCTGTGCACAGGTTTCAGCCCTAAGTTGGCATAGGTAGGAAAAGGCCAGTGGGAAGATGGCTCAAAGATATGGATGGAACAGATCAAAAGTGCTGTGGGCTGGTGGAAAGACTCAAGTCCAGAGTCAGGGACTCAGGCTTACCCTAATTTCTGAGTACCAAGGAGCTATGTAATCTTGAGCATGTTTCTGATGTTCTCTGGGCCTCTCAATCTTCGTCTATAAACCAAACAGTTTGGAATCTATGGTCATAAAAAATTCCTTCTGGAATGTTTAGTATTAAATGTATTAGTGATTTGGGTTCACCCTGCTTAGGTCCCACTTCTAACTGCAGTCCCAGTTATCATCAATCTCCACTTAAACTGAATGGCCGTAATAACCAGAACCATCACACTTGGTAGCTTACAGAATGCTTCCACATATATTTTCTCAAGTGACTAACCCTGTGAGGCAGGTATGGTCACCATTTTGCAACCAAGGTAGCTGAGGTTCACAGAAATACAGTGCCTTGCCCAGGGCCCCAGCTGGTGAGTGGCACAACCAACACATGGACCCCAGATCCACCAAGTCAGCGTGCTCCCCATCTCCCCACCTCTGCTGTTTCTCCCATATGCTCAGAGTATATCCAGCTTACTATGGGTTTCTAAGCTTTTCTGAAAAATCACAGAACTCAGTAAGTGGTATCAAGATTAACCTAAAACCCAAGCAGGCCTCTACACGAACCTCTACAACATTTAGTTTTGAGTCAGGATTAGGCACATGCTCTGCTAGTTCACCTAGAGCTTGCTGCTTGAAGTGTTCTGTGGTTCTGAGTGGGTTTTATTAGGTCTTGTTTGGTTTTGTTCCTCTTCTCATACTTGGTGGACCTGTACACTAAGATTCTGTATGACTTAGCATGTGGCAAGGTAAGATTAAGCCTCTGTTTGTTCTAAGAGGCTTTACACAGTCTTGAGGGGAAAGAAAGATGAATGCTTTTCCTGCATTACAGCAAGCTTGAGTGGGTAAACTTTAGATGTTCATTTCCTGAACATCCAGACACTATCAAGACTCAGTGTGTCTGGGAGAGGATGTCCAAAATGACAAAATGTGATGGGATTTGTACACATTCAACCTTGGGATTTGAAAAACCAATCCGAGAGCTGGGAAAGAAGTGATGGGAACAGGGAGGGACAGAAAACAAAGTTTCATATAGGATTGTGTTTTGTCAAATTCTCTGCTGCTTTCTACTGCCATCTCCACATCTGTCTTTCATTCTTCATCGGTGTCAAGTCCCTTGGCATTGGATGACCACAGCCAATTTCTCCTAAGCATTTCTTTACAGGAAACCAAAATAATGCTAAAATAATCCTCTTCCATTAGCGTGGCCAGATAGAGAAGCGGCTCCAAACCATGCCACTGCATTTATGCTGCACTAAGCACTGGTTTATATTATGTTTCTATCTCATCTCTCTAGTTCTCTTTCTGTCTTACCTCTCTGGCCCACCCACTCCCTTCCTAGGAACCTCTTGCCCACCTCTCCCACTCTTGAATCCTTAACTGAGATCATTCTTTTCTTTCCACTAACTCCCAAAGAGCCTCCCACTCCCTAACTACTAGTTGCCACCTTCTTTTCTCCCTAAAACCTGCCTCTGTTAAAAACCTAGTCCTTTTTCAATGGAAATTTCCCCACTAACCAGAAAACTCAACCAACTAACCAAGCATACCACAATGAAATCCAGCAAAAAAGAAAAGACAGAAGAAATTATATGAAGCCTCCTTTTCCCCCCAAAAGAACAATTTTCAAAAGCCCTACTGGCATAGCACATTTGACACTGGTATTTCTATGCCATTGCTACCTGCCTGCCACCTCTTTAGAACATCTCCTTTCTCCCCAGTGGCACCTCCCACTCAAGGCCCATGGCCTGGGCAGCTAGAAGCAGTCAGGAGCACTTCCCCTCCCCTCACGACTCACACTACTCTTAGAAAACCATGGGTGAGACCACTTCTCAACTTACAGAGTACCGCCCATGTAAGCATTTGAATCAGGGCTTGGACATGTGAAGCTACAGGAGAAAAAGTGGTTAAAAGCAGACCTGGGGCCAGGTGTGGTGGCTCACGCCTGTAATCCCAGCACTTTGGGAGGCCAAGGCAGGTGGATCACGAGGTCAGGAGGTGGAGACCAGCCTGACCAACATGGTGAAACCCAGTCTCTATTGAAAATACAAAAATGAGCCAGGTGTGGTGGTGGGCGCCTGTAATCCCAGCTACTCAGGAGGCTGAGGCAGGAGAATCGCTTGAATCTGGGAGGTTGAGGTTGCAGTGAGCTGAGATCGCGCCACTGCACTCCAGCCTGGGTGACAGCGAGACTCCATCTCAAAAAAAAAAAGAAAAAAGCAGACCTGGGACCTAAGAAGCTGGCTCTGCCAATTTTTAACCTTGGTTCTCTGTGCCTAAAAAGTTGGCATAATAATGGGACCAACCTCACAGAGGTTGAGATAATTTATAAATTATCTCAATTAATTTATAAATTAAGTGAGATACATGTCTACAAAGATACTATTATAGTACAGTCCTCGTGGCTATAATTGCTAGGCTTTATCTCCTCATAGGAGAAATTTCAAAAATTAATTCTATCCCACTTTTGGCCATCTCTTACTTCACCAAGGAAGCTATCAGCTGCACGATGTTGCGTTTCATGTGGAATCACAGAACTTAGGCTGGGAACAAGGGTGACCACTCCTCTGGATTTTTGGCAAAGGGCATTTCTCAGTGGCAGGACCAGTCCTCCCTCTGGGATGTACTGATACCCCTCCCTTCCCTTCTCTTTAACTCAGCCCATTATGCACTGGGAAAGGCATACTCAGAATCACATTTTATAGCAGTGACACCTCAGAGATAACCAGAACACAATACTTACTATGAAACAAGTTACAGAAGTCCTATATTTTAGAAAAGCCAATGTTTATTTGAGGTGGGGCTGTCAGATTTGATAGTTCAGGACTCAAAATAACAAGAAAAAAAAAGAGAGGACAAAAGATATTTTTCTATCCATAGGAATTATTATCTCTGTTCCATGAAAGATATGGATGGTTCTTTCTCCCTCTCTTTACACCTTCCCCCCATTCCCCCCACACCCATAAAACCATCTAAGTATACAGCCGAATCTGAAATAACAGGGCAAAGCTGGTTTCCATTTATATCCTTTTCCTGTTTCTTGCCTAACTGGTCATATCAGACCTGAATACAAAACACCTGAGATCACTGCTGAGGAGAAAAACGGCAAGTTACACTGGAAACAAGCACCCAAGGTCCTGGGGAATGAATGTAGTTTATTGAATCTTCTACCCCAGCCAAACCTTATCCCTGCATTCTTACCGTGTCTGTTATCTACACATGCAAAGCTTCCCTGCACAGACAAAAGAATGCCCCGGTCCAGAGGCCCTGGCTTTGCCAAACAGGTGGTGCTATGCCTGTGAATGTAACAGCAGCCAGAGCCAGGGCTGGGCTCCTCTGTTGCAGGTAGAGTGGTTAAAAGGAAAAGAACATCTGAGGAATGCAGTTGAGGCCAGGCCTGCTCTTGCCCAGAGTTCTTGGTTCTGCTTTTCACCTCCAACATGGAGGGGAACAGCTGACACACACAGGTGTTCAGAGCCATCCAGGCCAGAGTTTTACAAGAGTGATATGGGGCAGTGAGAAGATACTGTTCCCTGGGTAGCAGAGCTCATGAGAAAGAAATGGGTAAGGAATAAATACAAATCTATTCTTTGTGAAAATAGGCCTCTGGGTCCTGCCCTCAAGTATATTCACACCCATATTACCTTTTCCAGGAGCTGTGAAAAGAAAATGTGAAAAGGGCAGGTAGGGCAGGCACTTGGAGAGGGTAGGAGAAAAGAGAAAGGTGAGGGACATGCAAATCTCATCGTCAAGACATACTCCTCCCCTACAGAGAGCCCAAGTCAACTCATCTGACACGTTCTCAGCCCCATCCATGGGCATAGGCTATTGGAGGGACCCATGACATGGTGAGAACTGATTTCTTCTCTGCAGGGACTTTCAACCTAGCTGAGGAAATCAGACACACTAGGACACATGCATACACAAACACAAGGGTGTAATATGTAACAAATGACAGGTTAGTGACAGTAACAGCTATTGATAGTTACAGTAAGTACCATTCTAAATTAAGCAACAACTACATTTCTCTACTTGGCTGAGAAAATATCAGAGCAGGATTTCTTCCACACAAACACTCTCTGTTCCTATTCGGTCTTATCTATGCAATTTTAATGTTGCTTCTAACCAAATCCCTGCTGACATGTGCCATTCTAACATGAGAGTGTAGGTAATATAGTTGGGGGTGTGGGGTGTGTTTCTTGCTCTTTGAAAAACAGGTACCGATTACCCAGTTGCAGAGATATGGAACAACATGTGCAGCCCTGGTGTGTTAAAATGTGAAATATTTTAAGGGTGCAGTCATTTCTTCCTCCTCAGCACCTGAGCTTCTGCTGATCTCTCACTGAGATAGCACAGCCTCCCTGCCATAGGACTTTGCTAGGCAGCCACTCGCTGGGCACAGCCCCTGAATAATTCATGGACAGCCCAGTCACTCAGGAGCGCCAAGGCCTGCCAGCTGCCTCGTAAGTAGGAGGCAGGCTCCAGATTACTGTAAAATAAATACTATAGCTACCTCTGAGACCTTCTTTACAGACACCATAAAACACCCTTCCCTCTTTGCTTTATCTCCCCATTTTAAACCAGGTAATTTCTGGCAGGATCAAAGTACACCTGACTTTTACTGTAAGGAAGATAAGTCCCAAGGGGTAGGGAGAAAGTGATGTCCTCAAACAAGTGCATGACCAGGATGGCATTCCCATGCTCAGGCTACTGAGATGGCATGGGCAAAGACCAGATACTGTGCCCAACACAAGACAGATCCTCAATAAATGTCTGTCCCCATCTCTTCCTCCTAACTGTCCCCTCTGCTACACCCAAACTGATCAGTGCCCCACCTGTCTTGGGCTTTCCATGCCTCTGCTCTTGGCCCTCCCCTCACCTTTTAGTCCCAAGTCCATTCATCCTTCAAGCCCAGCTCAAAGCCTTCCCTTCTCTAGGAAGGCTTCCCAGATTACCCAGCTGGGATGATGGCTCCTTCTTAGAAACTCTACACCAGCACTGTCAGCCTCCGTCGTCCAGCACATATCATACACTCTATGAGAGCATTGCTTATCTCTTCTTGTGTACCAGTCTTATCTGCTTAATTAAAATAATGGAAAGTACACCAGACACAGACTCAAGAGAAGTGAAGGGCACACTCCATTCTCAGCTTTTAACACTGACTGGCTATGTGACCATGAGCCATTCACTTGGCTTTTCCAATGTTTTCCCTAAAACCAAAGGATCCGAAATAGAAAATCTCTGAAAATTGGTATATACATACAACAGAATCTTACTTAAAAGCAAGGAAATCCTGTCATATGCTGCAGCATGGAGGACATAATGCTCTTGGAAAATATTATAAACTGTTTTAGGACAGATACAAGTCTTTTTTTTTTTTTTTTTTTTGAGACAGAGTTTCACTCTTATTGCCCAGGCTGGAGTGCAATGGCACAATCTCGGCTCACTGCAACCTCTGCTTCCAGGGTTCAAGCGATTCTCTTGCCTCAGCTTTCCGAGTAGCTGGGATTACAGGCGCGCACCACCACACCAGCTAATTTTGGTACTTTTAGTACAGATGGGGTTTCACCACATTGGCCAGGCTTCTGACCTCAAGTGATCTACCCTTCTTGGCCTCCCAAAGTGCTGGGATTACAGGCGTGAGCCACCGTGCCCAGCCAAATGCAAGTCTTACAGAACCTTCACCCTATACCCCCAGCCCAGTATCTTTAAGGAACAGTTAAAAATGATTTAGCCATTTTTGAAAGCTGAACACTGATGAAAACAAGGACTCTGTGAGGGAGGTGGCACCATATGGTGACTCAGAGAGCCTATGCCAGCCTAGGTAACACCCCCTCATGCATACCTTAATCTTTCACAGTCAGAAGATGATAGCTGAAAGTCCTAACAGGTGTCAGAAGTTCCTTTTAAAAATTCCTCTATCTAAGCCAACCCATCTCATTTATAGTAAGAAAAATGAGAAATGAGGCACAGAGCCGTGTGCCCAGAGTTACAAAGCAAGCTACCGGCATGCTGGAGATTAGAAAGCAGGCCTTCTGAATTCCTGCTGCCATTTCTAGAGCAAACCTGAAGGAAGAGGAAGCTAAGCACAAAGGAAGTAGCGTGCATTTCTCATGCCAGTCAATGAAGTGGGCCCAGGGCTTGGAATCAGGGAAAACTCACCTTAATGTCCTTTCCCCACTGCCTTCCAGCATCCACCACAAAGGTGGAGCCAAAAGGCCTGTCCTGAGTGCTAGATGAGTGATATCTGTTTATGTTCTCTGATGTCCAACTTGCACCAGCTCAGAGAGAATGACAGCCCAGGATGCGGTACAAGCACAGCTTCCATGTCATCTTTCCAGCCCAGTGTAGAACCATACACAAAGTTGGCCTCAGCAAACTTTGTTGTTTAAAAATCCTTTTTCTCAGTTTTATACATTGATCTTTCCTTTATTATTCTTATGGTGTCCTGAGGAATAGCCTACTCAGGAGGCACTTAAAAAAATACCTGACAAATGGATTTATTCATCACAACCAGAATTATTTTATTTATTCTGAGATGGAGCCTCGCTCTGTTGCCCTGGCTGGAGTGCAGTGGCATGATCTTGGCTCACTGCAAGCTCCACCTCCTGGGTTCATGCCATTCTCCTGCCTCAGCCTCCCAAGTAGCTGGAACTATAGGCACCCGCCACCACGCCTGGCTAATTTTTTGTATTTTTAGTAGAGACGGGGTTTCACCGTGTTAGCCAGGATGGTCTCGATCTCCTGACCTCGTGATCTGCCCGCCTTGGCCTCCCAAATGCTGGGATTACAGGTGTGAGCCACCACGCCTGGCCACAACTAGAATTTTAATGACAGGTGAAGAATGAAGAGAAAGAAGAGAAAGACTAAGCTCTTTTCTAATACCTGCCAAGCTCACCTATAACTACCTCTCCACTCACCTCTTTTCATTACTATTTTTATCACCGATACCTTAATCACCATTACCCTTTTAATTACCATCTACCAAGAAAAACACAATTTGAGACCACGTTGGTGCCTTTTTTCCATTATATCGTATTTTGAATAACATTCTAAAAGCTTCAGTAAAGGATATGGAGAAATTGGAACCCTTGTACGCTGTTGGTAGGAATGTAAATGGTGCAGCTGCTGTGGGAAATAGTATGGAGGTTCTGCAAAAAATTAAAAATATAACTACCATATGGTCCAGCCATTCCCCTTCTGGATATATATCCAAAAGAACTGAAAGCAGGATCTCAAAGAGACACTTGCATTCCTATGTTCATTGCAGTATCATTCGCAATAGCAAGAGGTGAAAACTCTAATGTCCATCAATGGATGAATGGATAAACAAAATGTGGCATATACATATAATTGAATATTACTTAAAAAGAAGAAAATTCTGTCATATGCTATAACATGGATGAAGCTTGAGGACATCATGTTAAATGAAATAAGCCAGTTAGAAAAAAAACAAATATTACATGATTCCACTTACATGCAGTATGTTGAGTAGTTAAACTCATGGAAAGAGAAAGTAGAATGGTGGTTGCCAGGAGCTGGGGGAAGGGGAACGTGGTGAGTTATTGTTTAATGGGTGTAGAGTTTCAGTTTTTCAAAATGAAAAGGGTCTAGAGATCTGACTGCACAACAATATGAACATAGTTAACTCTACTGAAGTTACATTTAAAAATGGTTAACATGGTAAACCTTATGTTATGTGGTTTTTTTTTTTTTTTTACCACCATTAAAAATGAATTTTAAAAACATACTTCAGTAAAGACAAGGAATGCACCACTGGGCAGGGGAAGAAACAGCAGATCTATAAAGCCACATGTTCCCCACCTATGATGCTGAAGCTCAAATCAAACATTCTCAAATGCTGTCAACCAACACATTGATCTCTCCAAGTCCTATCTTCCACCCTTAGGAAAAAAGATATTTACTCGGAATCCTGCCAACTCTCATTTTTACAACAAAAGGCCTCATAAATTACGTACTGCCTTCCAGCCTCACATTTGTGTGCAGTGCGATAGAGTTTATCAGAGTTTATCCATTTCCCACAGAGTTGTCATTAGAGTCAGAACTCATGATCTCGACAACCCAACCTTCATGAAATTGTTCAAAAACTTTATTTTTCAGTCAGCATCTTTGAGATTGAGTCCTCAAAACACAGGGGAAATAAATTGGTAGTTTAGAAATAGTAGCAATGCATCATACTCAAGCAGGCAGGTACACATTTACACAACTTAGGAGTGTGTGTATGCACATATACAGGAGAATGCCTACATGTATACAGATCACTTTAACAGATATCAGACAAGTTTTTCTTACTCTGAAGTTTTTGTGATACCCCCATCATCAACTATCCTGAAACACTTAGACTTTGCCCAGCCAGCTAAAGAACACTGATATTCTGTCAATGTGGGTACATACATAGTTTGCTGTTACGAATAATTTTGCCATAATAAGGGCTTATGAAGCAACAGACCAAGGTTCTTACTGATCAAAAAATTGTCCTTGTAGTTGGCCTATTAGAGATCACGGAAGGGCAAATGGCAAAAATCATTACACAGGAAAGAGGTCTGTAATTTGTAGTGATTATAATCAAAGTTACACTAGTTCTTGTTAATAACACTCTACAAGAGCCTGCATTTCTGACTCATCAAGCATAAAACATTAACAAAAATTAACAAGAGACTAGGTCTTGAGTCAGAGTCACAGGGCATTATTTCCTGTAGAAGGACAAAGGTTGCTATCATCCCTGTACCAATACACACTCTGTGTCTCACTGTGTACACAGAAACCACCAGGAAAAAAATGCCAAAACTTACCTTGGTAGCAACAGCCCGTTAGCATGCTAACTCCCTAAGAGCATATACACAATCTTAGAGGTCTGAGGGCCCTCAGAATCCATCCAGCCCACCCCCTTGTTTTTCAGATAAGGACACTGAGACAGAGAGGCTAGATGGAGTTCTCTAAAGTCAAGTTAGAGAAGTCCAGTGGACTCCCAGAGCTCCTGATTGCAGTAACAGTACTGACAATGCCCCCCACCCACCACCATCTGAATCCATTTTTGTATATGCCATCAAAAAGCTTTGTTACCTAAAAATAGTTTTGCTGGATTTTAATGTCCATCTGCCAGCTTTTTCTAATGGCAGGTTAGCAATAGAATAGTAGGCTTGTTAAATAAAGCATTCAGCTAGTATCTATCACTTAGTGGGGTCTCTGGGTACCTTTGCTTATTTAACTTCATCCTTCCTTAAATGAAAGTTTACTCCGTTTTATATATACCCAGTAATGGGATTGCTGGGTCAAATGGTATTTCTAGTTCTAGATCCTTGAGGAATTGCCACACTGTCTTCCACAATGGTTGAACTAATTTACACTCCCACCAACAGTATACTGGGTATATACTCAAAGGATTATACATCATTCTACTATAAAGACACATGCACACGTATGTTTATTGTGTCACTGTTCACAATAGCAAAGACTTGGAACCAACCCAAATGCCCATTAATGATACATTGGATAAAGAAAATGTGGCACATATACACAATGGAATACTATGCAGCCATAAAAAAGGATGAGTTCATGTCCTTTGCAGGAACATGGATGAAGCTGGAAACCATCATTCTAAGCAAACTATCACAAGGACAGAAAACCAAACACCGCTTGTTCTTACTCATAGGTGGGAGTTGAACAATGAGAACACATGCACACAGGGCGGGGAACATCACACCCTGGGGCCTACTGGGGAGTGGGGGGCTGGTGGAGGGATAGTATTAGGAGAAATATCTAATGTAAATGATGAGTTGATGGGTGCAGCAAACCAACATGGCACATGTATACCTATGTAACAAACCTGCATGTTGTACACATGTACCCTAGAACTTAAAGTATAATAAAAAATAAAAATAAAAAAATAAAAGTTTACTCCTTTTTAAAACTTTGTTCAAGTTTGTATAGCCTACCAAAAATCCTATCTAGGATATATTTTATATCTCTATATCTTATTCATATTGCCATATCTTTTTGATGTAGTATTTAGTACAAATAAATGTTTGACATTTTTTAATAGGTCTCTTAGGCCTCCTGTTTTAAATTAGTCATGTGTATCTCTTGTGCTTGACAGTCAGAAACAAACAGACAAAAATGACCCTGTAAAAGTATCTGATTCTCAACTCTAAACCTTTTCGTTAAGTTTAGGCAAGGTCTGGCTCTTCTGGGAAAGGTTTAGTAAGTTCAATAACCACTCTGACATCACAAATGAGATACCTGAGGTATCTCAAAGTCTTACTCATAATTTGCTAATATGGAGTAATTGTAGGGAGAGGTAGAAGATTTTCCCCCCATTAATTAAAGAGTATTCAGAGCCCTACAAATACTTATGTGAAGGAAGGCAATTTCCAAGAAGGTTGGAAAAGGCAGGTCAAAGATAGGCATCAGAAGCTTTCAATTACTGCCTGGAACCCAGAAGCCTCTGATTTATATTACCACTAGAGCAAGCTGGGGTAAACAACAACCTGATTCAGAAAATCTCAGACTGAAATCTGTAACACGGGATATAATGCTTTCCAAAGACTTCTATTAGTATTATAGTAATGTTCTATAATGTTCTCCAAGATGAAAGTGATACACACATTTTAAGTATTATAAATAATCCTCCCGGGAATTTAGTAATATTTCTTCTTTATTATCCCCTTATACCTAACTACAGCTGTCTCAACAAAGAGGAACAGAGCACTAAAGCTAAATAACCCCCATGAAGGACCAACCCTCTTCCGGTAAGAGCCAGCCTGTCTGACTTGGATTGTTCTACACTGACCATGTCTCTCTCCCTCCAAAGAACATGCATCTCCCACTCCCATCTGTCTCTTCCTCCAACCTCAGTCATTTTTTTTGGGGTGGGAGGGGGGACCAATTTATCAAAAGTTTAAAATATTTTTATTGTATTTTTCCATTAAATCATTCTCTCAATAAATGTTTAGGATTATGCAGGATCATTTTAATGTGCATTGAGTGCAAATCCGAAACAGGAAAGTACAGTGAGAGAAGATACAAATGCAAAGACCATATTAATTTTTTTAATTAAAAAAAAAACAAGTATTTTTTGGTGCTTTTCCTGCTTCCCAGGAGAAGGACTGAGGGTCACAAATGCCCTCTAAACTTCACAGCAAACAAAGCCACAGGTCCCCAGTGTCGTCAGGCCATCAGAACATGTGCCTTTTGAATGTTCCTGCCTCCTCCTTGGCTTCTCCTCATCTTCCCTTGCATGAATGCAATATTTCTCAATATGGAAGGCCTTTTTGCAGGGAGGAAATAGAAGCCCTCCCTTCAAAAGATTTATTTCCATAATGAAATGTTATAATTAACACTTCACATGCATGCCCACTGTGTGCAGACACCGAGCTAGGAATCTTCCACATTATTTTAAGTTCCTGCAACATTCCCATAAGGTGGATATTATCCTCATCCTAAAGGAGTCACTTGCCCACCATCGCATAGCTAGTAGGCGACAGAGCAGGGACCTCATGTGGGACTCCAGGCCTCTGAAGCCATCCTTCCTTCCTCAGCATCAGCCCCGAGATGGACAGTCCTGGATAGCTGAATCCAAACCCAGGAACATTCAGGTGCTCCAGCAGTGGGAGGACCTCCAAAGTGTATTCAGACAGGCAGACTGAGAGAGCCTCAGGGCCCATACAGTTTCCAAAGGCTGGACAGAATACAGACAAATATGAGCTAAGAAAAACATAATCCTAAAAACTAGAGGCCACACGATAGAAAGGGGAAACCTTGCAGATTTGTGACCAAAATACCTCACGACCCTCATCTATCCCAAGCATCCAACATCCAGAGGCTTCACAGAACCCAAACCAAATTCCTCTTCCTTCCTCTTCCCTTTCCCATCCCCTTGGAGAGCATGTCCTAGGAAGTCTAATTCAACAGTTGAAAAGGCCCTGCTTTCTCAAGCCCTCAGCCACAATCTCAGCTTCAGGGCCTTGTTTCTTCCCTGGAAGAACACAACAGTCCCCTAAAATGGCGTTCCTCCCTGTGCCTTCCTTCACAGTGTCCCCAGAGGGATCCTTCTGAGACAAATTCCACATCAGTGGTTCTCAGGGGCAGTCACAATGGCCTTGAGCCCCCTGGGGATGGAAATCTAGGGGAGGGTCCTCTGCTGCTTCTAGCGTAACTCCAAGTTGGTAGTTTTACATATTGAGATTAATTAACAGTTTTCTATTTGAAAATAAAAATTCTCCTGAGATAGATTCTGGAAACCACTGGCCTACAGGATAAAGGCTAAACTCTTTGGCACCACGGCACTCCTCGTTCACTCCTATAGTCCTGCCTTGAGCTCCTTCTGCAGCTCTTCTCATGGCATCTCGACATAGCCATGCATGTTCAGGCCATTCATGGCACTGCTTGCTTGGCCTGAAATCCCTTTCATCTACTGACAACAACTCTCCTCTGTGAAAACTGAAAATCTTTTCTGCTGACCACAGACTTGTTTTCACTTAATCACCTAACTGTGTTTCTACCACCGATCACAGTGCCTGGCACATAGTTAAGTACTCAAATATTTTACTCATTCATTCACTAATAAATGAATGAAACAAAATCAATAAGCACTCATTCTAATAAAGCTTAAAAATAGATCACTTAGGTGTACTTTGAAATGTACCTAACTACCACAGGATATTCCAACACCATGTAATAAAATTGAATTAATAGATCAATGCTAGCATTTTAAAAAATGGAATAGAATAGAAAGTATCAGAGCATCTCATGTGGTACACGTAAACACTACTTTGTGAAATTTAAATGTGTGTGGATACACACAAATACACCCATAAACATACATTTATGTGTATGTATATTCTCAAATATACATACCTTTATGTGTACTATATTGCCATATAAAATATATTCCTTACTGAAATGGTTGAAAATTATTTCTTTCAAAATCACAAGTCAGTTATAGGTTACATCTCCATGAGTACTCTGAAGTCATCCATTGAGTTTTTTAAAACATAGAAACATCATCCCCCATCATAAAATTCAGTTCGGACAATAATTGTGTTGCGTATGTCAATTAAAATGGCTCCCTGAATGTGAGGGAGTTAAAAAGAAAATCCACATGTGGGCATGCCTGAAGATTACGACTGATTAAATGAATGCACAAACAAAGCTGCACGGGAACAACTGTTAATTCAGTGTGAGGGGTTTTAGATTTCACATTAGTATCAAGTGCATCCTCCAGCCTCGCCTCTTCTCCATCCTGTATTTCTCAAGGTAGTCTTGAATGCCTCTACATTATTTACAAGCATCCATACTAACACTGGCCTTCCTTCAAATGCTTGGAGACAATGAGTATAATTCCATGGACAGTGTGTATAGGGGCCCAGGGCAAATGCTGGAAGCACACACAAATCCTCTGCAGTTCTAGGCATAAAAGTGTGTATGTTCATAGTAGAGACATATAATGGGGCTAATAGATTTGGTCTGTAGGCTTACTTCTCCAAAATCGGCATATAAAACAGCTTTGGGACTGGCAATCCATGGAACTGTCAAATACATGTCCCTGGCTAGAGAAAAAGGTAAAAGCTAACTGGAGAGCCACACTGGCTAAATAACATGCTGCTAGTGGCATGGATTTAGGAAGTTACTAGATTGTTTTTGTTGTTATTAACCACAGGAAAAAAGGCTTAAATTACACATCAGTTAAAACGACGACAACATTCTCCTCCACTTGTGCTCTACAGTGAGGGGCAGATGAATGGCCTTTGGCTGTTGCAGCAAAATAGAGGTAATCTACGTATAAACTACTACAATTTTAACATTCCATTCCCTATCTTGCTTGGTCACTATAGTCACCTAATACTCTGTATGTCCTTGTCACAATACAGTTCTCCAGGAAAACTGTGGCCAACGTTTGGAAAAATTAACCATGAAATTCTCAAACTTCAACTGCTAACATGTACTCCAGGCTAATGATGACAGAGAATAACACAGGCAAACTGCAGGCCAACCTTGGGGAGATAGTTTCTTTAGAGATGCCCTCTACTGAGTGCCCCTGATATCCAAGGAACATGGAAGGTAAAGAGGCAAAGGGGGAAGAGCTCCAGAAACATCCCAGTGACCTAAGGAAGGAAGAGAAAACTAAAGAAATCTTTAGCTTTAGTTCTTTTAACCAAAAAGGGTAAAAACCTTAGGGTGAGATACCTGGAGCACAAAAGAAGGCAGGGGCCAAATCCACAGTAAAGGACGTGTGAGTCACTGTGTAATGGCTTCTACTAAGCTAGCAAACAATGCCTTAAATTTCCCAAACCCATCTCTACCAAGTTAACATTGCAGCATGTTAACATCATACAGACACTGCCAGAATGAAAATCTAAGACAAATATTCTGGTAGGAGAAAGATTAAACTCCAGGATTCTATCAATCAGCTGGTCTTACTTCTGTTTATTACTAGAAAAGAAAAATTCATCTTAGTTCAGACTGCTAAAACAGAATACCACAGACTGGGAGATTAACCAACAACCATTTCTCTCTCACAGTTCTGGAGGCTGGAAGTCAGGGTGCCAGCATGGTTGGGTTCTTGGTGAAGGACCTCTTCCTGGTTTACAGACAGCCATCCTCTCAGATTCTCACATGGTAGGGAGAAAGATCATTTCCCATGTCTACTTTATACGGACATGAATCCCATTCACGAGGGCTCCACTTTCATGACCTAATTACCCGCCAAAGACCTCACCTCCTAAC
The DNA here is from genome assembly GCF_000001405.40 of Homo sapiens. Classification (NCBI taxonomy): domain Eukaryota; kingdom Metazoa; phylum Chordata; class Mammalia; order Primates; family Hominidae; genus Homo; species Homo sapiens. The sequence goes on along the minus strand of NC_000002.12, from coordinate 54,539,932 downwards.
ACCCTCATGGTGTGGGTTAAGATTTCACCATATGAGTTTGAGTGGGAGGAACAAACATTCAGCTCATAATGTTTTCAATAATGTACACAGAGTCCACGCACAGTGGCTCACACCTATTATCTCAGCACTCTGGGAAGCCAACGTGGGCTGATTTCTTGAGCCCAGGAGTTCAAGACCAGCCTGGACAACATGGCCAAAATTCGTCTCCACCAAACAAATATAAAAATTAGCTGGGCATGGTGGTGTGTGCCTGTTGTCCCAGCTACTTATGAGGCTGAGGTGGGAGGATGACTTGAGTACGGAAGGTGGAGGTCGCAATGAGCCAAAATCGCACCACTGCACTCCAGTCTGGATGACAGAGCAAGACCCTGTCTCAACAAAAAAGTACACAGAAAATATCTCAAAAGATACACATCAAACTTTTAAAAGGAATTATCTTTAGGGAGAAAGATGGGAAAGGCTTTGGGGAAAGAGAAACATTTATTGTCCACTTCTGCAGTGTTTGAACTTTTTTTTGCAATGCATGCACTGTAATGTACAATGTAATACATGATTTTATAATGCATTTTAATGTAAAATTATTAAACACAAAGAAATCTTTAATAGGTATCACAAAAATTAGGAGGAAATTTTCCCCAGATGAAAGTGATAATTAATAGCTCTGACCATGAATGAGTTCTTCAGTCTGACAAGCACTCAATAAAAAGCAGAGGTGCATTCAGACTTAGGTGAGGTGCTTGTAGGGAATGTGGAAACAAATGTTACCACTGTCACTGTCTTCAAGGAATTTAGTCATCAGCTGGAGGGAGACTATGGATACACCCACCTAAGTACACACATGACACTAATAAGACACAGAGAACATGGGGTACAGAATAGCAAGGGCCAAGGAAGTTTCTTGAAGAGGAAAGGTTACTGTGAACCATACAGGCAAGAGGGCTCCTGGCCAGGGCTGGAGCTCAGAGTGGAGGCAGTGGGGAGAGCTTGGGTTTCCTGCAAACTTAGAGTGAACCAATAGGTAAACATGTAACACAGGGAAGGGCTGAGAACCCGCAAATGGCCCGGCATCTCCGACTTCAGTCCATCTGTTTCTTAGGATGCCTAAAGACACAATCTTGTGACTAATAAGGCGACTTCACATACATGTTCAAAAAGTCTAAGGCGTCTGCAGAAATTTAAACCTGAATGGCAAAATTCTTATCAGCCTCACCCAATAACAGGTACCCATCAGTCAATGATGTCATTATCTGAGAGTTCTGAAAATTCACAGGCTTGCAGCAAAGAGGTCAAAATTCAGAGCTCTGCAAATTCCCTTGAAGATTAACTAATAAAAATACAGAAGAAATAAGAATTGTAGAAAACAGATGTATTTCTCAACCAGAGGATGAAAAGGCTAAGATTCAGGTTTTCAGGAAGTATCACAACACTTTCATATTAATTCATTGCTTGTTTTATACACATTGTCTATTCCCCAAAAGAGGTTACATGTGAGTAAGGAACAAAGTGTTAATAGAGTACTTATATCACTGTACTGCTAAAGAATCTAGAATGGCACTCTAGTACTAAGCACCTGTCATGCTCTAAGAGTGATGCTTGGTTCTTGAGAATCCAAAGATGCAAGCTTGGGATAGACTGTTTCCAAGTTATCAACCACACATATTCACAAGACAATAACTTCAATGCAAATGAAACACCATGTTAAAGGCATATTCTAAAGACTGAAACGCTAATGTTTGTTTCTCTTTGTTAATTTTGTTTATTCAAAAATCTTAAATGAAACTGTCCATTATTGGGCTCCTTTTTTTTAAGTAACCAACCAATGGTAAACATCACCTTGCATTTTATAAAATGTCTTTATCTCTGAATCAAGAACATCAGTCTATCTGAAAATGTGTCGTAAACATTCATTGTTACTTACTGTCATCTTCCCAGCAAACTTTCCCCTTTGGGGGAAACAGTTCCATGTGGTTCCAGGGAGAGCTGCCATGCTCTTATGTCCCTCCACACTCCATACTCCAGTTCACTGCTCTAGACATTTGAGTAAAGCCTGGTAAATTACAGCCTTTCTCCCAAACACCCCTAATATTTCCAACTGGAACCAGAAAAAATGAAAGGTGGTAGAGAGTGAAGCCCAGGAGCAGATGGCAGCCATGTTTCCTGTCATCTAGAAGACTACCTACAAGGGGCAGAGACAGAAGCCCACTTACACAAGGTCACTAACAACAAGAGATGGAGAGATGAAAAGCCTTAATTTCTGTTGTCCTAGGGGCCCTTCACCCTTTCTTCAGATTGGCTATTTAGCCCTTCCCTTGATCATCCAAGATACTCCAGTCTCTTTCCCCAAAAGTCCTACTATAAAATGCCTTCCTCCACCCCACCACAATTCTTCTGCATTAGGCATGCCAACAGTATCCTCCAACTGCCAGTCAGATGCCTCTGAGCTATGGATGGATGGAGCTGATGTGTTCTGTACATATGGCTTCCAGCTCCTCACCAATGTTTGGGGACACCTCTTCTGAAGGTATCCACTCTAAGTATCCGGTTGGCCATGATCTGGTATAAAAGGATCTTCCGGGTCAATCAAAACCCCATCTCTGTACCCAACCTTACAGACATTTGAACTACAGGAAACAAGGATATTCAGTCATTTAGCAATGAGGACAAAAGGCAAAGGATAGGCAAGAGCTGGGGTTGGAATGACAGTATACCAAAGCCACATGTGAGCTGAGTCAAGGAGGAGCAGATACTAAGCAGAGGGTTCCAATGAATGAGGCGCATGGCCCATCGGAAATATAAGTAATGCCTCCAGGTCCACAGCAGCCACTGTCACATAGATTTTTCAGGGCTCATTTGCATGAAACTTTGTAATAACTCTCTTGTATGTATGTATTTATTTTTTAAAGACAGGGTCTTGTTCTGTCACCCAGTCTGAAGTGCAGTGGCACAATCACGGCTCACTGTAGCCTCAGCCTCCTGGGCTGAAGCAATCCTCCCACCTCAGCCTCACAAGTAGCTGGGACTATAGGTGTGTGCCACTGTGTTCAGCTAATTTTTTTTACTTTTCAGAGACACAGGGTCTCACTATGTTGGCCAGGCTGGTCTTTAACTACTGGACTCAAACAATCCTCCCACCTCAGCCTCCCAAAGTGCTGGGATAACAGGCATGAACCACAGCTCCCGGCCTCTCCTTCTTTTACCCCATATCCACCACACACATATCTTTGTTGTTCAGAGAACTCAAGTGAATCTGTATTCCTTACAACCAGAAGGACCTAACCAAAAATAATTTTCTAAGCATGATTTTTTTCAGAAGTCAATCATTAGACATAGACCAAATATTTAGCTCTGCTGTCACCTGGACCCCTCTCCACTGGACTGCTATTGAATATGATCATGTCAAACTACTGGTGAATTTATAGCTTAATAATCACAACTATCTTCTTTAATTGACTTGGTATCAAAAATCAAATGCAACTTAAGAAACTATTTAACATCTACCTAGCATCAATTTTCTCTCCTAATTAGAAAATTAAATTGAATGGTATCACTGAAGATGGAGGTTAAATAAAATTCTAGAGAGCTGCGTTGCACTGTTAAATTTAAAAATATACTTTGTGTCATTCTGAGTTTGCTTTTATCATGGGACATGTTTTATTTTTAAAATACACATAACTTTACAAGTGCCTTATATATAAATTAAATTTATACCTTTTATCATCCTATGATAGTACTTTCTCACAGGTCCACTTTGGTAGAAAACTGGCAAAGGGGTTAACTGTGTAAGTGAATTTAATAACGGCAACAAATAGAACCATCTGAGACACCAAACACCCACCAATAGGCCTTTATGATGACCACATTTGGGGAAATGAAAAACTTCCTAAGTCTACAGTACTTACTCTATTTTTGAGACAGAGTCTTGCTCTTGTCACCCAGCCAGGCTGGAGTGCAATGGCGCAATCTTGGCTCACTGCAACTTCCGCCTCCCAGATTCAAGTGATTCTCCTGTCTCAGCCTCCTGAATAGGTGGTTACTCACATGTAACAGGTGTGCACCACCACATCCGGCTCATTTTGTATTTTTAGTAGAGATGGGTTTTTACCATGTTGGCCAGGCTGGTCATGAACTCCTGATCTCAGGTGATCCACTTGCCTTGGCTGGGATTACAGGTGTGAGCCACTGCATCTGGCCTACAGTAGTTTCTGATGCCTACAACAGATTTGCCATCTGTTTCCAGGCAACCACCAAATAAAAATCACAGCACTATGGTACTAGTAGCTTTTACAGAGTATTTTCTGCTCTTTCTCTCTAATCTACCACTATTACTTATCTAAGAGAGCAGAGACAGAAATAAGGTACTGATACATGCTACAGCACGGATGAAACCTGAAAAAGTTTTGTTAAGTGAAAGAAGTTAGACACAAAAAGGCCACAGATTACATGATTCAATTTTTAGGAAATGTCCAGAATAGGCAAATCCATAGGGTCTGAATGTAGACTAGTAGTTGCCTGGGGCTGGGGGAAAGGAAAATGGGAAGTAACCGCTAACGTACATGGGATTTCTTTGGGAAGTAATAAAAATGCTCTGGAATTAGTGGTAATTGTCACATAACTCTGAGTATATTTTAAAAACTGCTGAATGGTATACTTCAAAGGGGGTATATTTTATGGTATGTAAATTGTACTGCAATAAAGCTGATATGTGTGTGTGAGAGAACATGTATGCAGACAGAGCCAGGAAAAGGATAAGAAGGCAGAAAGGTCACATACATTTTTCCTCTTTTGCTTACACAGGCAGTCCCCAAATGAAGAGCAATTGTATTCCTTTAATTCAGTCATAAATCAACTCTCAATTCTATGAGATTTTTCACAGAAGAACGGAGCGCCTCAAAAGTAAGTGAGTGACTTAGGGAAAGAATTCTGGTGGAGTGGAGAGAATGAGGAGTTCAGACAAAGGCTAGGGGTGGAACAGGAGACAAAAAGGGGAATGAGGATCAAGAGAGGTTCTCTGAGGTGACTGAGGAAGGAGAACCTGGGCTCTCAAAGAGTGAGGTGCAGGAATAGGGGCTGGGCCAGGAAGGGGGATGAGTGCATGGTGAATAGTCAGAAACTCTGGGAGCACGAGGCTTCCATCTGCATGTTCTCCCATGCCTGGATCACTCACCTCAGCGACTGTGAGATTTCAGCCATTGCTGAGGTGAGAAGAGAGTCTGAGGTAGAACAGGAGAAGGAATCCAAGCTGATTTCAGAAGCAGGGGAGAAACTGGGTCTATAGTGGTGAACAGACAGAGGAGGGAGAAGGAACCAGAGGAAAACTACACCTAAAAAAGTAAAGCAAAGATTCTTCCACCTCTATGGTGAGAAAACCATGGAAACCATTTATATGTGAAAAATAAATTGAGGGTATAATCTAGGACTACGTGCAAAGACCTCAACAGACTTTCTCTCAATAGCTTTCATGAACAACTTGGATATAAAATGCTCTTTCAGATTCAGATTTCACAAACAATGGTAGTATAGTTACTGTGTGCTAGGGGCCACACCTCTTTCACAAATAGTCCCAAATAATGCATAATTTAGGGATACAGCCTGAAGAGTAGATGAGGAAAATAATGGGTAGCTATTAAATCCCTGTTAATCCTCTCTGTAAAAACCCATTCCACCATGCAAGAAGCTGTTCTCTTTCCCTTGGGGCAGGAAAGTGTCACCTCTGAACAGAATGTTAGGTGTGCGAACAAGAAGAGCCCTAACATGATTTAGACAATGAGTCCAGGCGTGAGATGGCATATACTATCTTAAGCAGCCCAAAGCAGACTTTCTGTTTTAAGGAGAGGTGTTCTCAGAGACCTGCAGCCTAGCCTCTTCAATTTTGCTGCAGTGGAAAATGAAGCAGCCACGACGAGACTCAGGTCCCAGATTCCTCTCTCCAAGTTCCAGTGCTCTTTAGGTCACTAGACCCTACCCCTTAAAATGACTGGGGTGTGTGTGTTTGTGTGCGTGCGTGCGTGTGTGTGTGTGTGTGTGTGTGTGTGAGAGAGAGACAGAGAGAGAGATCAATCTTTCCCCCTAAATTACTACAGCAGGCCGGGCGTGGAGGCTCACGCCTGTAATCCCAGCACTTTGGGAGGCCAAGGCGGGCGGATCACCTGGGGTCAGGAGTTCGAGACCAGCCTGGCCAACATGGTGAAACCCCGTCTCTACTAAAAATACAAAAATTAGCCAGGTGTGGTGGCGGGTGCCTGTAGTCCCAGCTACTCGGGAAGCTGAGGCAGGAGAATCACTTGGACCCAGGAGGCGGAGGTTGCAGTGAGCCAAGATCGCGCCATCGTACTACAGCCTGGGTGACAAGAGCGAAACTCCATCTTACTACAGCAATCATTGCCTATACTAACTTCCAGGCACTTGTATACATATATAGTCTCATGTAAATAGGTTTCCTCCTCCTAATTAGATCATTCTAGGCCATGTTTTATAGATTTCTTTACATATTCAGGAAGAGGTTGGCTCTGTTCGTTCACTAGAAGTCAAATGGTTTAGACACACACACACACACACACACACACACACACACACACACACACACTAGTCCCCTTTAGCCTGGGTTTCACTTTCCATGGTTCAGTTACCTTCAGTCAACCATGGTCTGGAAATATGAAATGAAAAACTGAAGAAATAGGCAATTCATACGTTTTAAATTGCATGCCATCCTGAGCACTGTGATGAAATCTTGCGCCATCTCGCTCCATCCCGCCTGGTATGTGAATCATCCCTTTGTCCAGCAGACACACACTGCAGACGCTCCCTGTTAGTCACTTAGCAGCCGTCTTGATTATCAGATTAACTGTCAGGTAACCCTTATTTGACTTAATAATGGCCCTGGGCTGGCAATTCAGATATGCTAAAAAGAAGCGACTGTCAAATGCTTCCTTTAAGTGAAAAAGTAAAAGTTCTCAACAAGAAAAGAAAAAAAAATCCTATAATGATAAGGTCTATGTTAAGAATGAATCTTCTATCCGAGAAATAGTTAAGAAGGAAAGAAATTTGTGCTAGTTTTGTTACTGCACCTCAAGCAGAAATGCATTTTTCTTGTCTCACAGTAGAATCAACACAAATTAGGGGAAGACGTAGTCTTTAAAAAATTGTGTAACTGTTTTCTTTTTACTTCAAATAAAATGCTGGTTTCCAAAAAGTCCAGCTTAGTTTGAATCACTGCATGTTCCATGATACCAAGGCAACTGGTCAGAGGTCAGGAAAGTGGGCCTGCAATCACGGGATGCAAGCAATCATTTACAGAAAACATAAAAACTACTTCACTGTGCTAGTTAACAGGATTGACCAACGCTCTCCTCAGCTTCCTTCCAAACTGTAAACAGTAACACCTCAGAAGTGGGGAAGTACCATCTACCATGTTTTCACTCCACATTCCACTTTAGGAATAAGTATATATCTTGCCAGTCTGTTACATATACAAAAGATGTATATTTCAAAGACGTAGTATAAAAAATGTAAAGTGTCTCATTAATAACTTTTCATGAGGATTGCATGTTAATATATTTTGGATATCTATAAATATTCTTGGATATAAACATAAAATTTTGGAGTATATGACAATACTCAATGTTAATTCTAACTATTATTATTTTTGAGACGGAGTCTCATACTGTCGCCCGGGCTGGAGTGCAGTGGCGTGATCTCGGCTCACTGCAACCTCCGCCTCCCAGGTTCAACCGATTCTCCTGTCTCAGCCTCCCAACTAGCTGGGATTATAGGCGCCCGCCACCACGCCCAGCTAATTTTTTGTATTTTTAGCAGAGATGGGGTTTCGCTACGTTGGCCAGGCTGGTTTTGAACGCCTGACCTCATGATCCACCAGCCTCGGCCTCCCAAAGTGTTGAGATTACAAACGTGAGCCACTGCGCCCGGCAATTCTAATTATTTTCTTAAAACACATCTAAGTCTTAAATTTTTACAAGCTGAAGACTTGAGGTTTCTTATCATTCAACTTGCATGAGGGGGAAGCTTTCAGATGAAGCTTTTCTCTGCTTGGAGAAAAAGCTGTTGCTTTCAATCCTGCCAGGTGCTCCAGGTCAAGTTCTCTGTATTTCCTCCTGATCATCACGCTGATGTTTCTGGCTACTAAGGAGCTGGGGGTGGCGATGAGTGACGCAGATATGAATCAGACTGATTTTCAAGCAGCAGAGTTTAAGGAAAATGAAAGAACTAGGCACTGGAAGTGACTGATTGCTGGCCGATTCATTGTTGTAATGATAAGCTGGTACTGGACAAGTGATCACAGGCCTGATTTCTACATTAAAAAAAAAAAACAAAAAACAAAAACCGATATAGCCAGGCTTTGTGGCACACACTTATAGTCCCAGCTACTCAAGAGGCTGAGGCAGGAGGATCACTGGAGATCAGGAATTCAAGGCTGTAGTTAGCTATGACTCTACCACTGTACTCTAGCCTGAGCAACACAGAAAGACCCCATTTCTAAACAAACAAGAAAACCAGCTGACACCCTGCCTACTATACTAGAGATGCTATCTCCCCTGTGAAATATCTTAGTAGTCTGATTCCCCAGTACCAACTGGGTATGCTACAATTCAATTCAATTCTGACACCTCTACCTGACATTATTGTTAAATCCCATAGGATAAAGGGCTTGGTCCCACAAGACTGCCCCCATATCAGATGCCAGTTCCAAGTCCCAGGCCGCAGGCTGTAAATTCAGGGGTTCCCAAGAACCCCCTCAGGTTCAATAATATGCTAGAACAACTCACAGAACTCAGGAAAACAATTTCCCCTTTATGTTTACCAATTTATTATAAAGGTTACAACTCAGGAACGGCCAAATGGAAAAGTGCACAGGGCAAGGTACTGGGGTGAGGTGGGGCTTCCATGTCCTCTCAGGGCACCCCACCCTACCTACACCAACTCCCCCCACAGATGAGTGGATGATGCTGAAAGTTCCAATTCTCTAACTGCTCAGTCTTGGGTGCACAGCATCATCCTGAGGCTAGCTAGGGATGGGAGACTATCCCCACCCAAAGTCATGGAATTAGCACAAACTCAGGTGTCAGAAAAGGGACACCTTATGGGTAACAAAAGACACTCCCATCACTCGGCAGACTCCATTGGTTTTAGGAGCTCTATGCCAGGAACCCAGAACAAAGACCAAATATATTTCTTATTATACTGCATTGAATTAAAAGCAATTCCTGAGGGTGAATAAGATGAAGACACGTAAAGTAAAAGTTATTTTAAAAATGTTTTTTAAGCCGGGCGCGGTGGCTCATGCCTGTAATCTCAGCACTTTGGGAGGCCGAGGCGGGCAGATCATGAGGTCAGGAGATCGAGACCGTCCTGGATAACACGGCGAAACCCCGTCTCTACGAAAAATACAAAAAATTAGCTGGGGTGGTGGCGGGCGCCTGTAGTCCCAGCTACTTGAGAGGCTGAGGCAGCAGAATGGCATGAAGCCAGGAGGTGGAGCTTGCAGTGAGCCGAGATTGCACCACTGCACTCCAGCCTGGACGACAGAGCAAGACTCCGTCTCAAAAAAAAAAAAAAAAAAAAAAAGTTTTTTACAATTCACAGATAACCTAATAATAGGAAGTATCTGTCAACTGGGTGAGAATTAGTAACAAGTAGTTTACCTCACCCTATTTCCTTAGATACATAAACCCTGAAAGCAGCTTAGTAAAGGGCACAGGTGGTGGTTCCACTATCAGTACAAGATGAACTACACCATTAAAAGATGAATTCCTACATGTTTTGCAGATCTGCCTCAGAATTCAGACTGAAACCTAGATTAGATTGTATCTACCGAAAGCCCTAGAGGGACACAGGAAATGTGATATGTACATTTTTATGGCTCTAAGCAAAATGTCTCGCTTTAGAACATGCATGTTCAGCAGAAACCCCACAATAGCACTCCCTCCTGTTGGGCCTATCACTGTATCACTCCCCTATAAGGGACAGGAAGATATCTCCCTTTCCTCAAAGTCAAGTGGTTAGCCTACCACACCACTCCCACATCAAGTGGACCTTTTTTTTTTTTTTTTTTTTTTTTTTTTTTTTGGTGAAAAGAGATATGTATATTTAGAATTAGCCAGATGGACTCAGTTTGGATGATCCCAATTTTGTTGGCAACATCCAAAGCATCATAATCAGGAGCCAGTGGAACATATGCCTTCATCTCTCCATCAGGGTGTTGACCTTGGCCCCATCAATGTCACAGAGCTTCTTCACAGCCTGTTTGATCTGGTGCTTGTTGGCTTTAACATCCACAGTGAACACAAGGGTGTTGTTGTCTTTTATCTTCTTCATGGCAAACTCAGTGGTCAGAGGAAACTTGATGATAGCATAGTGGTCAAGCTTGTTTCTCCTGGGGGTGGTCTTCCGAGGATATCTGGGCGGCCTCCAGAGTCTCAGTGTCTTGGGCCGCTGGAAGGTGGGTGACATGCGGATCTTCTTTTTTTTGTGGCCGTGGACACCTTTCAACACTACCTTCTTGGCCTTTAAAGCCTTTGCTTTGGCTTCAGCTTTAGGCGGGCCAGGAGCTTCCTTCTTCACTTTCGGTGCCATCTTCTGAAAAGGGTCTCAAGTGTATCTTTGAGGTAACTCTACTGGGTTTGAAACTTTATTTCTTCCTAGACTTTAGCTCGGTCCAGATGAAGTGGTCTCAAACACCGAAGGAAGGGGACTGGATGACCATCAGTACTCTGCATCAGTCACAAAATGTGATCCCCAAGCCAGGGCATCACCTGGCCTGTTGGATATGTAAATTATCCCCACTCAAGGCCTACTGAATCAGCATCCCGTGCTTTAACAAGCCCTCTACTTTTCAAACCACTGTTCTATTCCAGACACTACTGAATTGTTCTGTAACTCCTGCTATCAGCATATAGTTTTTTAGAGGACTCAAGAGATTCTTCTGTCCCACAGAATAAGGAAGTAAAATAATAAGTAGGATAAGATAATTTCCTTCATTACCTTCCTCCAACAGATGGGTTTCCTGGTATCTTGTAAATTCACTGAATGCAATTCCTGCCCCCCCATCCAGTATCATTTAACCTGGAAGCAGCATCTTTCCTTTTCAATATTTTGCCCTGGTTTCTTCTAGACCACAGGATGCATTCCTGAGAATTCCAAAGATCTTTTTAACATGTTTGAATTACCTCACTAGCAATGCTCTCTGCCAATGAGCTTTACATCTTTTTTTTTTTTTTTTACTTTACTGAATACTGAAAAAGAGTATACACTGCAGAGTTAGTATGCCTTCAGCCACTTAGCAGCAGTAAGCCCTTGGGCAAGCTTCTTAATCTCTCTGGAACCTGTTTTATCATCTATACAATGTAGACAGTAATAATCTCTCTCATATGATTGTTATGGGATTAACTGTTAATATATGCCGGCATTTCCCACAGTGCCTGGCACACAGTATAAGTACTATATTGAGTGCTTGCTATTATTATGACTACAGTTACTGAGGGACCTAGGTAAACATCCTAGAAAGGTTAAGACAAATGATGGATACTAAGGACAGCTGGAGGCTCTCCTCTCAAACTGTAGGAAAGACCACATGCAAAGAACAAGGAACTGTTCTGTAGTTTGCAAACAAAATGGTCCTTTAGAAAGGAGATAATACATAGCCTGGAATCAGAAAGTAAGACTCAAGATCAAAGGTAACTGGCCATCACTAGCATACTGGCCTAAAGACTCAAATGAAAATACAAGAAAAAGAGGTGAGAGATTAAAATACAAATCACTTTACTAGCACAAGCCAGGGTCATGATCTCCATAGAGTTCCATGTTAATGAATGATAATGAAGCCCCAATTCTAGAGTGACTGATTAATCATTCATTCAGGCCAGCTCAAGAAAGATCTTTAAATCAACACCACTCAAGAGACAAATTATCCTAAAGCAGCTGAATAGTTTTTCTGTAGTACATTGTTAGCTGTACCCCCAACATCCATTCTCCTCTTCCTCTTTTCTGTTATATTCCAATCTTTCTAGCCAACTTGTTTGGTTGAGACTGACCAAACTTTCACTCTAAGGGGTGCATCCTGTTTAGAAGTTAACAGCACATGAGATTCTCCAACACCAGCGGGAGAAGCACATGATCCAAGTCATGATCAATCACGCCAGTGAGACTGATATATCCGGGCCATGGTAAGCAGAAAAGCATCCTCTTTTCTGCTGGATGTCCATAGTCCAAGGGGGCCAGGGACCTGGGGCAGCCATCTTGGGACTACAGGATGGAGCCTGCTTGTGAACAGAGCCTGCACTAGAAAATAAAGCCAGAGTAGAGAGAAAGAAACTAGATCCTGGTCACACCATTTAAGTCCAGGAGTAAGTCTTGCTTAAAGACTGAATTTGCCTACTGTGTGACCAATAAATCCTCTTTGTCACTTAAACCACTCTGGGTTAGGTTTCCTTTGTCCACAATCAAGATGACTCTAAATGATGCATGCTTCATAATCAGATTCCACTATAAAGGCAACAAAAATGTGAGTTATGTAGTTAGAATTAACAGTAAACTTAACTTCTCAAGTCATGACTTTGATTTACTTGTCACAATTAAAGACATTAGAAAAAAATCATTTGGAATAAACTTCATCTGAAATTTCATTTGAAATCTCAAAGTACAGATGCAGGACCTTGAAAAAACTCGGTTTTGATACTTGGTTTACATATATTCAGTACAGCTGAGTTTTCAGAGCCACAGAACGCTTTCCTGATTTTCAGGGCAATTTTAGGGTAAAACACTCCTCACCCTCACTGGGGCCATGGAGAAAGTGTGCTCTAGGTGTTCACCAGCAACAAGGGAATGAGAAATCACAAAGTAAGGACATGTTCCACGAACTAATGGACCAATGGCAAACTTACTCGTTACTGTATTAAATGTGCCTTTACCAGATTCAGCTTTTGCTTTTCAGATGTAAAATCCTTGCGTGTAATACTAACCCATCTTGGTACAGGTCAGGCCAGTTAATGTATCACAGGCACTAAGTACACAGGTTAATTTGTATATTTTTGAGTATAAGGAATAGTATGCTTTGATATTTTGGAATGTAAGATTTGTCAAAAATAAAAGAATTCTTACAAACTTAGGGCAGCTGTTCTTGAATTGCTATAAATAACACTCTGTGCTCTGAATAATTTTGGCCATTAGAGTTGACAGCTCTCCAAATATGGAACTGACTACCTTATAAAATGGTCAGCTGGCTCTCAAGGACACATTTAAATAGAAGTGAGACAACCTTCGAACATGACAGCGTCATGGGAACAGGGTGGATGATTTTAAGGGGCATCCTGATTTTAGGCATCCTGGGCCTCTGTGACAGGTGTGAAGGACTCACCTGCCAGAGCCTTGATGCGGGACCGCTCAAAAAGCCGCGCAGAGCTGTTCTCATTGTCCCAGTCGTCGACATCCCAGCGGTTGTTGACATCACTGTACTGCTGCTGGATCTCAATGTTGTCATAGTCTGTGGCTACTGTGGTCGTCATCTTGAACTGTCTCAGCTGCTCCTCCACATCAGCTCCTTCTTAGAGTTCTATGAGAAAGAAAAGGAAAAACATTTAGACGTCTGAAGTGTATACAGTCCCCACGGAACCAACTGGGATAAGAGTGAGCAGAAAATAAAAACAGTGCTTGCCAAGAATAGGTCTTCTGGAGCAATGCTGGTTTTAGGTTTTAGCACTGTCTCATAATAGATGTGTGACCTTAGCCAAGTTACTTAGTATCTCTAAGCCTCAGTTTCCCCAACCATTAAAGAGGGAAGATACTTCAGAGGTTGTTGACAGGACTGAATGAGATGATGGATACCCCCAAAATGGTGGGTTTATTCCTTCTTTCTAAAGTTTAAACTCTGCAATTTAAAAATGTTATCAGAGGGCCAGGTGCAGTGGCTCACGCCTGTAATTCCAGCACTTTAGGAGGCCGAGGTGGGCAGATCACCTGAGGTCAGGAGTTCGAGGCCAGCCTGGCCAACATGGTGAAAACCCGTCTCTACCAAAGATACAAAAATTAGCTGGGCGTGGTGGCACATGCCTGTAATCCCAGCTACTTGGGTGGCTGAGGCAGGGAGAATTGCTCGAATCTGGGAGGCGGAGGTTGTAGTGAGCCGATATCGTGCCATTGCACTCTTGCCTGGGCAACAGAGCGAGACTCCGTCTCAAAAAGAAAAAAAAAGAAATGTTATCGGAGGTAGATCAACACCTACGTGGGGCTTCTGAATGAACTCATTTATTCCCATTGTGTATCACCATAAATTATAATCTTTAAGCTTCTCCTGGAAATTCATAAAATGTTATATAAGAGAACTAGCAGATCATTTTATCTAAACATCTCACTTACATATTAGAAAACTGATGCTTAAGATTAAGATGTAAGGCCAGGCACAGTGACTCACGCCTCTAATCCCAGCACTTTGGGAGGCTGAGGCGGGCGGATCACCTGAGGTCGGGAGTTCCAGTTCAGCCTGACCAACCCATCACTACTAAAAATAAAAAATTAGCTGGGCGTGGTGGCGCATGCCTATAATCCCAGCTACTTGGGAGGCCAAGGCTGGAAAATTGCTTGAACCGAGGAGCCGGAGGTTTTGGTTGAGCCGACATCATACCATTGCACTCTAACCTGGGCAACAGGAGCAAAACTCCAATAAAAAAAAAAAATTAAGATGTAAGTGTATGGCAACCAAGGACAGTACCAGTGCATGGTAGATGCTCAATACACGCTTGCTATTCTTTATCCTGAACTGATAAGCTTTAAACACAGCTTCTCCCTTCAATATAGCTATTATTCACTCATTGAACCAAAATACAATGAAGACTTACTACGTACTCTGTGCTGGACCAGATGCTAGGGATAAAAATGAACGCAATAAGGACCTGGCTCTAGGGAAGCTTATATCCTAGTGGTAGGAGCTGGACAAAAAGCACACAAGAAAAGGCAAGATAGTTTAAATAAAAAAAAATGACAGCAGAGTCATGTGACTATTTTTAGATCTGGTGATCAGGGAAGGCCTCTCGAGTGGGTCCTGAAACTGAGAACTCAATGTCAAGAGGAATGAGTCACGCACAGATCAAGAATAATAGTGTTTCAGGCAAAGGAAGCAGCATAGCATGCAGGAGGAACGGCAAGTTCAATGTGGCTGAGTCTAGTGGGCAGCGGGAGAGACTCGGAGACAAGGTTAGGGAGGGAGGTGGGCGAGCCCAAGTGTGGCGGGAAGCAACTGCAGGATTTTAAGCTAATAACCGACACCACCCTTGAGTGTATTTGTAAAATATTCTTCCCAGGGCTGTGTGGAAAACAGATTCTAGGCGGCAATAATGGAAGCAGGGGCCACTTGGGAGGCTACTCCAGAAATGATGGCGGTGCAGCTCTGGGTGGAGAAGCGGGGATGGTTAAGAGGTGGATGTGCTTAGAGGTGGATGTGCTTTGGAGGGAGAACTGACAGGGCCTGGTGAAGGACTGACTAGACCCGAGACATTGAGAAACTGAGCTAGTGCTATGCCTGATGCCTATGGGTGTGGTTAAATGTGGTTAAATTCCCGCATATTTTAAATTTCACTGGGGGGAAACAGGCTCAGTCAGGCATATGAAGCTATCTAAGTAAGTTGTTAATCTGCAAATGTAGGAAGAAAGGAGTGAAAAGACAACACCCCTTTTAAAGTGGTATGAAGCTATCCCAAGAAAAAAAATAAATTATCAACATTTTTTTTTTTGAGATGGAGTTTCGCTCTGTCACCCAGGCTGGAGTGCAGTGGCACCATCTCGGCTCACTGCAGCCTCCGCCTCCTGGGTTCAAGCAATTCTTCTGCCTCAGCCTCCCGAGTAGCTGGGACTACAGGCGCGAGCCACCATGCCCAGCTAATTTCTGTATTTTTGGTAGAGACGGGGTTTCACTATATTGGCCAGGCTGGTCTCGAACTCCTAGACCTTGTGATCTGCCCACCTTGGCCTCCCAAAGTGCTGGGATTACAGGCGTGAGCCACCATGCCCGGCTGTTATCAACATCTTAAAACTCAAAAATTTATTGTCAGGTTTTTGTAGCTGGATGCTCACTTAGTGAAAGCCTTGTTCAGTGTGCACCAAGATGTGCACCTAGGCCAGAGTCAGCAGGCCTCCTCACCACAGCCTGCGTGCTAACCAAACCAGACACCACTCAGCAACACAGAAGGATCATTCAAGAGATGATTCTTCCCCCTCACATATGCCACCACACAAAAAATAAACAAACCCATATATGTAGAAAAGAAACATTTATCGTGCTTGAAATGCAGCTTTTTAAAAGTTCCAGCACATAACCACACATGCCACATGCAACCAAGTTTCCATAGTAAATAAGCTGAAACAAATTAACTGCACCTTAAATAAACAGTAGGCTCTTGGGTGGTACCAGCACACAACTGCCTGCTCTTTTGTCATGGCTGTTTTCTCACATGCTATCCAAGAACACAGCCAACACACCCCACATGTTCCTGAGGAAGAAGCACTGAATCCACTTTACCACTGAGCCACAACATCTGTGACTCAAACTGTCACCCATCTCTGCTCTAATAGAAAAATCCTGAATGGAAGTAAAATCCTGGATTCTCATCAGAGAGACATACTCAATCTCAATTAAGTACATTCACGGGTGTATTAATTTTCACACCTACGTTAGCAATTTATTTATGGGATTTCATAAAAACACAAAAACTTCAGAAATCTAATCGAGTAAGTATATTCCATTGAATGATCTTACAGTGGCATTTAACATTCAAAGTCATAAACCCTTCCAAAAAATGAAAATTAATAATGTCATGCAATCATCTGATCTTGAATATAGTTAACTTTCATGACTATTATCAATATCAGAGACTTTTATAAAATTCAAACTTGGAGGATTCTATCTCTAGGGAGAAAATGTGAAAGTGCTATTAATCCCAAATTCTGAAAGTACAGAAAGTAAAATTTAATCCAACCCAACCCAAGGTAAAACCCAAGCAAGGCATGCCTCTCCCCAGATAAGTTTTAGCTATTTGGTGCCACCTGCTGACCAATGAGAAGAAACCCCCAGGGCTGCTATACCTGCGCTGCAACATCCACCGCACCTGACTCCTGCAGAAGCCCAGCCTGGCCCCTGCCCTGCCCCCACCTGCGAATCTCTCTTTCTATCACTGAACCAACAACTGCTTTCCACAGATTTCTTTCTTTCTTTCTTTCTTTCCTTTCTTTCTTTCTCTCTCTCTCTCTCTCTCTCCTCTCTCTCTCTCTCTCTCTTTCTCTCTCTCTTTCTTTCTTTCTTTTTGAGACAGAGTCTCGCTCTGTCACCCAGGCTGGAGTGCAGTGGCATGATCTCAGCTCACTACAACCTCCACCTCCCAGGTTCAAGCAATTCTCCTGCCTCACCCTCCTGAGTAGCTGGAATTACAGGTGTGCACTATCATGCCTGACTAATTTTTGTATTTTTAGTAGAAATGGGGTTTCACCATGTTGGCCAGGCTAGTCTCAAACTCCTGAACTCGGGTAATCTGCTTGCTTTGGCCTCACAAAGTCCTGGGATTACAGGTGCGAGCCTACCTTGCCCAGCCCACAGATTACTTAGTAAGTAAGTGATAATTCTTGTCTTAAGCTTAAAAGAAGTCACTCAGAGAACTAAAGCACCTTTTTTCCTAATGTTCTTTCTTAATGGTATTCCTTAAAAACACTACTATTGTTCCTTAAAACGGAAAGGTTAGGCCAAGAGTGGTGGCTCACGCCTGTAATCCCAGCACTTTGGGAGGCCAAGGGAGGCAGATCACTTGAGCCCAGGCGTTAAAGACCAGACTGGACAACACAGTGACACCCCCATCTCCACAAAAATAAAAAAAAAAAATAGCCAGCTGTGGTGGCATGCGCCTGTGGTTCCAGCTACTTGGGAGGCTGAGGTAGGAGGACCACTCGAGCCAGGGAGGTGGAGGTTGCAGTGAACCATAACTGTGCCACTGCACTCCACCCTGGGTGACACAGCCAGACTCTGTCTCAAAAGAAAAAAACAAAAAACAGAAAGGTGAATGGGAAGTCAAAGTATCCAAATTATCCACTAGTCTGTGTACAAAATAAATAAATAAATATATGCCAAGCACAGTGGCTCACACCTGTAATCTCAACAATTTGGGAGGCCACGGTGGCCAGATCACTTGAGCCCAGGAGTTTGAGACCAACCTGGGCAAGATGGTGAGACACCCTCCCAACCCTTCTTCACTATCTCTATAAAAATTAGCCGGGCACGGTGGCACGTGCCCGTAGTCCCAGCTACTTGGGAGGCTGAGGTGGGAGGATCACTTGAGCCCAAGAGGTCAAGGCCGCAGTGAGCCATGATCGTGTCACTGCACTCCAGCCCAAACAACAGAGTGAGCCTCGTCTCAAAAAAAAAGCAATGCTCTGAGTTCTTTTTATTCAACTGTTTCACTCAAGTGTCCAGAATTTGATGGTAGAGACATCTTTTTTCTTCAATATTCTCCATCTGTTCAAAGACAATGTCCTTTGTCCAAAGAAAGCTGAGTATTTACAGTGATAGAACCCACTATTTTATTTTCAAGGCAATTTCACGGCAAAACATCCCTCGCTCCCACCATAGCCATCATGGAAAGGTCCCTTCTAGGCACTCAACAGCAGCAAGGGAGTGACGTGAGGGTGAAGAAGTCAGAGTGAGGGCAACAGTATGGAAGAGTGTGCCCATGGCATGGAGACTCCAAACTCCAGCATGCTACAAACATCATCATCCTCTAACCCACTTCCACATGGGACTAGGGCCAGCTGTGAGGACAGTTTATATCACACATACAGGTGTCCCAGGAGGTTATCTAAAAAGGGCTGGGTTTTCTCAAGGTGCTATTGGCCATGCCTCCCGTGGGCTGTGAAGTCATCTGTACTTCTTAAATAGCTGTGGGAAGTTTAGGAAGAGAAGGGAGGAAGGCTTGGCCATCTTGGAACTCTGCCTGGTGGTTCCACCATTAGGAAACCCAGAAAGGACTATGTAAGGCTGACACAAGGAAAGGGAATCTCCCCTTGAAGAGAAAGGCCCTCATCCCTCTAATAGCAGAGCAAGGGCCTGGATTCCACTGGACTTGCTCACCACAGTAGGAGCTCGTTAAATAACTTTTGAATGAATAAAAACAGTAATACCCTGCGTGTGACAAGGGTAATGCCCATGTTCTTTGTGACTAGGTTTCAAAAAGATAGGAAAGTGCCTATCTACTTTCCCTGCTCTTCTCTATTGTGGGGTGGGGGGTGGGGTGGCATGGGGTAGGGTGTGGGTGTGTGTATGTATAAAAAGGAATATGTAGAAAAGCCAAGATCCTCCCCCTCAAATTACTCTTCTCTAATCCTACATCCTATGAACTGGAATTTTCCATAAGATGCACAGAAATTCCAGATGCTTTATTATTTTCTGCTTCAATAAGCAGACACTAAATTCATTTCTTCAAACAGGTGGATCAAGGCAGAAATGGATGTGGAAATTATCATCCTGTACCTTTGAGGTAAAGAGGCTTCTACAGCTCTGGCATGAGCTACCACAGGTCATAACCATTAGGAAAGAAACTGGAATGTTACCATGCCAGGCTTTGTAAGTATTCTGTTAGTTCTCCTCTATATTGATTAAAGTTCGTAAAGTCAATACCTGGAACAGCCCAGAGGGAAAATACTTTACCTGTTCTCTTACTTCCCAAGATACCACATTTATTATCTAAGTCGCACAGGTTATCAGATAAACTTGCAGGTTTTTGTTTTATGAAGAAACAATAATCCCCAGGCTACTTTCCAGCATCCTCTACTGTTACTCTACAAAATCTTCCTTGGTGACATCATCCACTTCTCTGTCTTTGCTGGTTACCCGGTGCTGACAGCTGCTCCCTGCAAGGTGCAGGTGTCTCCTAACAATCACTAACTCCGCCTGTCGAACACCGAACTCACAGCCCCGACCTCTACGCCCTGCATCTCCTCCACCACTCCCTCGCTGAATGGCATCCCCACTTCTCCTAGCCGCCCCAGACACAAACCTTCGCAGTCACCTTTCATTTCTCCCTCTCGCTCCACAGGGTGGCCCTAAGGTAACTCGTACCTCCTGAAAATCTCATGAGTTAGTTCCAGCAGGAGTTTCTCATTCCAGCTCCTCATCTCTCATTGTAATCCCTAATCCATTCCCCTACAATGCTACCAGAGGGACCGTGCTAAAATGTAATTCCAGTTATTTTATCCCCCTAAAAACTAAAATCTACCAAATGGCTCCCAATGCCATCAGAATAATGCCAAGAAGCCTTAGGAGAGAAAATGAGATTCTTCACGAGGACCTTGCCCATCTCTCTAGCCTGGTCCCACTATCCATGTCCTAAGCTCTTGCAACTCCTGAGAGAGAAGAATCATGTTCTTGTCTCAGTTCCAAACCTATCACCTGGAACAGCTCTTTGCTCTTCCTGCAAATCCTAGCTCAGGTATCACTACATCCAGGAACCTCCTCAAATCACTCACCACCACCACCACCTGGTCTGAATTAGACAACCTTAGACAGTGCCCACATGCACTCCCTCCGACACCTTATGCACCGCTGACCTATCATTAAAAGACTGCTTCATAATTACAAACCTTCTATTTACTTACCATCAATAAGCCATGGCCTCTTGAGGTCATGATCCCATCATTCTGTCTTTATAACTCCTAGCAGGGTGCCTGGTAACATTAAGTGCTTGCTAATTATTTGTTTCTAAATGGGCTGCCTGGACAGGTGGCAGAGGGAGGACTGGGAGGTGAGAGCACAGGGGCAAAGTCAATTGGAGCTGCCACTCTGGTACTATCTCCATCAGTCACAACGCCTGAAACATATACTCCTCTGATTTAGATAGATCTGGTAGACACTCTGCTTTCAAGGAAGTCACATTTTTTAAAATAGGCTGCTAATGAAAGAGTGAATATTTTATAAGGTGCCTCTCCATACACATAATAAAATTTAGATTTCCCTTTTAAATTTAGTTTTTACCCTTGTAAAAAAATTATTTTTTGTCTGAACTACTCAGATTTCAGAGAGTAAAGCAACAAATAGAGAATACATGGAATTTTCATTGGCACTACACATATGCACACACCCATATACACACACTTCCTTAATACCCAATCTTAAAAGGCTCAAATAAATTAAATAAAATGAAGAAGGTGACCAATGTTTGCCAGTCCTTTTCGAGGAAGAAAACTATGTAACAATTACTTTGGCAGAATTCAGAGACCCAAATGTTCTGCAAACACTTAAAACACTCCCACTTTATTCATAAAAGACTTGAAAAAGTGTACACTGGATGCTGGTATGCTATCTTTAAAAAGGCCTTCTAAGGACTCTGAAGGCACCAAACTGCAAATCGTGTGTCTGAGAATTTTGCTTCAACTATCTCAACTGTTCAGTTGCCAAAAAGGAGTATCTACAAGAAACCACTGTTTCTTTTTTTTTTTTTTTAATTATACTTTAGGTTCTAGTGGACATGTGCACAATGTGCAGGTTTGTTACATATGTATACGTGTGCCGTGTTGGTTTGCTGCACCCATTACCTCGTCATTTACTTTAGGCATTTCTCCTAATGCTATCCCTCCCCCATCTCCCCACCCCATGACAGGCCCCGGTGTGTGATGTTCCCCGCCCTGTGTCCAAGTGTTCTCACTGTTCAATTCCCACCTATGAGTGAGAACATGCAAGAAACCACTGTTTCTTAATAACCTGTCTGACCTATTATTACTCAGGTACATGGGGCTAGTGCCAAAAAAGGACCGAGATTGCATCCCAAACATTCAGAGTTCTCTGCTCATAAATATAAAGACACACATGAAAAGTCACGGCATGATAATTAACAACACAAGAAAAGTCACAAGCATATAATGTCTATTATTAAAGTAGCCTTCACTTTTAAAACAATCCAGTGTACTGCAGCTTTACAGAAACATATCCACTGTTTAAAAAAAAAAAAAAACAATACCAGGCACAGTGGCTCATGCCTGTAATCCCAGCACTTTGGGAGGCTGAGGCGGGCGGATCATGAGGTCAGGAGCTCGAGACCAGCCTGGCTAACATGGTGAAACCCTGTCTCTACTAAAAATACAAAAATTAGCTGGGCGAGGTGGCGGGCGCCTATAATCCCAGCTACTCAGGAGGCTGAGACAGCAGAATTGCTTGAACCCGGGTGATGGAGGTTGCAGTGAGCTGAGATAGCGCTACTACACTCCAGCCTGGGTGGCAGAGCGAGACTCTGTCTCAAAAGAAAAAAAAAAAAAAGGCACCATAGAGCTGTATACAGTTCAGCCAAAATTCACAAAATCAGATCATCCTGACAGGGAAAGGTTCTCTGAGACCTATTAATAATTATTAAATTACTAAACTCTTGTTAATAAAGTATTTTGGACTTCAAATAATCTATAGCTGTACTAACTTTTATTTATCAATGACAGAGTATAGTAATATTTCCCACTATGATTATCAGATTTTCTTTCTCATTCCCTGAGTATGTTACAAGATCATAATTATTTTATCTTCCAGATGAGCTGTTAATATTATGAAATATTGTTGTATCTCTATTAACATATGAACTCTATTTTGATTGACAGTAATATTTGCCTGGTATGTATTTTTCTATCCCCTTATTTCAAACCTTCTGTAAACTAAAAATAAAATTCTAAGGCCCCCAACCATCTGAATGGGCCCTCTTGGCCAAGGGCATCCCGGAGTTGCCTGAAAATCTCTTTCAGGCCATGATGGAAAAGGGGAGGATGGACATGCCTCACTATCCATCCCCCTCCAGCATTAACATCAACTCAGACCTTAAGTGGGATAAGAAATACTCAAACTCTATTCTCTCTGAAGCCTGCTACTTGGAGGCCTCATCTGCATGATAAAACCTAGGTCTCCACAACCCCTTACCATAAGCCAGACATTCCTTTCTACTGATAATGACTCTTTCGACCAATTGCCATCAGAAAAAATTTAAATCTACCTATGACCTGGAAGGCTGCCCCTATCCTGCCCTTCCAGGTCAAACCAATGTAAATCTTACATGTACTGATTGATGTACTGTGTCTCCCTAAAATGTATAAAAGCAAGCTGTACCCTGACCACCTTGGGCACATGTTATCAGGACCTCCTGAGGCTATGTCACTGGTGTGTCCCTAACCTTGACAAAATAAACTTTCTAAATTGACTGAGACTTGTCTCAGACATTTTGAGTTCACACTTCTAGAGTCACTTTGTCTTAGGTATGCCTCTCTTTGTTTCAATCTAACCCAAGAGCCTCTGTCACTTAGTCGGCAAGCATAATCCATTTGCATTTATTGGGATTACTACCATATTTGACGTTTCAGTCAATTTATTTTGTATTTTCAATCATAATTAACAAAAATATGGAAACTGGGGCCCCAAGAGTTAAACAACTCAATCAAGTCACACAGCTATGATGCTTTTATCATAATATCTTCATCACTATTGAATCTTGTACCATAAGAACACAACCTAATCTTTAAAATGCAGAGGTGATGACTCTAAACCCTAACACAGCTAAAAATTACATTTTGGGAGGATGGCTTACTCTTTCTGGGGTGCGGTGCTTTATTTGCTTTCTCATTCCATCCTCCTCAGCAACCTTTTGAAGTAGATACTATTATTAGCCCTATTTTACAGGTGAATAAACTAAAGTTTTGCTGGTGGTGGCACAGGAAAAAAATGAAGAAACCAAGAGGACTTGAACCAAGTGGGTATGACTCCAAAGCCCATGCTTTAAATGAACAAATTGGCCTACCCTCTAAGGCAAGAACCCTTTAATAGTGGTCTATGTCAGAAAAATATCAAAAAGACTCAAGGCTCTTAAATAAATAAGGAAATGAATGACCTGCATCAAAGTCTAATTACGCCTAGGCCAGTTACCCACCCAGCCAGGTCTCCTTGTACATACACAATGGGGGTGATATTGCCCCCACAAGGAATGAAAATTCATTTTGGGGATGAGGCAAAAAATTGTATTCTTTTTCATATTAGCATAGATATATAATGTATCTATGGCATGAAAATTTCATGGGTGGGCAATTAGGAGGAAAAAAAGGGTCACACTGGGCGAGGGGGCTCACATCTGTAATCCCAGTGCTTTGGGAGGCCCAGGCAGGAGGATCATTTGAGGCCATGAGTTCGAGACCAGCCTGGGCAACAAAGTGAGCCCGTCTCTACAAAAAAATTAAAAATTAGTCAAGTGTGGTGACACATGCCTGTAGTCCCAGCCATTCATCTTCAAATGGGAGGATCACTTGAGCCTGGGAGGCCAAGGCTGCAGTAAGCTGTGATCATGCCAAAGCACTACAGCCTGGGGGACAGAGCAAGACCCTGTCACAAAAATAAATAAATAAATAAATAATCTAAAAAATTCCTGATAAGGGATGGGAATAATGAAAAAAATGATGAAAAACACTATCCAAGCTAAAGAAAAAAATGCTCATCTCCTTTAATGAAGATGTAACCACCCAACAGTTTCACCTCACCCACTGTCTAGACAGAGCCTATTTATCAAGACAGGGGAATTGCAATAAAGTTATTCACACAGAGCTGGCTGTGCAGCAGACCAGAGTTTTGCTATTACTTAAAACAGTCTCCCCAAGAATTTGGGGACTGGAGTTTTTAAGGATAATTTGCTGGGTAGGGGTCCACTGAGTTGGCAGTTCTGATTGGTAGGGGTGGAGATGAATACAGAGTTGAAGCTGTCCTCTTGCATTGAGTCAGTCCTGGGTGGGGGCCACAAGACCAGATAAGCCAGTTTATCCATCTGGGTGGTGCCAAATGATCCATCGAGGACAGGGTCTGCAAAATGTCACAAGCACTCATCTTAGGTTTTGCAATAGTGATGTTATTCCCAGGAACCATTTGGGGAGGTTTAGAATCTTGCAGCCTCCAGCAGCATGACTCCTAAACCATATTTTCTAATGTTGTGGTTAATTTGCTAGTCCTACAAAAGCAATCTAGTCCCCAGGCAAGAAGGGGGTTTTGTTATCATCTTTGTTTTAAACTACAAACTAAGTCCCTCTCAAAGTTAGTTTGGCCTAAGCCCAGGAAAGAGCAAGGACTGCTTGGAGGTTAGAAGCAAGATGGAGTTGGTTAGTACAGATCTCTTCCACTGTCTCAGTTAGAGTTTTGCAACGGCAGTTTCGAACACTTGAAAAAAGCCTCAGAAGACAGAAAGATGAAGAGCACATTTCTCTGTACTAAAGAATTAGAATTTCACATATCATGGGTCCCATTCATTATGTCTCTGATATAAAATCTCAGAGTGGCTACTCCCCACCAGAACTAACGTGTGTACTTTAGGGGAGCAGTGAAGATTTAGCCATCTTCTTCCTACAACATTCAAACGCTAAAATGCCCATTATGAACCTCCATTCTCAATATTCAGAGATAAACCTCTTTCCTGTAAGGATGGAAAACGCCACTGGAAGGTGATTCTAGCTTTACAAACAACACAGTCCAATAGACACATTTTTTTTTCTTAATGGGCAAATTCAACCAGGCTCTATACTCTTTGAAGGAGCAAAATTCACCCTTACTATAATGGAAATTAATTGTTTTTTAAGATTTCACTCGTGGGAAATACACTGTTTATTTTAAAACATTCTGCCAAATAGATCTCATCACCACGGTTTAAGAACTTATTATCATTATTATACAGTATAACCATGAATACACTCTATAACAAAAAACGGTATGAGACAGAAACATGGCACCCCTCTCACCTTCCTCCATTTTACAGAGCAAACTGCACAAGGAACAGTGATATTACAAATGGATTTATTATTTGAGTCCCTGAGAAGAAAATTCTTTATCTGCTGCATAGAAATTTATCCTTCTTTACTACTCGTACATTAAAATTTTAAAGTACTTCTTCTCCGCTTACATATAATACTCTCTAAAATCTAAATATAATTTTGTAAGTCCTAATATTTTGAAAAATCAGCTGAATATTGAAAGTAGATAGATCTAGAGAGAAAAGTTAATTTTTCCAATGTTCAGTTACAAATCTTGAAATCACCTAACTTGAACCAACTAAAATATTTTTTAAGTCCTACCAAATAAATACACAGCTATTCTCATATACATGGCAGTTCAAGGCCATCCTTGTTTCTGTTCCACATACAGAGAAGAGCTATTAAAAAACTGAAATTAACTGATGTCTTCTGGTTGACTAAATTATTTTTAAAAATAGAAACTATTAACTCAATACAGACCTAGCACCATGGTCTTATGGCTAATGTGGGGTTTCTAGCCACCACAAATAACAATTTGGTCTTACATTTACTTCCAAATAGTTTTAAATTACATTAGAGTATAGTTCTAATGGTGCTGCTGCCAAAATACCAGTCCTGAATTTCAGTGAGTTTGGCATTTCACTGCCCTATTTGTTGTGAAATTTCATAAGTTAGTATCATATGTGCCTGAACAACACAGGAGCAATAAAGCACTTTTTATTTGTAATCTGACTTCTCCTAGAGCAACCCAATGCCAAAATCCTCTGCAAATCTATCAAGTGGAAATGCATATCTCAATTACCTGGAAGGGAATGAAATGAAACAAATATGTAAAACTACACTGAAAACCAACACTATACTAAGTGATATGTGAGACACATATACCTCCCCCCACCACCACAAGCTCTGCAAGGGCCAGCATCCTCTTTGTTCTGTTCTAGTGTGGTTTCTTTTTTGTTTGCTTGCTTGTTTTGAGACAGGGATTCACTCCGTTGCCCAGGCTGGAGTGCAGTGGTGCAGTGTTGGCTCACTGCAACCTCTGCCTCCAGGGCCTCAGCCTCCCTGGTAGCTGGAACCACTGGCACACACCACCATGCCTGGCTAATTTTTGTATCTTCTGTAGAGCCAGGGTTTCGCCATGCTGCCTAGGCTGGTCTCCTGGGCTCAAGTGATCTGCCCGCCTCAGCCTCCCAAAGTCTGGGATTACATGCCTAAGCCACCGTGCCCAGCCTATTCTGTTCATCTTTAAACCATTAGTAACCAGCATGGCACCTAAGCCATAGCAGGTGCTCAAAAACAATTGTGAAATGCAACACAGATGGTAGGAGCTGTATTGCAGCAGAGTAATCTAACTCTAAAACATAGTGCTTCTTCCTACCTAAATAGTATGTACTTTGGATCCCAGTAAAATTCTCATTGTTACACAGGAACAACCTTCTCTTTACTCAGATTTATTCAGAGAAGGTTATAAATTTGTAAGTTATAAAATTATAAATTTATTTTCAACTGTCGCAAAACATGAGGGGTCATATTTGGATAGGATTGCAGTAATCACTAATTTCACAATCTCACCAGCATTTGCCTTTTAACATATTTATTTTAAATGTAGACGATTTTAAGATCATTTCTCTTTGTAAAATATCCTAAATAGGTCCTACACTGTCATGGCAACCCAGATTTCCAGAGATTTACACTTTATTAAATTTTCTCAAAGAGCTGTTCAAATAACTACCATCGCTTGCATTAACACTGCAGCAACAAGCCTTTCCCCTTTGTATGCTTGGTAAATGTTTCCCAGACTTACTTAGAAATCCATAACCTTTCAAATAAACAAAATGAGTAAAGATTGGCCTATGATACTTGAAAGGAAGAGAATATCAATCCTAGAAAAAACATTCAAATAATTATCATTTTAACATGATCAAACCTCTATTAGAGGGGTCCCCAACCCCGAGGCCACACAGCAGAAGGTGAGCAGCGGACAAGCAAGCGAAGTACAGCTGTTCCCCATAGTTTGCTTATACCTACCATCTGAGCTCTGCCTCCTGTCAGATTCATGGTGGCATTACAGCCTCATAGGAGCGCAAACCCTACTGTGAACTGCACATGACAGGGATCAGGATTGTGCGCTCCTTATGAGAATCTAACGCCAGACGATCTGTCACTGTCTTCTATCACCCCTGCCGATGGACCATCTAATTGGAGGAAAACAAGATCAGGGCTCCCACTGATTCTATATCATGGTGAGTTGTAGAATTATTATTATTATTATTTTTTGAGATGGAGTCTAGCTCTGTCACCCAGGCTGGAGTGCAGTGGCATGATCTTGGCTCACTGCAACCTCCACCTCTTGGGTTCAAGAGGTTCTCCTGCCTCAGCCTCTGCAATCCCTAGCTGGGATTGCAGACATGCGCCACCACCACACCTGGCTAATTTTTGTATTTTTAGTAGAGACTGGGTTTCACCATGTTGGTCAGGCTGGTCTCGAACTCCTGACCTCAGGTGATTTGCCCACTTTGGCCTCCCTAAATGCTGGGATTACAAGGGTGAGCCACCATGTCCGGCCAGAATTATTTCATTATATATTACAATGTAATAATAATAAAGTGCACAATAAAAGTAATGTGCTTCAATCATCCCGAAACCATCCCCACAACCCGTCAGTGGAAAAACTGTCTTCCACGAAACTAGTCCCTGGTGCCAAAAAGGTTGGAGACCACTATTCTATTACTAAAATTTGTTTAAACCTGATCAATCCGAAGAAAAAAATTTTTAAAAACAAAATATTGTTTAACAATACAGTCTACACAGTCTGGAATCCATTAGAGGCCTGCACATGACTGCTTAAAAGCTTATTTTCAAAGGAACTCAATATCAAGCTTGGTAACAAAAGTCAGTTAAAGTAAATGTGGATTCACTTTGGCTTCCAGAATATCTAAACATGAGTATACAAGAAAAATGAGCGATGGTGCCTAAAATATTGCCATAAGTTTAGAACCACAAAGGAGATCTCTGATTTACAGTGCATTTATCATAGGTGACAGCCATAAGTTAAGTATGTTAAGTATGTCTACTGTGGGGCCAGACCCTAATCCAACCAAGCCAATCAGCCCAACACCCAGGCTGGGGATACCTCACCACACTTTCCAGAAAGTCACAGGATAATGCACAGCCTGTCCAAAGCTGCATGGGCTTGTAATTCAAACTTATCTGGCTCCTACTATCGCTCAAATGACTGCAAAATGAAAATAAGATCTTAGCTGGTGAAGTCTTCAATCAGGTATAAGAGCAAAAGGAATCAGCAAGTTTCTGCGTTCTCCCAGTAGGGGGAAAAAACTTAGAAGAAAAGATCAGGGCATCCAGACCACTCTGAATTTCTTTAAAATCTCCCTGGTGATGTGATTTTTGAAACTGCATTTTTCAACTACTTACTTGACCAAAATCAAGTCCATAACTTCATCTCCTTGAAATATGTTACTAATAAACAAGTTTTCTATTTCCCAAAATATCTGCAACATAATATGCACTTTGTTTTTCCTATCTCAAAATGCTTTCAAAGCAGTTGCTTCTGTTGTCAAAATCAGCAGCACAGAAGAATGAACCGGATGTCAGGGCAATTTGGAACATTTAGAGGGAACTAAATTCTGTTAGTATTCTATGACTCTGCACAGAGAGAAGTATCAGGGGCTGGGCACCAGCAGTAGCTGGATTTTTAGTGGTGCCTGAGTGTTATGGACCAAATTGTGCTCACCTTCCAAATTCACATGTTGTAGGAGTAACCCCTAATGTGATTGTATTCGGAGACAGAGCCTGTAGGGAGGTAATCTAGGTTAAGTGCGGTCATAATGGTAGGGCCCTAATCCAATAGGACTGGTGTAGTTATTAGAAAAGGAACAAAGAATGGCCGGGCACAGTGGCTCACGCCTATAATCCCAGCACTTTGGGCAGATCACCTGAGGTCAGGAGGTTGAGACCAGCCTGGCCAACATGGTGAAACCCTGTCTCAAATAAAAATACAAAAATTAGCCGGGCGCAGAGGTGGGTGCCTGTAATCCCAGCTACTTGGGAGGCTGAGGTGGGAGAATCACTTGAGCCTGGGAGGCGGAGGTTGCAGTGAGCAGAAACCATGCCACTGCGCTCTACCCTGGGTGACAGAGTGAGACCCCTTATCATTAAAAAAAAAAAAAAAAAGAAAGAAAGCAAGGAACAAAGAGACACTATGGTTCCCCTGCACCCACCCATTTGCACAAAGAAAAGGCCAGGTGAGGACACAGTGAGGCGGCAGCCATCTGCAAGCCAGGAAGAGAAGCCTCATCAGAAATCAACTGACAGCTCCTTGATCTTGGACTTCTACCCTACAGAACAGTGAGAAAATAAATTTCTGTTGTTTAATCCATACAGTCTGTGGCATTCTGTTATGGCAGCCTGAGCAGATTAATTCACCAAGTGAACCCTAAAGCTGCCTTCTGTGCCATTAAACTCCAATCTCAATCCAAGGATCCTGTAATTAATGAAGGCTTTCTAATCTCATTAGCAATGGCACTGCTAACTCTCAATATCTTGTGATTTTAAAGATAAGGACAATGGATAAATGAGAACCAGATCAACAACTTGACCTTACTGTTTTAGGCTGGCCATCATGTCCCCGTGCAGCAGCTGCCGCTGCCCTAACACTTTTAGAGGCCCTCAAAATCACAAACTATGCTCAACTCACTCTCTATAGTTCTCATAACTTCCAAAATCTATTTTCTTCCTCACACCTGATGCATATACTTTCTGCTCCCCGGCTCCTTCAGCTGTACTCACTCTTTGTTGAGTCTCCCACAGTTACCATTGTTCCTGGCCCGGACTTCAATCCAGCCTCCCACACTATTCCGGATACATCTGACTCCCATGACTGTATCTCTCTGATCCACATGACATTCACTCCCTTTCTCCATGTTTCCTTCTTTCCTGTTCCTCACCCTGATCACACTTGGTTTATTGATGGCAGTTCCACCAGGCCTAATCGCCACTCACCAGCAAAGGCAGGCTATGCTATAGTATCTTCCACATCTATCACTGAGGCTACCGCTCTGCCCCCCTCCATTACCTCTCAGCAAGCTGAACTCACTGCCTTAACTTGAGCCCTCACTCTTGCAAAGGGACTACCCATCAATATTTATACTGACTCTAAATATGCCTTCCATATCCTGCACCACCATGCTGTTATATAGGCAGAAAGAAGTTTCCTCACTATGCAAGAGTCCTCCATCAATAATGCCTCTTTAATAAGAACTCTTCTCAAGGCTGCTTTACTTCCAAAGAAAGCCGGAGTCATTCACTGCAAAGGCCATCAAAAGGCTTCAGATCCCATTGCTCTGGACAACGCCTATGCTGATAAGATAGCTAAAAAAGCAGCTAGCGTTCCAACTTCTATCCCTCAGGGCAGTTTTCCTCCTTCTCATCTGGCCACTCCCACCTACTCCCTCGCTGAAACTTCCACCCATCTCTTCCCACACAAAGCAAATGGTTCTTGGACCAAAGAAAAATCTCCTTCCAGTCTCACAGGCCCATTCTATTCGTCATTTCATAACCTCTTCCATGTAGGTTGCAAGCCGCTAGCCCGCCTCTTAGAACCCGCTAGCCCACCTCTTAGAACCTCTCATTTCCTTTCCATCGCAAAAATCTATCCTCAAGGAAATCACTTTTCAGTGTTCCATCTGCTATTCTACTACTCCTCAAGAATTTCTCAGGCCCCCTCCCTTCCCCACACATCAAGCTCGGGGATTTGCCCCGCCCAGGACTGGCAAATTGACTTTACTCACATGCCTCGAGTCAGGAAACTAAAATACCTCTTGGTCTGGGTAGACACTTTCACTGGATGGGTAGAGGCCTTTCCCACAGGGTCTAAGAAGGCCACCGTGGTCATTTATTCCCTTCTGTCAGACATAGTTCCTCGGTTTGGCCTTCTCACCTCTATACAGTCCGATAACGGACCGGCCTTTACTAGTCAAATCACCCAAGCAGTTTCTCAGGCTGTTGGTATTCAGTGGCACCTGGTTTTTCCTCAAACTGCCACCCTTAAGTCTCTCTTTAAGTGGATAGAAGATCTTCAGTGGCAAGGTACCCTCCAATACTTTCACCCTGATGAAGTCCTATTCTTTACTTTTATACTTACTCTTATTCTCATTCCCGTTCTTATGCCACCCTCTACCTCTCCCCAGCTATCTCTATCACACTATCAATCTCAGTTACTCTCTCCTAGCCGTTTCTAATCCTTCTTTAACAAACAATTGCTGGCTTTGCATTTCTCTTTCTTCCAAAATCACAAAGGTCTCGACTTACTGCTAAAAAAAAAAAAAAGGGGACTCTATATTTTTAAATGAAGAGTGCTATTTTTACCTAAATCAATCTGGCCTGGTATATGACAACATTAAAAAAAACTCAAAGATAGAGCCTAAAAGCTTGCCAACCAAGCAAGTAATTACACTAACCCCCCTTGGACACTCTAATTAGATGTCCTGGGTCCTCCCAATTCTTAGTCCTTTTATACCTGTTTTTCTCCTTCTCTTATTCAGACCTTGTGTCTTCCATTTAGTTTCTCAATTCATCCAAAACCATATCCAGGCCATCACCAATCATTCTATACGACAAATGTTTCTTCTAACAACCCGACAATTATCACCCCTTACCACAAAATCTTCCTTCAGCTTCATCTCTCCCACACTAGGTTTCCATGTTGCCCCAGTCCTGCTCAAAGCAGCCCTGAGAAACATTGCCCATTATCTCTCCATACCACCCCCCAAAATTTTCCCCACCCCAACACTTTACCACTATTTTATTTTTCTTATTAATATAAGAAGACAGGAATGTCAGGCCTCTGAGCCCAAGCTAAGCCATCATATCCCCAGTGACCTGCACGTATACATCCAGATGGCCTGAAGCAACTGAAGATACACAAAAGAAGTGAAAATAGCCTTAACTGATAACATTCCACCATTGTGATTTGTTCCTGCCCCACCCTAACCGATCAATGTACTTTGTAATCTCCACCACCCTTAAGAAGGTTCTATATAATCTCCCCACCCTTGAGAATGTACTTTGTGAGATCCACCCCCTGCCCCCAAAACATTGCTCTTAACTCCACCGCCTATTCCAAAACCTGTAAGAACTAATGATAATCCCACCACCCTTTGCTGACTCCTTTTTTGGACTCAGCCTGCCTGCACCCAGGTGAAATAAACAGTCTTGTTGCTCAAAAAAAAAAAAAAGAGAGAGAACCAGATCAACCTAAACTTTACTTTCTCTGGAGAGACTCTTCTGAAACCCCTAGTCCCAGCCCAGGGCCTCTCCTGTTCTATGTTCCTACTGGTTTGTTGTTTTTTCATAGCACGCACTACGATGGTGTTTAAATAATTACCTGTGTATTTATTAAATGACTATCTTGCCTGAAAGTATACTGTACTCTCCAAGAACTATTGGGTATTTCTCTCTTTTTCATCAATGTATCCCTAAATATAGTGTCTAGCTCCCAGACAACAATACACAAATGTTTAATGAACAAACTTTATACTTAAAATTTTCTCAGCTTCGAAGAGTATTAGAAGCACTTTCCCTACCAATTCCTCTACTATCAAGAAGAAAAAATTACTCAGTTCATCAAGTGGTAAATTTTTTCAAATGTAAACTATAAGTAGAAAAAAAAAAACCAAACAGATAAGCTCTTGTAGATTGAGTCATCTATATTTTTTAAATTATATTTACATGAGAATTTTTAAGTTCTCTCACTGACCAAAAAGCTTCAAAAGCAACTTCAAATTTCTAAGACAAATTTTCACTGCTGTCTGAGCAGCCATGCTCAAGGGTGCCGGCTCTGGGACAGGTCCATGGCCTGGTCAGCCCTTTCCTCACAACCTCCGAAAGCACATGTAGCACGGGGAAGGTCCCAGGGCCAAGAGAGGATTCAAATTATTCAAGCACACATACAGTCTTGCATTCAGATTTTATTTATTTATTTATTTATTTATTTATTTATTTATTTAGAGACGGAGTCTCACTCTGTTGCCCAGGCTGGAGTGCAGTGGCGCGATCTTGGCTCACTGCAAGCTCCACCTCCCGGGTTGACGCCATTCTCCTGCCTCAACCTCCCAAGTAGCTGGGACTACAGGCACCCGTCACCTCGCCCAGCTAATTTTTTGTTTTTTTAGTAGAGATGGGGTTTCACCGTGTTAGCCAGGATGGTCTCGATCTCCTGACCTCGAGATCCGCCCGCCTCAGCCTCCCAAAGTGCTGGGATTACAGGCGTGAGCCACCGCGCCTGGCCCAGATTTTTAAAAATAAAGTTCCCAAGGTTGGAAGAGAGAAAAACTGACAGCAATTCAAGGAAAACGTGGCAAGCTCAATGTGAAGCAACAGCAGAAGATACAACTAAAGGAAGCTTCACTGTTAGACGCCAAGTTAAATCACCCCAGGTACTGACCAAGCCAAGAGTGTCCAGAAGGGGCAGCCAGGCTGTAAGACACCTAGGAGACCCAGCCCAGGAGCTAGGACCCCTGGGGAAAAGTCCAGGAGACACACCTGGCAGGTATGTGCAGGCAGCTTCAGGAGCCTTCCTGGGAGAGCTGGCACAGATTTCCCAGCAGGCAGGGAGCAACAACTTCACAGTGGCTAGGGGTTAGGAGGTACTTTCTAACAGCTAGAGCGCTCCAAAAATGCAGAGAGCAGAGAGGTATTCGATTTGTTGTTGTTATTGTTGTTGTTTTCACAGCACACACTGAAACAATGTTTAAATAATGACCTGTTAAATGACCATCTTGCCTGAAAGTATACTGTACTCTCCATATATTCAACAGGATAGCTACAGAAAGAACTGAGTACTGTGTGGGAAGCCGGGATGCATGCATTCCAAGATCTCATCCAACTAACAAGCATCAATAATTTGTTTAACCACCAAGTATTCACACCATTCTTGTGATCGAATACAATGTGGTAATACTATAATATGCAAAACTTGGTTCCCAAGGTGTGTAAGACACTCTCTCTTCAATGAGGCTCAGAAGATATTTCAAAATAATGGCTTTTCCAGCTCTATGTTTAACTGAATCACCATTACTTTAATTGTAACCATTCTTTGTTTGGGGTGTTGTCATATCAAGAAAATATTTGCACTCTATAAACAAAGTATTCTTCTACAAACATTTATACACGTTTTCATTGGATTTCACAACCCCACTGAAAATAATGAGCAAAAAGTTCTCAAAACAGCTTCTGCATTCTGATGAAAACATTCATTTTAAGTACGCCACTGGAAATATTTATCACTAAACCAATTACTTTATTTGGGAATTTTACGCTTTTTAAAATATTATAAGGTACTAAGTAAAACATTTGCTTATTAAAAAAAAAACCTTTTAATTAGAAAATACAGTCATCCCTCACTACCCATGGGCAATTGGTTCCAGGACCTCTTATGAATACCAAAATCCATGGACGCTCAGGTCCCTTATATAAAATGGTGTAGTATTTGTATAAAACCGACACACATCCTCTCAAATACTTTAAATCACCTAAAGATTACTTATAATTCCTAATACAACGCCTACACATCACCTTACTCACATGGATTCAATGCAGTTCTCAGTAAGCAGCAAATCGTGCTTCTGCTTTTTCGAACTTTGTGGATTTTTTTTCCCAAATATTTTCTATCCATGGTTGGTTGAATTCACAGATGCAGAAGCCATGGATACAGGGGGCCAGCTGTACTGCTTAGGCTGGTATGACTTCTCAGTCACCCAAGGAATATCCTTAAGTCTAGGATTTTATTCTCCGAAAAAGGAGGAAATATTCCTACTAGCTAAATAGATATGAAAATCCAAAAGGTTTTTATTTAAGAAAGTCATAGAACATCAGAATGTAAAACAGCTGTGCCTTGCAGGACCTTTGTTTACACAAACCTCTCTGCCTCTTCAGGTTGGAAGGAGGGGAGGTGGGGGCACCTCAGAAAGTAGTTTTCCTAACAAATTACTCCCTTACTTTTCTCCTAATCAGACATTTGCTTTAACGGAGATTTGAACAAGTCAGTCCCACCCAGTGCACTTAAAAATCAATGCACACATATTCAGCATTAGTCATATTGTAACAAATTCCTAATATAGTGTGGGGGATACTCAGAAGAGTAGTTGGTGATAAACCAAACCAAGCAATCAAAATACTACACCTGAAGGCTGCAGAATATGGTTTGTTATGGCTGTTTTAATGCAGTTCCTGGAAATATCCTTAACATCTTCCATATATAGATTATGACAGCACCAAAATATTCCCCCCAAAAGTGAACCCATACATTTAGAAGCATCAAGAAAATATGGGAAAGCCATTCATTGTAACCACACTCAGCTACTGAGGGATGAATAGTTATGTATTCAGCAGTTTCTCAGCCAGAAGTGGGTTGGTTTTGCTTTTTGGCAATGGGTATATGTTTTTAATATTGCTGTGTTACTCGAAAAGAGTTGGTATGTTCAAAGACTAGAAAGGAAAGGCCTGTTTGTGAAACCAGTGATGAGAGCATGGATCAAAATAATGACCTACAAGGATGGTCGCTTTCATGCTCATGGAGACTTCTCATTTCTAACCCTTGGACACTTTCAAATTCTGCTAAGGCCCTCAGATTTTCAAGAGTGTAGGTGCTGGGTGAGACAGCCAGTGTCAAAGAGATTTCTCTGAAGAGCATCTTGTTCCCACACTGGGCCTGCAGGAGAACAGACAGGTAGGGGGCACTGTTCCCTCAGCTTGCTCTGACTGCAAAGCCACTAACCAGATGAGCAATGAGACCCCCACACTACGCCTAGTCCTCCATGAACAGGAAGGCAGCAACTGGCTGACATAGTGTGCTGAAAGATGGGCCAAGTTCCCATGAGAATTGTGTTCATATCTCCATGCGGAGCATGCAAAAAAGCTGAGCATAATATATCAGCATGGAGACACCAGTGACCAGTGTCGTGGGGCAGGTGAGAATGGATGACCAAAAATAAGCTCAGCAGATTAACCTCCACACAACAAAAGGATTTTCTTTTTAAACACAGGGATCACCAAACTGAAGGCTAAGAATGTACCCAGTTGTAAAATCCAATGTGATTACTATGTCAGGGAAGCCCCCAAGCCACACAGGTAGTTCTCCTTTCCTCATGACCACAGAGGGAACATGGCAGTAGCCTCGAGTGCATTCTTCTCTGAGGTACCCTAGCTGATCTGTTAGCTCTCTGAGTCCGTGCAGAGCTCATTCCTGACACAATGAGGGCAAAGCCAACAAACACTGGCCCTCTTCAACCAGACTGCTCACCACTCACACAATCTCCAGGAACCTCCATCTAGAAGCTCCAGAAGGTTCCTGCTCAACAGGCTTTACAAAAGAGGAATAATGAAGCCCTTCACCTTGCTTTCACTGTCCATTCTAAAAGGAGAAACAACAACAAAAAAACCCCCAGGAAAGCCAGAGTTTGCCCTTGGTTTTGCACTTGGATTTTCCATGAACACATCTCTGTCTGACTTCAAGGGAAGTCCATTAACCTTTCCTGATGTACAAGAACCTTGCAGGAAAAGTAGGCAGGGAGCTGTCACCCATGCACACACAGCCCCACTTCAAAGTGTATTCTCTGAAGTGAATATTTATTTCTCTTCTCTAAATGGCAGAAGGTATCTTCCTCTGTTGCCGGAAATAGACAATTATGTCAGGAGCAGCCATCCCTGATGTAAACCAACCCTTCACAGAGGGCTGGGTTGGGGGGCGTGCAGGTAAAGTGCAACCACTCTGACAGCCTGCCATCCCCACAGCACTAAATTGATGCCAGCTGCCCACTACAGGCTACGTTCCTGAGGTCCTGTGACAGGCTCCTGAGAAGACTAACAAACCTTCCCATCAGCTTCCAGATGAGAGCAAGGGTGAGGCCTTTGGGGCTAGAAAGCAGAAACTCGCCAGCTCCCCGATCAGAACCACAGTCTCACTATTGGCAGGGGTAGGGTGTCATTTCAAAGGCCAGTGTGTTTGGGGAAAGGAATGAGTGAATTATTTGACTGACATCCTGAAAAGAAAAATACACATACTCTCTCTCTCAGAGTTTAGCATTTGGAGAGTGATGCTGTCAGGACAGGTCTGGAAATGAACCAAAGCTCCTTAATCTAGTCTTGCTTTAGCGCAAATATTCCAGAAGATGCTAATGATCACCTCCCAACACAAATTTTCAGGGAGCTGCAAATACTTACCAAAACGTGATCGAGCTTTTCTCACGAAGTCTCTATACACACTAGTTGCTCCATATTCTAGCTCCCACTTCTCACAACTCCCCAGTCCCCCACCTTTGCACTGTCCTCTCCCCAGAGAGGCTCCATCCCCAGGCAGGGGTGGTAACTCTCCGGTGCAGTGCCCAGTGCCAGCAAAGGGCATCCAGGTACCACCTCCCATCAACCTGACCCGCCATGTCAAGGAGCACTGAGCAGAAAGGTGAGCAAGTAACGAGACAAAGCCTCCAAAACACGAAGAGGTGGAACTGACCAATTCAGAATCCACCAAGTCCATCTCCTCTTTCTGGATGCCACAAACCTACACCTGGCTGTCCAGCCAGGTTAGCATTTAATTGCTTTAAATTACCCTTAATGGATATACACAGCATTAGAAATGATCAGTTATCCCTAACACTGTACCTAAATAATGTGTAGTGTTCCCTAAAAGGGAGAAGGAAGGTTTCTACAATATGCAGAAGTGACCAGCTATTCAAGAAGCTCCTTTGTAATATATAGCAACTGGTCTGGTATTTGTCAGTCTTAGTTAGCTAATTACAAACCTATTTCTTTCTAAAGGAATAAAAAAGAAAAAAAAAGAGCCAAAGAGCCAAAAAGCCCCAGAGGCAGTTTATCATGCCTCTGGTAGCTCATGTGGGATAAGGAAGGGCAATTTCTACTCGGGTAAAGGGGACAGGAAGATGAGGACTCTTTGCTTCCTCCTCACTGGGGACCCCAGAGTCCTGCTCTCTGCAGCTGCCTAGCCTGACTGTTGACAGGACAGTCCACGAGCCCCGAGAGAAGATCACGAGAGATCTGTAATCAGAGAATCTGACATCCCTTCCAGAAATCAGCCATTCCTTATTTGGGTCAGTCCCAGCAGAGGACTTTGGACAAGTCATCTAGCTGCTCAGGGCCTCAATTTCCTCGTCTATAAAGAGAGGACTGGAAAGGAACACTGTTCTTGGCTGCACATCACTGTCACCTGTGGAGATACTGTGATTTAATTATGCTGGCTCAGGTATGAGTGAGCATCAAGATCTTTAAAATGCGCAGCCAGCCAGGCACAGTGACTCACACCTATAATCCCAACACTTTGGGAAGCCAAGGCAGGCAGATCCCTTGAGGCTAGGAGTTTGAGACCACCTTGGGCAACATGGCAAAATCCCATCTATACAAAAATTAGCTAGGCGTGGTGGCATGCATCTGTAGTCCCAGCTACTACAGGAGGCTGAGGTGGGTGGATCCCTTGAGCCTGGGAGGCAGAGGTTACAGTGAGCCATGATTGCGCCACTGCACTCCAGCCTGGGCAACAGAGCCAGACCCTGTCTCAAAACAAAACAAAACAAAAAATAAAATATCCAGCCAAGGATTGAGAGCTACTAATCAGCTAGAGCTCTTTCTAGCTTAAACAAAAAACTTTAGAAACCTCAAATACCAATAAAACCATCAGCAGACACACCCCACCCCTCCTTAACACAGTGGATCGAGATGAAAAAAAAACAGAACAAATCTCTCAAAGAAAGGGACATCTCCAGCAGCCTGGTCCTGGGAACACCTGAGGCCCACTGAGTCTTCAGCCTATCCAAGTGATCTAGAAGTTTCCATTCATCTCTAAAATTTTGTTGTATTTGAGATTTAGATTTTCTGTTTTCTGTTGCCTGAAACATGAGTCTTACAATAAAATGTCTCAAACATAAATTTTGTGATTATTTAAAATAAGCCATCACCTAACAAACGTGACTACTTGCCATTTTTCTTTCAAAGAATGAAAAACCGCCTAAAACATTTGTTCATTCTCTCACTTTTAGTAGATTACAGATCACAGAAAAACACAAAACAAATCCTAAGAAATGAACAATTAACATTACAAACGTAAAAAGAATTATAATTCCAAGATGCCAAAAATACTGATTACATTTCAATTACCATTTGCGCCTTCATCTGGAAAACACATCCTCCATTGGAAAGTACCCAGCATAACAGCTGCAATGCTTTTTCAACTTTAACAAACACTGGAAAAGTTAGCCAAAACTCTGTGTTGGCTGACATCCAGGGTTTTATTATTATGTACTATTAGTTCATAGTGAGAAACATGGGCTAAAGGAAGGGGGAAAGCAAAGTAATAACAGGGGCTTCATAATCATGTGCAGATGTGAAGGTTTCTGAAGCTTTATCTACCAGAAAATGCCTTCCATATTACTTCTATTACCTGTATCCTTTATTAATTAGATAATTACAAATGTTGTGTTTTTAGGACATTATTTAGAGACTTAACTGTGAAACGGTTTTTCTTATGTCAGTGGCTGGGCTGTGCTGACATTTTAATATTTTTCACATGTAAAGCAACCTGGTGGATTCTCTCCCCTTGGCTCCACGTTTTAGCAAGTGCTGAAAGCAAATCAACACGCAAACAACCAGTCACCTTCCTCCATTATGTCCATTTCTTGTCAAATCAGTTATGGTTCAAAAGCCTCTCACTTTTAGTACTACATGAATGTTGGGGCTGAAATATTTATTTTTTAAGGCTTACACAAACTGCATCGGGTGGTATGGTCTAAGCACAGACTTTTCAATCTCATGAACCAGCAAAGTTTAAACAAACAAAAAAAATGGAGGAAGCAACATTAGTTTCCAACTTTTCCTTAAATAAGGAGAAAAAAATTAAAACAAATACAAAAAAACTACTAATATTGCCACTATTGAGTCAAAATAGGCCAAGAATTATCACTGTCATCTGAGAACAGATCGATCCCTTCCAGAAGTGGGCAAATGTTAACCCTACCTGAAGGCTTCTGCATGGCTGGTGAGGGCCTCAGGACACACCTGTGCTCCACAGGTGCAAAGGGAAAAGCATGAGCCAACAGGAGGTGAAGGGTGAAGTCCCAGCCAGCTGACTAGGAGCAAATGCAAAGTCTCCTGGGTTTCTCCGTCTACATCTACACCTTTACCCTACTTTTAAAGTCCCTTCGTATTATAAAGTTCCTTAACCACTAGGTGAAAACACTGCGGGACCGTTACCCTTTTATTAGGATGAATCAAGTCTCTATGCACCAACACATGTATCTCCAGCACCCAACACAGCATTTGGCATAAAGTACGGGCTCCAGACATATTTATCAAATAAATGACTTTTCTGCTTTCCCCAATATTTAAGGGGTGTTTAAGAAAAATGCATTGACAATGGATGCATGGGAGCTTCTTGAAAAAAAATATAGTATGGATCTAGGTTCAATTTTTCACTTTAGGGATGTATATATAGTTGCGTTATTTAGGAAACACTGATATAGCTTTTACTATGTGCCCAGGTCTAAGCCCTTTACAAATATTAACTCATTTAATCCTCAAAATAACCTTTTTTGAGGTAGGCACTATTATCTTTTTATCACTTTACAAATGAGAAAACTGTGGCATAAAGCGCTCAGGGAATGTTGTCCAAGGTCACAGAGGTAAACGATAGTGAAGCTGGAATTTGAACCCAAGTAGTCTAGCTTCTAAGTCTATCCTGTGCTGTCTAACACAGTCATCACAAGCCATGTGTAGCTATTTAAATTTAATTTAAATTAAATAAAATTTAAAATTCACACCAGCCACATGTGCTCAGAAGCCACACACATGGCCGGCAGCAAGTCTACCGAACATTCCCGTCTTGTGAATGCACTGGTCATGCTCCACCCAGTGGAAGCACTTAGTCTATGCTCTTAGCTGCTACTCTCTTGCTGCCTTTCAGTCTGGGTTTGGCTCCACAGACTGAAGTTCCAACTCCATGCTGTATGTATCCCCAACCTAAGAAATATAACAAAGTTTTTTTCAGATTGGGACTCTCTACTGTGATTCTTTAAGCAAAAGAATACAGAAACAAGTTGACAGGAACTTGATTCTTGATGGACTTCCTCAACAAGAATGCCAACTGGAGGGCTTGTTTTTTTCCTTTGTTATTCTCTACTCTTCTCCTGGCAGGATGTTTGTAGAGATGGTCTCCGGCTGTGAGGTTACTGGCGCACACTTGCACCTGTCCTGCTGTGCAGAGCTGGAACCCTGTTTTTATGGATTTTGTAAGCAGAGTTCAGCCAGAGGGTAGCCCTTCCCAAAATTCAGTTCCCAAAATATTTGCAGATATTTTTCAAAACATAGGAAGTATACCACACAATGTTCTTTCTGTAACAAAAGGTACTGAGGTTTTTGGTGGCATCAAGGCAGTCTTTAAATTCTATGGCTTGGAGGACTGAGGGTGAGCTGTCCCTGGGGAGTTACGATTTCTGCAATTCCCAAAAAAGTTAGTTTTGCCTTTGAGGAAAGGCAGTTGTTCAAAGTTTAAAAACCTAAGAAGGTTAACACACCAAGTCACTGTTCAGTAACATGTGAATTCAAATGTTTCACCAAACATAGGTAAAGTATGGTAGAAGAAAGGAAATTCCTGGCATCAAGAGGCAGATCAATAAAGAGGTGACTCCCTGGTGGTTAGAGTGAGTCTCAAAGGAAGAAGGAAGAAAGTACTCAAGTGAGCTTAGTGGAAAACTTGAAAAAAACCAAAAAACTAATTCATGGTTTTTGCAGTGGCTAAATGTTCCAGTTATAAAATTGTTCCTGCATTTGTTAAATGAAGCCAATATAATACCTGTAACAAAATGTATTAATTCCTTCTCTTCTTTTAAGCCAGGCATTTTTCATGATGCTCATTTTCAGAGAACCCAAGACAGTTCCTCACTGCAACTCTAGGGTTTCTCTGGTCTTACGGTAAAAAAGAAGGAAGCCAGGTGTGCTGGTTTCCTGGTGGGGGCCCCAGACCAACAGCCAGAAGCAGATTTCGTATCTTCATGTTCCATGCTGTCTGTTTATCTCCATTTACAATTTCCTGAGCAACGACTTCCATAAACATATGCGCATATCATCATATGTAATAGCTGTATGGTGTTCTACAATATGGATGTACCAAAATTTATTTAACCAAGTCCCTATTACAGGACACATAGTTGTTCACTATTCTCAATACTTCCATGAGCACAGTAATATCATTATAACCTTGTCCAATTATCTTCATAGGATAAATTTTCTAGAAGGAAACCAACTGCTCTACAGAAATGGACCCTCCCATCAACCTTGTACAGAGGGCCTGTTTCCTTCTACCTTAATCAGCGTCAAGTATTAAGTTTCTAAGATCACTGCAGGTCTCCAAAGTGATAGCTTGTTATTATCATTTGCAAGTCTGCTTACTAGTGATGATGGATATGTTTTCATATAAGTTGATCATTTATTTGGGTAAGTTACTAACATTCTGTGCTTCTGTCTACGTATCTGTTAAACAGAAAAATAACTGAACTTACATCTAGAACTGTTTTGATGACTAAATAAGTTAATACATGTGAAATGCTTCTAATAATATGTAGAAGATAAAAGTATTCCAAAAAAAATGTTAGCTGTTACTGTTATTCATACTTTTTTTTTTTTTTTTTTTTAAGACACGGAGTATCACTCTGTCGCCCAGGCTGGAGTGCAGTGGCGCAATCTCGGCTCACTGCAACCTCCGCCTCCTGGGTTCTAGCAATTCTCCAGCCTCAGCCTCCCGAGTAGCTGGGATTACAGGCGCCCGCCAACATGCCTGGCTAATTTTTTGTATTTTAGTAGAGACGGGGTTTCACTGTGTTGCCCAGGCTGGTCTCGAACTCCTGAGCTTAGGCAATCCACCCTGCCTCAGCCTCCCAAAGTTCTAGGATTACAGGTGTGAGTCATCGTGCCTGGCCTATTTATACTTTTTTTTAACATATTTCTGATATGGGGAGTAAATCTTCCTTTGGGAACAACAGAGTTCCCATAGATGGTTACTTTTTGGGAATAGCACAGATGAAATAATTATCACTGGGTAACAAAGAACTACTGTATAAGCCCATGTGTACTTCTAGAAGGGGACCATCCTCCCTTCATTTAGTTAAAATGTCTACTAGACCAAGGCTATTTTTCTTTAATATGAATTAAGAAACTGCACCTGTTAATAAAAAAATTAACTATATTCTTTGATTTACTTGCTTTTTAATAAAGTAATTATGGTTTTCCCAGAATTTTTAAACAAAATTATACAACCAAAAAAATCCCCAAAAGAGGTTATTGGTTAAATAAATCACCATACATATAATATGTAGACTCTCATGCATCAAATAAAAACAATGATATTTTATGTCTACATAAAACAT
This sequence comes from Homo sapiens, assembly GCF_000001405.40. Classification (NCBI taxonomy): domain Eukaryota; kingdom Metazoa; phylum Chordata; class Mammalia; order Primates; family Hominidae; genus Homo; species Homo sapiens. The sequence goes on along the minus strand of NC_000002.12, from coordinate 54,495,707 downwards.
GGAATAATGCTCAGAGGAAATAAAGGTAAAAACACATGCAAATTATGATTCTAATTTTGTTTTAAAACATACATATATCTGAAACAATATACACCAAAATGTTAAAAGTATTTAGCACTGGGTGGTGGGATTAAAGGCAATTTAAATTTTCTTATTTTTCTTAAGTGTATTTTCCTTAATTTCTACAGAGAACACTTTATTTTTGAAATGAAACATCTTAAGTATTTGTACAGGTAGGATTCCAATGTAGTCTGCAGTTTCCTGGACAACGCAGAACTGTCTAGCAAGACAGAGCCCTCTTGGACAACAAGGTTCTCCTAATATGATTTAAACAGATTTGAGGGGGTGGCATCACATAAGGGTTCCTTGAGCTCTGAACCTGGGATTCCTGCCTCTTCATCTTCCCAGAGTGGGCAAAGCCGAGTTGATTTTGTCTGTCCCCTGCTTACCACCCGTCAGTGATGTACAACGCTTTCAAAACAATGCTCCAAATGTATGGTCCCTGCTGTCCTCCAGACCAACCTCTGCCACACACCTGCAACCTCCTATGATTCTCAGAATTGCCTCTGAGATGCCCTCTCTACACTCGCCTCAAGCTCACCTCCTCCAGGGGGTCTTCATTGTACCTTCTGTGCCCACACCTGTCACAGCATTCCACACACTGCACTACACCTGTCAGCCCACTTCTGCCCCTGTTCTTGACTGTGAGCAGGCTGGATGAGATATAAAGAACGGTGCAATTGGCAGACAAGGGAAGACAGAACTTTTTTCAGGACATTTTTTTTTTTTTAAAAAAAAACAGCTTTATTCAGGTATAACTGATATACAATGTGCATATTACACAATTTGGCAAGTTTTGACCTATGTATATACCTGTGAAACCATCATTGCCATCAACAAAATGAGCATACCCATCACTCCTAAGTTTCCCATGCCTCTTTGGAGTCCATGCCTCCTGGCCCATCCTCACTTACCCTTATTCTCCACCTCCAGACGACCATGGATCTGCTTTCTGTCGCTAGAGATTAGTTTGTAATTTCTATATAAATGGAATCATACAGTTAGAACTCTTTTTTTGTCTGGCTGCTTACCCAGTATAATTATTCTCAGATTCACTGATGTTGCTACATATACCAATAGTTTGTTTTTACTGCTGAATAGTATACCATTAAATGGCTACAACAGTTTGTTTATCCATTCACCCATGATGGACATGTAGGTTGTTTCCAGTTTGGGGTTACTACAAATAAAGCTGCTATAAACATTTGTGTATTTTTTTTGTACGAATATGTGTTTTCATTTCATTCCTAGGTATCTCTAGTTAAATACCTCGGAATTGAATGTCTGGGTAATATCACAGGTCATACTGTAATTTGTTAAAAAAACTGCAAGTTGTTTAAAACAATGAGCAGACAAGGACTCAAATGCACCAGAGGAATATCCTCTTAAAAGATAAGTCCTTTTTAAAAGGGATGATGAGTCACTTTATAATGTGAATAATCATCCTCTGTAATTTTTAAAATATTCACATTTTAAATTTCTCAAGTAAGTCATGTCTGTATTAATTACAATTATGTAAAAACTTGCACTCTGTCTGCTGTCCAATTCCTACACCGTACCTCATTCTTTTCAGGATTTGGGTAGCACCATTAATTGCATTTTTCTCTGTACTCTCTACAGTGGCATTTATGAGAAAGAGCATGACACTGTGATTATCTTCAAGTGTTGAAGGAGGACCCTTTCTTTGCATGTGTTCCAAGTAAAGAGAGTAACCCACTCACGTGACTTTGGGGAAGTTATATTAACTTCTGTTGTCTTTGATAGACACCCTATCATCACTCACATTTGAATGTAAGGTATCAGGGGTCTCCAGTTTAAGAGGCTATTAAGTAATACAACATGGGCTACACAAAGAAAAGCAATTTCACCTGCAAATATCTATGTTGGCACTTAGTCTTGGACCCTCTTCTTCAATTTTAACCTAAATTCAGAACACATAAAAATAAGGCCAGGTGTGGTGGCTCATGCCTGTAATCCCAACACTTTGGGAGGCCAAGGCAGGTGGATAACTTGAGGCAAGGAGTTCAAGACTAGCCGGGCCAACATGTCAAAACCTTGTCTCTACTAAAAATACAAAAATTAGCCAGGCGTGGTGATACACACCTGTAGTCCCAGTTACTCTGCTGAGGCACAAGAATCACTTGAATCTGGGAGGGGGAGGTTGCAGTGAGCTGAGATCACGCCACTGCACTCCAGTCTGCGTGACAAGAGTTAGACTGTCTCCCCCAACCCCCCAAAAAAGAAAACACAAAACACACAATTTATAGAATATATATGTAAGAGCAACCCAGAACACAGAAGGAAATTATAAGAAAACTAGAAACATCAAGATATGCTCCTTAGGCCGGGTGCGGTGGTTCATGCCTGTAATTCCAACACTTTGGGAGGCTGAGGTGGGAGGATTACTGAAGCCCAGGAGTTTGAGACCAGCCTGGGCAACATGGCGAAACCCCATCTCTACAAAACATGCAAAAATCAGCCAGGCATGGTGGTGTGTGCCTGTGGTCCCAGATACGCAGCAGGCTGAGGTGGGAGAATCCCTTGAACCCAGGAAGCGGAGGTTGCAGTGAGCTCTGATTGTGCCACTGCACTTCAGTCTGGGCAATAGAGTGAGACCCTGTCTCAAAAAAAAAAAAAAAAAAAAAAGATATGTTATTTAGTTCTATCTAAACTTTAAAAAAGGATTAGATTTTCTGATGGACACTGTATTCAATATTCTGCAGACATATTAAACTGCACAACAATTTTCTAAACACAGTTTTTAAAGGATCTGAGTGTAATAGCATAACAGAGCTAAACAGAGTCTGATAGCTTTTATTATTTCTATTAACTTTTCTGCTCTAGTTTATACAAGCCAATAAATCTCATTCTATTCCACATGAAAGGAAATCCACTCAGTAGTCAATTACATTTCTACATCAGGCTGGGGGTATCTTTGCTTGAGACATAAGAGACGTGTCCATGTGTCCTCAGCATGAAGACTGCTGTAACTTACATAAATGTTCCAGAAGCAAACCTTTTCAGTAAAAACCAAACCCCATATAAAATGTTACTAGCTTGCCTAAGTTCGAAGGCATCTACCACAGCAGTCAGTCAGTTGGTGCAAAGGGCAGTAGGTCCACCACCTGCAGTGAGGTCACAGGAATGACACAGCCTTTGAAAAAGGTGTTAAGTAAAACTCCTCAGACCCAGCAAATCCACTTTCAGGGATCTAGGGGAAAAGGCAACTTCAGATAAAAATATGAATGCAGTGATGCTCATCACTGTGCTTTTCTATAGTAGCAAAAAAAAAAAAAAACAAAAAAACAACTGCAGACAAACTAAATGTCCAGTAATAGGGCACACCTACTTTAGAAATAGGGTACACCTACTTTATACAGCCATAAAAAGTGTTTTCAAAACAATTTTTTAGCATGAATACAACCCATAAAAACAAAGGGTATAAAAATGTGAGTGTATATGTGAGCGCAAACCGTAAACTGGACCAGAATTATAGCATGGCTTAGCTCTAGGATTACAGGAATATTCTTTAATGTATTACTCTCATATTCAGAAGTTATTTTTTAAATTATGGTATATCCTAAAAATAATTATCTTGAGGTCTCTTGTTAAAAGCTCTTAAAATACCACATTATTTCTCTGGAAACATCTAAAGAACAAAATTTGTTTACCAGCCATGCTGCCTATTTCTTTAAGGGCCTATTTGCAAAGCCTAATAGAAAAATTTGGATTTAAAAAAGAGAGAAACAAACTGGGTGCAGTGGCTCATGACTGTAATCCCAGCACTTTGGGAGGCAAGGTGGAGGACTGCCTGAGCCTAGAAGTTCAAGACCAGCCTGGGCAACACGGCGAGACCTCGTCTCTACCAAAAAATAAAAAGAAAAGAAAAGTTAGCTAGGTATGGCAGCATGCATCTGTGGTCCCAGCCACACCAAGAGGCTGAGGCAGAAGGACTGCTTGAGCCAAGGAGGTTGAGACTGCAGTGAAGTGTGTTTGCACCACTGCACTCCAGCCTGGGTGACAGCCTTGTCTCCAAAAAAAAAAGAGAGAGAAATTAGAAGTAAATTACTTAAAAATGATTACTTGAACCACAGAATTTAAATGTTTATGATTACAAAGCATTTAAGATATGATATTCAAAAGTTTACTTTAAATGGCAGCTCTTCAGGAACATATTTACTCCAAGAAGTTATTCTTACATAAGATGACCAAGAATTTCTGATCAGTCCTTCATCAAGAATGTCAACCACAACAGCTCAAATCCTATTATCTAGTTGGTAATGAAATTTTTTTCTACCTAAGTGTAGAATGGTCGAAAGAGAAAATGTGACCTTCAATCCTTGAGTATGGTTTTGGAGACTTTTCACAATCTATTACTATGTGAAAAAGAAGGTAAATCCTCACAGTGACAGGCTATGATGCCAGGGGAATCTTCCTGTCGGTTAAGTTTATTAACAGTTTTTCTGGACCCCAAAATTTACAAAGTCTAACCTTGACCTTAGTAAGGTCCCTTAGAGTTTCTTAACCAAATTATTGCCACAACTTCCTGACTGGTTTCCCTGCTCTGAATTTTGCCCAACTGAAATCCATCCTCTTCCATGCCAGAGCTCAAACGAGCTTTGAAGAACACACAAGCTTGACTAAAATGTTTCACCACCCTCCTCACTTGTCTTTTGGGTAAAACCTCCTCTCAAGGCATGCAAGAGTTTTTGCCTGGCCTCAGCTCCCTTCACTCTTCAACACAGCCCTCTTTATTCCAGCCACAGCAGAAGAGGTCCTCAAAACACACTGTTTTCTCTCTCCCTGGCTTTCTGCCTGCTGTTCCCCTGCGTGGGACTCTCCCACACCTTAATCTTTCCAACTAACACTAATCATTTTTCAAGAGTCACCTCCAGCCTCATCCTTCTTCACTAAGCTGTCCCCATCCCTCCCATCTGGCATCTACCTGAATAAGATGCCTATTGACCAGACTGAAGCCCAAGCCCATCTTTGCTACTAAGGTGGTTATCCAACTTAATACAATAAAGCATGTCCGCTACTAAGGGGAAATTCAGGAACAGCAGATTAATAAGATAGCCAATTACTTCAAAGTGCTTATTCCCAATCAGAAATTTCTGGAGAATCACATCACCATTTTCAGTGATTTCAAGATTGTTCAAATTTCCTAGTAAATATTTTCCTATTTTGTGGACCCCATCTGAATTAAAGTGCCACCAGAGGGGATCCCTTAAATACTTTCTGAATTTAGAAATCTGTTTATAAAATCTTCATAAACAGGCCAGGCACTGTGGCTCTTGCCTGTACTCCTAGCACTTTGGGAGGTCGAAGCGAGCGGATCACCTGAGGTCAGGAGTTCAAGACCAGCCTGGCCAACATGGTGAAACCCTGTCTCTACTAAAAATACAAAAGTTAGCAGGGCATGGTGGCACGCAGCTGTAATCCCAGCTACTCAGGAGGCTGAAAGAAGAGAATCGCTTGAACCTGGGAGGCGGAGGTTGCAGTGAGCTGAGATTGCACTCCAGCCTGGGTGACAAGTGCAACTCCGCCTCACAAAAAAAAAAAAAAAAATTCATAAACTTGTTTTCCATTCTCTGTCATCACTCCAGCAAAACTGCACAGATTTTTGGGGTGTTCTGTGAGACCAGCAAGAATGGTTAATGCCGAGGTTCTCTCATGTTCTTATAGAAACACAGCTAGAATTACAAACATTTTAGGCTCATAGGTCTTCTCGTTGATCCAGAAAAATCCAACTGATAAAAACCACATTAGGAAGATTATATCAAAGTAAAGGACATCTTCTATAAATAACCTACATTCTCAGGAGTGTTTTCCAAAACATTCCCAATTAGAGATTGCTAAATGTATGCACGCTCTTTGTAAAAGCTCTTAATCATCTGCAACTGTCATCAGCTCTCAAATCAGAATTGTGATTTTTGGGTTTTTTTTGAGACAGGGTGCCCTCTCTCTGTCAGCCTGGCTGGAGTGCAGTGGCACGATCTCAGCTCACTGCAACCTCCACCTCCCAGGTTCAAGTGATTCTCATGCCTCAGCCTTCCAAGAACAGAGATTACAGATGCACACCACCACGCCTGGCTAATTTTTGTATTTTTAGTAAGACGGGGTTTCACCATGTTGGCCAGGCTGGTCTCAAACTCCTGGCCTTAAGTGATCCACCCACTTCAGCCTCCCAAAGTGCTGGGATTACAGGTGTGAGCCACCACATCCGGCTTAGAATTATGATTCTAAAAATCAGCAACTTGCAACTGCATATTGCCATATTTTTTCAAGGTACTTTCAGTTATACCATTTACTATTTTTTTTTTTTTTGAGACAGGGTCTCACTCTGTTGCCCAGGTTGGAGCACAGTGGCATGATCATGGCTCACTATAGCCTCAACTTCCTGGGCTCAAGTGATCCTCCTGCCTCTACCTCCTGAGTAGGTGGGACTGTAGGCACACACCACCATGCCTGGTTTTTTTTTTTTTTTTTTTTTTTTAAATACAGACCAGGTTTTGCCTAGGCTAGTCTTGAACTCCTGAGCTCAAGTGATCCTTCCACCTCAGCCTCCCCAAGTGCTGGGATTACAGGCATGAGCTACCATGTCTGGCCAATTACAGCATTTTATTTGGTCCCATTTTTGTCATTCATTTCTTAATGTCAAATCCCAGCATTAAAAGTTATTTTTCTTAATTTTCTATTTCTAGAAAATTAAATTGTTATTTTAGTCTCTGATAATAACTGTACTCTTAATTTTTGCCATGGCACTTATTGTATACAAGCAAGTTTATTCAGATTAGTCTCTTTACAAAGCGAGCCTTTGTAAGATTAATAACTTCATTATAATTGAAAGTCAAAAAATAATTCACAGAAGAGTGTGAAAAATTCTGTTATTTTTTTTCCCTACACAAAATGTACCATCTGGAGTTATTCTGCAGCCAAAAATACATCAGGAGATAAGACTTTTTTTATGGTGAAGGGAGGAGGGGAAACTAAATCACAAAGAAGCCACCACGATGAGATAATAATGCACAACACTGAAATCTGAGAAAAAGGGTCCAAGAGATCATTCTCAAAGCTTACACTTAGCCTGTGTGATCACACAGGACCTGTGACACACCACCTTTTATAATGAAGCAAGAAATAGCACTCACTGAATGAAACTAGAGGAGAATTCAACACACTGCCAAAAATAAAAAATAAAAAGAAGAGGATTTTAGGAAGAAGACTACAGTATGAGTCAGACATCACGGCAGTCCAAGGTGAAAACAGAGAGTCACTGACTCTCAGGGGTGCAAGGGACCTCCGAAAGGTCCTTGGTCTCGTCTTACCACTGGCTGCCTTTAATTGCAAGGAAATCACTTTCCCGCCCTAGTCCTCAGTTTCCTCATTTGAAAATTGAGGCATGACGGTAAGGCCAGTGGGTCTCAAACTTGGATGGTCACCAAAATCACCTAGGAATTTCAAAATACAGACTCCTGGACCTAGTGACTAGAAATTCTTATTCATAAAGGATATGATGGGCCGGGCGCAGTGACTCACGCCTGTAATCCCAGCACTTTGGGAGGCTGAGGTGGGCGGATCATGAGGTCAAGAGATCAAGACCATCCTGGCCAACACAGTGAAACCCCGTCTCTACCAAAAATACAAAAAATTAGCCGGGTGTGGTGGCAGGCGCCTATAGTCCCAGCTACTTGGGAGGCTGAGGCAGGAGAATGGCGTGAACCTGGGAGGCGGAGCTTGCAGTGAGCTGAGATCGTGCCACTGCACTCCAGCCTGGGTGACAGAGCAAGACTCCGTCTCAAAAAAAAAAAAAAAGACACAGGAGGAGACCATCAAGTGAATTAATATCACTATATTAAAAGCCAATTTAAGAATGTGAAATTCTGACCAACTTTTGACTTTGAGTATTTCATAAAAGATACTGCGACATCCTAATGATACATGACTTCACTGATTCATTTATTCATTTATTGTAACACTAGAAAAGCAATGGTACTCTAGTTTAGTGGGTAGACTGACATTAATAATTATTAATGAAGAAATGTGACATTAGATAATATTGTGAAGGAAAAGTATGCAGCTTTGTGAACACATGTCTGAGGAATTGTACCTAGGCTGAAAATCAGGGAAGGCTTCTCAGAGAAAATGATGTTGGTATTTCTTAAGTTGTGCAAATATGCAAAATAGATCTACATTTATTGAATCATCATTACTCTGCACTGCGATTCATTGTACAGTAGTAGTATGTCATGCATATAGTAAATGCAAACAAGTACACATCAAAGGTGCGCAGTAATTAGTCCTGAGAATAATGTTTTCCATTAATATTATATTGCTTAATTTCATTACGTGAAAACTTTTTCTGATAATAGACAAAATTAAATGTTGGAAACCAAGTAATCTATTTAATTTCAAAGGGAAAAATTGTGCTGATTTTTGAAAAAGTTAAAAAGCAGCAAAAAAAAAAAAAAAAAAAAGAAATCCTAATGAGGAAATCAGAAAAAGCTATAGAAAAACAAATTTTATACATGAACAATATAAACTGTGTATATTACCTAATACCAAAGTAAACCAGATTCAGAATTGATGGTTATGTAAGAACTAGCTCATATAAAAATAAGATGACATTATTATATTGCTAGCCTCAAAAACTGGTCCTCAGCGCCGTTTGATAAATGATCTCACGTAAATGACTCAGAGCAAAAGTACCAACACTTATGTTTGCTTGTTACAAAGCAAAAGCAGTTTTTTCAATACAAGCATCAGAAGACCCCGGCAAGGCTCTTGCCACCACACCTGGCCTCCTCCTGTGTCTTCTAAATCAACATCAAAATCTAAATTATCATCCCTTTCTTCATTTCTTCTGCAGCTTCTTCTATGGTTAGAACTTAGATTTTCTTTTTTTTTTTTTAATTTATTATTTTTTTTTAATTGATCATTCTTGGGTGTTTCTCGCAGAGGGGGATTTGGCAGGGTCATAGGACAATAGTGGAGGGAAGGTCAGCAGATAAACAAGTGAAAAAAGGTCTCTGGTTTTCCTAGGCAGAGGACCCTGCTGCCTTCCACAGTATTTGTGTCCCTGGGTACTTGAGATTAGGGAGTGGTGATGACTCTTAACGAGCATGCTGCCTTCAAGCATCTGTTTAACAAAGCACATCTTGCACCGCCCTTAATCCATTGACCCCTGAGTGGACACAGCACATGGTTCAGAGAGCACAGGGTTGGGGGTAAGGTCACAGATCAACAGGATCCCAAGGCAGAAGAATTTTTCTTAGTACAGAACAAAATGAAAAGTCTCCCATGTCTACTTCTTTCTACACAGACACGGCAACCATCCGATTTCTCAGTCTTTTCCCCACCTTTCCCCCCTTTCTATTCCACAAAACCGCCATTGTCATCCTGGCCCGTTCTCAATGAGCTGTTGGGTACACCTCCCAGACAGGGTGGTGGCCGGGCAGAGGGGCTCCTCACTTCCCAGCAGGGGCGGCCGGGCAGAGGCGCCCCTCACCTCCCAGACGGGGCGGCTGGCCGGGCGTGGGGCTGACCCCCCCACCTCCCTCCCGGACAGGGTGGCTGGCCGGGCAGAGGGGCTCCTCACTTCCCAGTAGGGGCGGCCGGGCAGAGGCGCCCCTCACCTCCGGGACGGGGCGGCTGCCGGGCGGAGAGGCTCCTCACTTCTCAGACGGGGTGGTTGCCAGGCAGAGGGTCTCCTCACTTCTCAGACGGGGCGGCCGGGCAGAGACGCTCCTCACCTCCCAGACGGGTCGCGGCCGGGCAGAGGCGCTCCTCACATCCCAGACAGGGCGGCGGGGCAGAGGCGCTCCCCACATCTCAGACGACGGGCGGCCGGGCAGAGACGCTCCTCACTTCCTAGATGTGATGGCGGCCGGGAAGAGGCGCTCCTCACTTCCTAGATGGGATGGCGGCCGGGCAGAGACGCTCCTCACTTTCCAGACTGGGCAGCCAGGCAGAGGGGCTCCTCACATCCCAGACGATGGGCGACCAGGCAGAGACGCTCCTCGCTTCCCAGATGGGGTGGCGGCCGGGCAGAGGCTGCAATCTCGGCACTTTGGGAGGCCAAGGCAGGCGGCTGGGAGGTGGAGGTTGTAGCCAGCCGAGATCACGCCACTGCACTCCAGCCTGGGCACCATTGAGCACTGAGTGAACGAGACTCCGTCTGCAATCCCGGCACCTTGGGAGGCCGAGGCTGGCAGATCACTCACGGTTAGGAGCTGGAGACCAGCCCGGCCAACACAGTGAAACCCTGTCTCCACCAAAAAAATACGAAAACCAGTCAGGCGTGGCGGCGCGTGCCTGCAATTGCAGGCACTCGGCAGGCTGAGGCAGGAGAATCAGGCAGGGAGGTTGCAGTGAGCCGAGATGGGAGCAGTACAGTCCAGCTTCGGCTTGGCATCAGAGGGAGACCATGGAAAGAGAGGGAGAGGGAGACCGAGAGGGAGACGGAGAGGGAGACGGAGGGAGAGGGAGAGGGAGAGGGAGAGGCGATTGTTTTCAATATTTTATTTTTTCTGGTTCCTTACTGAACGGAATAACAATGTCTTCTTTCTTTCCACATTCTGTGCAAACTTCAAGTTCATAGGCGCATGGTCTACACACTGTGTGATAAGAATCCTTCACTGTCTTTCATAAACATTTAACACATTTTTTAGGTTTGATAATGGTTTGTATTTTTTGTATTTTACACGACACTCAAGAACTTCTTTATAGCGCTGACATACTATATCAGGAAGTTTTGCATTAATTTTCTTGGTCTGAACACTCTTATCAAACTTGTCATTTTTGAAGCTAAACGTATTCTGGTGCTTGAGGCCTGGAATGAGCCACATTGCGCCTTTCTGGGAGCTTGTCTCCGACACAACCACCCCACGCCGGGTACAGGCAAAAGGATGAAGGGAAAACCAACGAACTACTCCCAGGAGTTAACACTTCTCTACTTGTCCTTTGAAATTCTATCCTATAAAAGGCCTCAAACATCCATAAGCATAGAGGAATAGTGGCACCCTGAAGAGTTACCAGGATGGCAACTACAGAAGACACTTGTCATCAACGCTGGCTTTCCTATTATTCCTCTTAGCATTCTTTTTCGGCTTTCCAGCTTCCCATATTCCTGTTCTTAGGAGAAGTTAACATTTCCTACCTTGCTCTCTGAGCTTGAGGAAAGAGAATATAGAAAATGGCAAAATAAAAGTGTGAAATGTAATTAAAAATAGCAGATGAGTACTAACAAAAAGTCTAAAATTTACTGACAATGGGAAAGGAAGGAGAGCAGGCCTCTTCTGGCAGTCAAGAGCAGGACTGAAGTGAATGAGAGGAAAATAAACACAATTCCCAAGCATATAAAAGTCCTAGGAGGGCCCCGATAATTTATTTCTCAGAGAAAGGCAGTTAATACCGTGCAGTTATCACTTGCCAACAGACATATTTGGTTTTGTTTTGTTGTTGAGACAGGGTCTCACTCTGTCCCCCAGGATGGAGTGCAGTGGTGCAATCACAGCTCACTGCAACCTCTGCCTCCTGAGCTCAAGTAATCCTCCAACCTCAGCCTCCCAAGGCACAGGCACATACCACCATGCCCAGCCAATTTTTGTATTTTTTGCAGAGACAGAGTTTCACCATGTTTCCCAGGCTGGTCTCGAACCCCTGGGCTCAGGTGATCTGACTGCCTCAGCCCCCCAAAGTGCTAGAATTACAGGCATGAGCTACCATGCCCAGCCCCAATACAGATATTTGGATACAACCCCGTCAAGAACACTAACCTGACCAGCGGAACAAAGCAAGAAGGCAATAAGGTCTGCAACAGGCACTTAAACTTCACCCTGGTTTAACAGCAGACAATGACAAAACAGGAGAAACTCTTTGAAATGACTCACAGGCCCTGTGAAGCCACTGGGGGTCACACCCCTAAATCACCCAAGTGCCTTTGATCCATGCATTCTCAGAGCTCTTCCTACCCACTTCCTGTGCCCAGGAACACTTGGCATTTTCTTTATAGTGGGCTCACAGAAAGCAACAGAAATCTGCTCCTGGGGAGGTGCTAATGTCCAGCGAAATGCAGGAGACAGGAAGGCACAGCAAAGAGCCTGGATGGTACAGACCAGACTGCGGGCTTCCAGACAGCCTCTCCACGTGAGGGTTTCTCACGCCTGCAGGAGGAACAATCTCCAAAAAGGTCCTGCTGAGGGAAGCAACGGGTAGAAAATCCGCATCCTTTGGTATACACTTCATGTTTCCTCTAACCCCTCGCTTTTCCGTGACCCTACCTTCCTTGGATCTTATGTGCTATGTCTGAACAAACATGGAACATAATTGATTCCATTCTTAACCCCGTGGTGCCCAGTGCTCCAAGAACATGGGGGCCCATAATGGGAGTTTATTTCACGGGAAATATGTGCTAGCACTGTCCTTGTTTCCCACACACTAGAGATGAGCCAGCAGAGGCAAACTATTGAGGCAGGTCTTTCTCCAGCAGAAGAGATAAAAATCTCCTCTCACCTAGTTTAACCCCAATACTCAGGCTTCGGTTCCCTTCCAGGGCATTCCTCGGCTCTGAAAGAATAAAGCTGCATTCTCTCTTCCCTGGCCCGGCCTCCTCAGGGTCACATTTGCCTGCCCCCAGTCCTCACCACACCCCTTCGGGCCAGCCTGCTTTAAACGGGGCCTTTCTGTAAGATGTGACACATAATCCATTGCACCAACTGCTGTGGGGCTTCTGGTGCCAAAAGACCATTGAGAAAAAGGCTGCTTAAAAAAGTATGGAGTGACTCAGTACTGCCAAGTCCTGTGGGATTACTTATTCCAAGCCTGTCCTTCCTGTGTCAGGCTTCTTAAATGTTCATGCTCCTCCCATGTTTTGTTGACACCCTAGATCTAGGCTGCCCAATGAAACTGTCTGCTGTGATGGAAATGTTCTATATCTATACTATCCAACAGGGCAGCCATGAGCCATGTGTGGCTACTGAGCATTCGAAATGTGGCTAGTGTGACTGAGGAAATGAAGTTTCAGTTTACTTCATTTTAATTCACATAAACATAAGTAACTTCCTGGTGCTCATGGCTCCCTACTGGACAGCACAGGCCAGAGACATAATTTTGAGGGGAGGCCAGAGGATAGCATGCATACTTGGCTTATGTTACAATCACCTGAGGACCTCTTGCAAGTCCTGGTGCCCATTCTGTATCCCAGACAATTCAATCAGATTCTCTGGAAGTGGGACCCAGACATCTGCATTTTTTCTCTAATTGTTTCTAATTTTTTCTTTTTTTTTTTTTCCTGCTGTAGAGATGAGGTCTTGCTATGTTGCCCAAGCTGGTCTTGAACTTCTGGACTCAAGTGATCCTCCCTCCTCAGCCTCCCAAAGCAATGGAATTTCAGGCATGAGCCACCATGCCCGGCTGACACCTGCATTTTTTTAAGTCTCCTCAGGGGATGCCAATGCGCTGCCAAGATTGAGGATCAGTGCTCCAAAATGTGAAAATGTCTACCATTAATAGTCAATCCCTATCCGACCAGGCACTTCAAACACCAAAAACTAAGCCATGTAAATAATGAGGCCAAATATCCCACTCATCATGCAATCCTGTGGTACTATGCCACACCTCAGGCTCATCAATAGCAAAACCATGTCCAAAAAATGGGCTGCTTTATAAAGGAAGCCATGCGGAGGAAAAGAGACAGCTCAGAAAAGAAGGTAAAAGGAGGAAGCAAAGAGGTTTTACAAATAACTGTCAGTATATAAAGCCTGGCTAGTATCAATCTTTATATACAAATAATTCATTTTCTGGAAAGTTACCAGTTAACAATAAAACACACCTCCAAATCTAGTACTCCGAACAAACAGCTTTAATTGGATTCCTTCCCTTGGCTAACCCATCCACACACTCTCTGCGCCTAACAGTAAGCTCTTACCACTATGCATTTTTCTTCAAAAGATTATCTGAAACCTGTGCTTTTTCACTGGGGACATTAAACTCTTTAAATGGCAGCAATTAAAAAGCCGGTATTGGTCCAAAATCCATTTGCTCTGGCTCACTCTTGTCCAGCAGGCACAAATCTCAACCTTTACTTGCCATTACTAATTTCACCAAGTGTATCATTAATCTGGTGAAGCTTTTCCTCAGGGACTTGGTTTAACAGAGGCATCATATCCAGAGTTTGGAAAACAAACAAACAAACAAACAAAACAAAACACACACACACACACACACACACACACACACACACACACACACACACACTCAGGTTTCTGCAGCCTCTAATCTTCCAATCAGCATTTCCCAAAGGCATGCCATGCCCTTCAGGGTTGACTGCTGATAGAGTTCCAAAGCTGGGGCAAAAAGCTCACCAGCACTTTCTGGGCAGCACTGCTGAAAATCAAAAACAGCAAGAGAGATTCTAATGGGAAGAGTATCTGAAGGTTACTTTTTTTTTTTTCCAAACCTGTTCTTCATTTCTAGGATTTTATTATCATCATCATCATTATTACTTAGAGATGTGGATTTTGTTTGTTGCCAGGCTGGCCTCAAACTCCTGGGCTCAAGTGATCCTCCCACCTCAGCTTCCCAAGTAGCTAAGACCACAGGTGCTCACCATGGCACCAGGATGAATGTCACTCTTAATGACAATAAAAGTAGCTCCCTCTACATTGACAAGTGAAATATAAATGACCCAAAATTAACCCCCTCCCCAAATTATTTAATATTACTAAAGTAATTCAATTATAAAACCGAGAACTCCTAGAGCTGGCCAGGGCTTCAATAAGTCACCTTAACTAATGGACTCCCCTGCAAGGAAGAAGAGCTGGCTTAAGTTCATCCACATTCACAGCCAATAAGTTCTCAAAGAGCAAATGTAAATCCCTGCTGCTGTGGCAAACCAGACTGAATTCTTTTTCATCTTGGCCTTTGTGGGAACCAGCAGCAGCAACTCAGTGATGACTTCTCAACCATCCATTCCAATGGAGGGTAGACAACATGGATTTTTTAAAAAATTAACACAATACTTATAAAAGGATCTGGACTACATGTTTCATATACATCTGAATGTGGGTTATACTGAATAGAATAAAAATTCTTTCGGATTACAAAACTAGGATTGCTAGATAAATACTGGACATCAAGTTAAAGCTGAATTTCAGATAAACAATGAATTTTTAGGATAAGTATGTCTCAAATACTGCATAAGACAAACTTACACTAAAAAACGATGTGTTGTTCATCTGAAATTAAAATTTAACCAGGCATTCTGGCTTCTTTTTTGTTTGATTTTGTTTTTCCTAAATCTGGCAACCCTGCATATCACTACTCTGGGAAAAATCCAACTTTTAAAAGAGGCAGAAGAGGTTGGGCTTTGCCACTCCCCACCCACTCAACCTCCCAACCATTCTGTATCTCAGCGCCAGCTGTTCAAAAGGTGCTTTCCAGTGTAGATGCTAATTACACACAACCTGATAAATGAGTGTCCCAATACCCAGCACCCATCTCTGGGCCACAGGTGCTAATTATATAATTAAGTGCCACATATACACGTAGCTGAAAAAGTAAAAGTCAATTTTACTTTCTGAGCCTTTATCTGAGGAAAGGGCTCAGATAAAGCAAGCAATTAAGTTTGAGCAGGTGCCATAAATGGAATAAGCCATTAGTAAATATTAATGTTATTAAAAGCAAAGTTTGCTTGGAAGGCTGAAGCAGGAAGATCACTTGAGCGCAGGAGTTAGAGGCCAGCCTGGGCAACACAGTGAGACCTTGCCTCTTGGAAAAAAAAAAAGCAAAATTTGCTTGGGAGAAATAATATAAAGATAATAGAAAGCGAACTGAATACTTAAATGGTTATTACATGAATTAAGTACCCTAAATAATTTTTTAAATAGCTACAACTATTGAATAGCTATGTGCCAAACAACATTGCAAAACTTTACATGTTTTATTGCATTTAATCTTAACACCCTAGGAAGTGAGTCATGTCCCTTCCACAATGTGAAGAAACCAAGACACCAAGATTAGGTAACTTCGTTAAGACTAGAGTGACCATGTTATCTGGTTTGCCTCAGACCTTCCTAGTTTATGCCTGCTGTACTGGTACAACTATTAAAAGTGTCTCCTTTCATTCTCATAAATTACCTAGTTTGGATAATAAATTATGTGTTCACCTACCAAAGACCACAGTCAGTAACCAGCAGAGGCAGGGTTCCAACCAGGCAGTGTGGCTCCAAGAAACAGAACCTAACCACTGTAAAATACTCCCTCCCAAGTCCTACCTTCCACAGAAGAGGACTGGAACAATGGGATTTATTTATTTAATTTTACCAATCATACCTTAGATTTCTTACATGGTTACAAACCAACTTGGGGGGGAGGCGGTTGGTAAGGGTCATGTTTTCTATAACTATACTTTATTTGCCTTTAAATCATTGCTATACACAACACAAGTCATCTGCAGGCAGAGAAGACTCTGCAGTCAGCCTTCACTGACATCCCTGGGCCTGAAAATGTTTAAACATTTCAACTTAATCAAAGTATCTGGTCAAATATTTAACCAGATCTTTTTCTATTTTAAAACAACCTTTACTTTCCTTCAGCCTGGCCAGGCAGCCAGGACACTCAGTTGTTTGTTATTTTTATTAAAACAAAGGTGGACATGCAGTAGGTTCTGGCTTTTAGTTCCATACACAATGGGCTTTCCTCCTTTCCCTAGTAATAAAACATATATATATATACACATATATATACACACACACTCACATATACGTACATACATCTTTTTTTATCTCTGGTATTGTGTATTTTCAGAACACTTTCTATTTTCCCAGCAAATGTTTAACCATTCATGCTATTAACAGTTTGACAACATGAAAACAGTAAACATGAGCATAAACTTGTAGGCTTACTTCATTTATATAATTTTAAAATGCATCCCAAGTGGTTCCAATTAGCAGAAGTAAGATGCCTTTCAAGGTTCAGCACACTGGAAATAGTTGCAAGGACACCAAGTACTTCCACATATCTGTTAACAGCAATAGTTTCAGCCCTTACTCTTGTGTGAAGCTGTGTGATTGCACCTAGCCTCTCGGAGCTCTGGACTCTTCTTTGATACAATCATGTGGATGTACTAAGATCTACAGGGTTCGGCCCAGACCCAAAACTTCCAATTCTATGATCCTCTACAATCTTTCTGACTGTGAGCTGCACCCTGTAATGTGAAAACACTGCTCTTCCACGAAACTCCCCAACATTTGACCAGGTCCAGAGGGTGGCCCATCAGGGGACCCACTACAGGTCCTTGAAGAGTGAGGAAAAAAAACAATCCTCTCTCAAAGGCAGACTTACTCCAAGGCTACCATCACTGGAACCTGACACAAGCATCTGAGGGCATGAAACACGAGCGTTCTCATAAGAGAGTGAAATCTCTTCCCCGGGGAAGACCTGCCACAGACAAGGGCCCTGGGACCAGGATCGGACAGCTCTGTGGCAACTGGTGCAGGTTCCCATGTTTGTCATATCCCTGGATACATTAAGCCTGATTCCTGTCAGCCTCAGACCATGTGAAAAATGTTTTCTTAATGTATGTTTTTGTGATGGGTCATGAATGCTTTTTCCACAATACTGGTATCAACAAAAAGGATAAGACTGGGAACTGTGGCTCTGAAGAAGGTTTTCTCTGCCTCAAATCCTCCCAAGTCACCTTTAAAAAGCAAAGTCTACTACCAGTCTTTTTTTTTTTGAGATGGACTCTTACTCTGTCACCCAGGCTGGAATGCAGCGGCATGATCTTGGCTCACTGCAACCTCCGCCTCCCAGGTTCAAGCAATTCTCCTGCCTCAGCCTCCTGAGTAGCTGGGATAACGGGCACCCGCCACCATGCCAGCTAATTTTTGCATTTTTAGTAGAGACGGGGTTTCACCATATTAGCCAGGCTGGTCTCGAACTCCTGACCTCGTGCTCCGCCCACCTCAGCCTCCCAAAGTGCTGGGATTACAGGCATGAGCCACCGCGCCCAGCCTACCAGTCAGTCTTAATCGTAATGGCAGCAGGAAAAGGGTAGGGTGGGGCTGTGAGGTAACTGACAGCTTTAAAAGTGTGTTTCCTGTCATAAAACAGCAATTGTCCTTCGCACCTGTTTACTCACAAAGGAAAAAAGCAAACAAAACAGAAAATGAAAAAAGAATTCTTGGCCTGGATTTAACATGATTTCTAATAGAAAGTGAATTAATTAATTAAAAAAAAAAAAAAAGGTAATGCCACAAATCCGAAAGTCTGGGGAGTTAGAGAGTTTAGTCTTTATCAAGTTTTACCCATGTACAGTTACAAAACGGGGGTTGGGGAGGCTGCTCCTTCTTACCTAAAGTTTATTACATGAAGTTTACAGCCATTTTAAGTGAAAACTTCCATACTAAGATTTGTTACATACGCAGGCATAAAATCCCTGGCAACAAATGTTGTGTTTAAATCCAAAGTCTTCTGGTAGAGAAATATTTAATACCTCTTGACAAAAGTTATCTCTCTGTTTCTTATCAGAGCCCTCATTTCAGTAGTATCTCATTTCAAAACTTCTAGAAAACTTGTTACAGAAAGTCAAAGAGAACCAAGAAAAACACTGAAGCCAATAAAAAAAAAACTCGGTGTGTTTGGACCATCTGTCCAAACCAATTTAATTTTTTTATAACCACTAAGATATGTGGTCAAAGTTTATTTACCTTTCTCTTTTCAATGGTAAGTTTAGAACACAAAGGCAACTAAATGAAGAAAAAGTCCTATGGATTCAACACAGGCATGTAACCAGTAATAACTAATTTTTAAAAACACTGCCTGCAATTTGATTTGCAATAGAAAAAATCTCTCTTCAAATAGTCAACTCTTTTAACAAACAATAAAAACAAAGCTTCTTCCCAATGCAAGTATTAATTAAAATGCAATTCCAAATACTTGCTTTGTATGAGAACAAGTTAGACAAATTAGGGTATCCCAAAGCATGTTCAACAAAACCTGCATCCGAGAGAGGCTATGAAAAGTAAGAAAATAATTCAAAGGTCAGGTAAGTTTGGGAAACATCGTATGTTACTCTCCACCTCCAGAATGCCTGTTAGGATACAACAGCTCGGAGACGACCTTCACTAAAGAGGCCTAGTACATGTTATTAAGCCCAGCATTCTCCAGATTTACTTGACCAGGAGATGCCCTTTATCAACAGTACATGTGAACATACTGCAAAACTGGTGCTTCAAAGAAGCTGATGGGAAATGCTGGATTCGACCATATTACCTACTCTGTTATCTATGTTTAGTTAGAAACTTTTAATGATCACACATACCCAGTCTCTTCTTTTTGTGGCTACATGGGAGGATTACTCTTACCTGCTACCCTAGCATTTGGGCGGGGCATTTGATTATTCTGATCAATGGCCTGCATCTAGCCCATCAGTCCACCGTCCTTGAGTGAGGATGGCACAGAGCACCCTGCCACCATGTGACGGACAAGTAACATGAGTGGAAAATACGCATCTGTGAGTTTGAGCCACCGAGATTCTGGAGATCTTTGTTACTGCAGCACCAGCCTAACCTGCCTGATAAACTATGGAAGGGAATTTTTCTTAAATAAACCTATATATAGTGACCAGAAGTGACAAAATAAATATATAGAGAAATGTGGAATAAGCATACAACAAGAATGAACCTTTAAGGCCACTTTGGTCTAAAGAATCTCATTTCAAGCACTAAAGAGCAGTGAATTAAAACTAAACACTCTGGTATGGACTAATTTGAAGCATCAAAAGTTTTGTTTGTAGTTTGTGGAGGTGAGGCCTTTGACACAAGAAAACTAAAACTCTATTACATAATTTGTCTAAATTCATACTGTTAATAACAGTCATGTGCCTTACCGATGGCTGTATTCTTTTCACTAAACAATGAGTCTGAATTAGTGGAAAATACTAAATGATGAATTTAAAAAATAGTTTTGAGTTTCATTACTCCAAGGCACTCTGTAAGAATGCCGTTCTGTGGCTCAAACTCACAGAAGCATGTTTCCCACTCATGTTACGTGCCTGTCACATGGTAGCAGGAGGCTCTACCATTCTCACTCAAGGACTCTGGCTGCAGTCTGGACACAGGCCATTCCTCAGAACTAGTCCAACATGCCACCAAAATGCAAGGGGAGCAGGCAAGAGTGATTCTCCCATGTGACCACAGAGAGAAGGGACTGCATATCTGTCATCATTAAAAGTTTCTAAACATAGATAACAGCATAGATAATGTGGTTTAATCCAGCATTTCCCATTAGCTTCTGTAAGAATGTGGAAGTATTATGGAACCAAAAGGAGACAAACTGTTGCCAAACGGAAGGCCCTAAGCTTTTAAAGAATAAGCTGTTCTTATAATTGACAAACTAACCGTTTGCAAGGGATACATCCACTTTTCTTTTTCTTTTTTGAGACGGAGTTTCGCTCTTGTCACCCAGGCTGGAGTGCAGTGGCGCGATCTCAGCTCACTGCAACCTCTGCCTCCCGGGCTCAAGTGATTCTCCTGACTCGGCCTCCTGAGTAGCTGGGATTATAGGCATGTGCCACCACGCCCGGCTAATTTTTTGTATTTTTATAATTTTATATTTTGTATTTTTATAATTTTTTGTGTTTTTGTATTTTCACCATGTGGCCAGGTTGGTCTCGAACTCCTGACCTGAAGGCAATCTACCCGCCTCAGCCTCCCAAAGTGCTGGGATTACAGGCATGAGCCACTGCGCCCAGCCTACATCCACTTTTGAAAACAAAGTTTACTTTTTCAAATTATAGAAGTAACATATGCTTACTGTAGAACAGCAGAAAATACAAAACAGCTCTGAGACAAAAGCAAAAATCACAAGGAATCTCATCCATTCTCCCCTCCCCCAAAAACCTTAATATTTGTAGTATTTCCTTATCCCTTTTGTATATTTTTCTACATAGTTACGGTAATTCCATTTATATAATCTTGTGTTCTGCTTTTTCTCCCTATGTTAAAAACCTTCCCATGTTATTAGAAGGTATTCCATAATAATATTAAAGTTTTTATTAATATAGTAAATAATACTTACATATTTCCAGGCACTAGTCTAACTGCTTTACCTATAACTTATTTAATCCAACCAACCCTATATGGTCTGTACTATGATTATCCTGATCTTACTGATGAGGAAACTGAGACCGAGAAGGGTTAATGACTTGCTCAGGGTCACAAAGTGGGCCCATGGTGAAATCAGGTTTTAGACCCAGGCACCACAGCTCCACGGTCAGCACTTTTAACTACACACTGTATTGCCTCCAGAATATATAGTCCACCCTGTAACTTACCAATGATGGACTTTTAGGTTATCACCACTTAAAAAAATCATAGTAATGTTACAATAGACATCTTTATAGGCATCTGAAGCACTATTTTATCTAAGCCTATTCAGACAGCAAAACTTTTACCAGTTCAACAAGTTCAATTTATTTTCAGCTAGCCAACAACAGCTGTAGAAACATCTAAAATGGCTAGCATTTCATACACCAACTCATTACTCCACCTACCAGTGGTATGAACTTCCATGTGGGCCTCACCTGTCCACCCTGCTGCCATCTGCAGCAGACTCCAATGTTTCCGTCTGCCTTCACACTGCAGAAGGAGCCAGTTAAAACCCTGGGTCTGTCTGACTGCATCCCCCAGTAGATATAAGCAAATTCCATAGATTTTTTATGTCTGGAATATTTTAAATGCTAAGCTTATTTGTTCCTAGTCCTATAAGCTTGTGCCAGTACAAGGCATACAGACGAGGAGACAGAACATCCCATATACATGTGTAAAATTTAAAATGAATGTTTTTCTAATTCAGACAATAATCCAGAAAAGGAACATTTGAGTATTTAACTTTTTGCCTGCTTATCGTATAATGAATGACTGAATTCTCCTGCAAGGTTAAAGGAATGCACACTCTAAATTAATAGATGGTGGGAGGTGAAAACTATCCAAAATATATTTTCACATGAGGGGACCAGATAATGGTATGCTAAGTAAAAAGGAAATGGTGGCCTGTAGTTCACCTCTCCTCAATACAATTTACCAGTTCAGTTATCCAAGGATGTGTGTGTATGTGTGTGCGTGTGTGCTTAAAAAAAAAACAAAACTGGAGATGTCCAATAAAAGGGAAAAGCAAAAACAGAATTTTGATACTTTAGAAGTCATAGGCTCAATAAAGAAATTTTCCAACATGGCAACAATGCCATATAGAATTCATTTGCCATCTGAAAGTGAAAAGATCAATACATCTAAAAGAAGCTGCCCACACACGCATTTTCCAAGAAATATTTTTCTATGTTATAAAAACACAAAATATGGTTTTTAACATATTCTAAAAACATACCCCAAATAACCTCAATTCTATTGACCAAAAAGTACAGTAATTACAAATTATAAATCTCTGTATAAGGCACTTACATAAAACCAGAAATAATGTTTCTATACAAGGAGAGGACCTCTAAAATACATGTAAAATACGGAAAGTGACAAAGCAAAATTCAAGACTTACACATATGAAGACAGTGAAACAAAAGAAACAAAGCCATTTTCAGGATACGCTACAGAGCTATGAAATTATCACAATTAGTCTCAATCTAAACGTCTAAAGGACTTTAAGTTATGGGATAATTAACATATCTGTTAATATCATCTTTTAGGAAATCCTTTAGTATAGAAACTTGGTTTGTATTTAAGCCTCTCAAAATAAAGTTAACTCACTGTTTCCATCTACTATTTAACATGTAACTCACTGTTTTCATCTGCTATTTAACATATAAATCCTGGAAATTCTTAGTTTACTTCCAATCATTAACCCAAATACTGCATTTTTAAAAATGTCATATTCAGAGCACCCAAACTAACTGGCTGTTTAGATTAGTCCCACAGGCAGCCCCAGCCCCACCCAGGTACCCACACCCCCTGCAACCTTGATCACATCACCATCAGGCTCAAGTCTGTACAGGACCCATTTCAAAGACCACTCCCAACCCCCCCTGTTTTTACCACTCTGACTTAAAAAACAAGCCTTTCTATTGAAAAAAATTGAGAGACTACAGTTAGACAGTGAATTAATTACAAACAAGAACTAAGTACTGCAGACAAACTACCAATGAGCTTACTAAGAAGTCTAAAAGTGAATCAGCTAAGACAAGATTCCACAGCAAAGTAACCAATGCCTCTGACTCTGCCTCTCTAATGTGTTAGTGTTCAAACATCAATAATTCCTTTCCAAAAGCCTATCAAACATATAAAATATAGGACTTTTAAAAAAAATCTTCAGGCTGGGCGCAGTGGCTCATGCCTGTAATCCCAGCACTTTGGTAGGTCCAGGCGGGCGGATTATGAGGTCAAGAGATCGAGACCATCCTGGCTAACATGGTGAAACCCTGTCTCTACTAAAAATACAAAAAATTAGCTGGGCGTGGTGGTGGGTGCCTGTAGTCCCAGCTACTCAGGAGGCTGAGGCAGGAGAATGGTGTGAACCCAGGAGGCGGAGCTTGCAGTGAGCCAAGATCGCGCCACTGCACTCTGGCCTGGGCGACAGAGCGAGACTCAGTCTCAAAAAAAAAAAAAAAAAAAAAAACATCTTCAGGGCCCCAGTTTTTATTCAAACTACAAAGACTATATATTTTTCAGTGAGTTGGGTGAGCAGAGCAGAAGAACTACAAGTGAAGTTTCAGATAATGTGCTAATAATTAGTCCAGTAAAATCATTCAACATAAGATGTTACAGAGAATTATATCTTCTTCATATGCTCATAAGATGTTTTAAGACAGTTGGAACAGCAAAAAAAAAAAAAAAAAAATCGATAAAAAAGAGGAAAGCACCTCTTGGTAACACATTCAGAGGAGCAATTTTGCTCAAAAGAAATGCCAAGTTTCAAGATATTTGTTAACCTGCAGCTATTTTAAGGCAGGCCAAGGCTGCATTAGTGCTTGTCACACAGCTTGCTCCCAACCTCTTGGCAGTTCTCCAACACATTCCAACATTTGATGCACAGCCTTGCTGGAATCACGTCCCACTTATCTCTAAAGACAACCAAGTAAGATGTTGCTGCATTACACAACCAACCTGCCATTTATTCCCATCAGGTCACTTTGCACAATGCCTGACTGAAAAAAAAAAAAAAATCAGACCACCATCTGAGTGAATGGAGCTTAGTCCAAAAAGATACAAGTCACACTCAGCCAAAAAATATGTATCAGAAAACTGCTCAACCTGGGGAGAAATGTCATGCCTTACTGCCCAAAGAAAGGTTAAGCACTCACCAAGTAAGGAAGGAGAACTGATACCAAGGGAAATGAGCAAGATCAACTAAAGATGGTAAACCTTAGAACCTTACTCATGCCACCACTGCCTACATTCTGTTCTTTTTGTTTGTTTTCGTAGAGACCAGGTCTCACCATGTCGCCCAAGCTGGTCTCAAACTCCTAGGCTCAAGCAATTTTCCCACCTTGGCCTCCAAAAGTGCTGGGATTACAGGCATGAGCCACCCCACCTAATCCCTACATTTTGAAGATTATTAATTGAGTACATTCTAAAGCAGGGGTGTCTAATCTTTTGGCTTCCCTGGGCCACACTGGAAGAAGAAGTGTCTTGGGCTATACATAAAGTAAAACACTAATGATAGCTAATGAGCTATAAATATCACAAAAAATATCTCATAATGTTTTAAGAAAGTTTACAAATTTGTGCTGGGCCACATTCAAAGGCTGTAGGTTGGACAAGATTGTTCTAAAGGATAATCTCAGTATTTAATGAGCCCCATTAACTCTGCGAAAAGAACAGTGTGGGGTTTGAGACAGGTTCTTTCTACTCTGCCCAGGCTAGTCTTGAAGCCCTGGGCTCAAGAGATCCTCCCACGTCAGCCTCTCAAGTAGCTAGGATTACAGGCACATGCCACCCTGTTCTGGTGAACAGAACAATTTAACATAGCAATACATCCTCTAAAAGTCAGTGTACTCTCTAATTTTTAATATTTGGCAAAAACGAAAAAAGCCCTCTTCAGAAACAAAATGGAATGTTTTTTGAAGCCATTCAAATGCTGCTACATTCCATTCTTGCTAAAAAACATATTTAATTAGCACATTTGAGACTCACGCTCTGCACAGCTGCACAACATTCCAGAGATAGGCCAGCTACCGATACACTCTTTACATGAAATACCACTGACTTTAAAAGTTGAGGAGACTGAGAAGCAGTTCTCAAGTATGACTCACTAAAGATAGGTTTATTTCACGTGAACAAAGTTTCCTTTAACAAGAGTGTAGTCCAGTGAAAATACATACTATAATTAAGAATAAAAAATGCATGTACACATGTACCAATAAAATATTTCTTCACAGCCGGAAAAAATATATATAAAAAATTCAAATGACAGACAAGAATAGTCTCCCTTTGAAACAAGACGATACATCAGCCTTCTCTCTAATTAAACTTTTACCTTTTATGAATTAAGCAAGATTTCTAGAACTAGGATGAAACCTATGTCAGAAACACACACTTCGAAGGCAAAATAGGCCTTTCAAAATAAGAAATCATCCTGATTATCAGGGAAACTCGGGATTTCCTTTAGCCCTGGGTGTTGATTTAAAAACAAGCAAACAGACAAAAACCTACCTTTGAAACAGAGAATGAAAGACAGGATGTGTGCTGGTTTCTTTCCTTCCGAAATGGCAGGCAGATCTCTTTGCTCCAGGCTAGAGGCACTTCCCCAACTCCACCCCAGGAGATAAATTGGGTATTTAGGGACAACTGGCAGCACAGACTTGTCAATCTTGCTGTGAGAAGGACCAGGCCCCTCTCAGAGAAGTCACCTGACTGATATCTCTGACCACAACTCATCTCCTGAAATAGTGACAGGTATTCTCATCTGCTCAGAGGACTGGCTAAGGCCACATTCCAGCCCCCTACCCTCCTCTAACCTAGGCCGCTGGGACCACTCTGGGCACTGCCTGGTCTTGTTGCCATCCCAAGTGTCAAGACCTAACATTTGCAGCTGCCTCAAGATCAAGTTGAGACTCCTACACCAGGCTTCAGGCAGCTCAGGCACAGTAACCATCAAGCATTTCCCTTGATGGGCTTTGGCCACCTGCAAACAAAATGATTCCCATCAGGTTAGGAGTTTCAGAAGAATCCCTTAGTTGGAGAAAGTCCACCCAGCCCAGCTCAGATTTTTCCCTCTTAACTGTGAAAAGGGCCAACACTGACCTTTAGTGTTTAAACCCCAGAAGAAGGCCATTTGTCACTTTTCCTTGGGGCCCATTACCCAAATGAGACTAACAGCAACCCCCAAGTTTCTAAAGGAAATTGCTGGAAAGAGCTTTTTTTATCTTCCAATGAAATATTTCTCCCCTCTTCCCACTCCCTCTTTTCCTTCAGCAGATACGGAAGCCGTTTTGGCACCTTCCTCAGAAAGAAGCCGAATACTAGAGTTAAAGGCAACAAAGGCCAGCAAGTCACCTCCATCCATCTGATGTCCTAAAGGCTTAAAGAACTGGCTTGCATAATCAAATAGAAATAACGCTTTTTCTTCTTGAAACAGATCCTAAATCCCAAGATAGAATTGTAAAGAATCCAGCTAATACAAAGACCCCAAGAAAGCTGAGCTCTAGTATATGCTTTCATCAGTTACAACCAAACCCAGCCCAGTAAAATTTATTACACTTAAAACCAAGATTATAATAACCACATCCATTCCACTGCGACACATTATGGGATAGGTATTTCAAAGACTCTGAAATCAGAACACAAAAGTAAAATCAGATGTTGTCCGAAGCATATGGAGATGTCTCTCAGGGGAATTAATGCAACTGTGATGGGAATTCCCTTCAGAACAAAACAGAAAGCACATTATCTAATGAGAATTTAATTTCTGGTATTTTTCCATTGTAAAAAGACATTATTCATAAAAGAGAAACAGCTATAATAAACAAATTTTTGAATTCTTTCTTCCTTTCCATTTTTCTTTAACATCCCACCCCTAAAACAGCTCAGGGCAACAGATAGTGTTCATGCTACAGCTTTAACTATAGACCAGTCATTAGATTTTATGTTTTGCCATGCAACATGCATAAGCTGCAAGAGTGCTGAACATCATCATGTCATTATAGAGACTGTCAAAACTCTACATCTTCAGTTTAAGATTGGAGGATTGGCCCTTAATATGTATGTGTGAGATGAAGAAACATGCACAGAAAAAAAAGGCTTAAAAGAGAAACACTAAAATAAATAAATAAATATATATACACACATATTTTTTTATTTTTTTATTTTTTATTTTTTTATTTTATTTTTTTTGAGACTGAGTCTCACTCTGTCACCCAGGCTGGAGCGCAATGGTGCGGTCTCAGCTCACTGCAACCTCCACCTCCTGGGTTCAAGTGATTCTCCTGCCTCAGCCTCCCAAGTAGCTGGGACTAGAGAAGCCCACCACCACACCCAGCCAATTTTTGCATTTTTAGTAGAGACAAAGTTTCACTATGTTGGCCAGGCTCGTCTCAAACTCCTGACCTCATGATCTGCCCGCCTCGGCCTCCCAAAGTGCTGGCATTAGAGGCGTGAGCCACCGCACCTGGCCGAGAAACACTAAAATATTAACTGTATGTTTCCGGGGTCACATAGTATCTAGTGATTTTAATTTTCTTCTTTGTATTCATCTTTAGTTTCCATATGATCTAAAACATCTATTATTTCAGTAATAAAAAGATATCTTAAAAATACTTTTGTATTTTGTTATGATGATTTTATACTAACTTATGCCTTTATGATGGTATATAGTCTTCATAAGCCATTCAAAAAACCACATATACTATGTGTATTAGCAGAAATTTAAAAAAAAAAATCAGGGATTCTAAGGTGGTAAAAATACAAAGACTATTTTAATTTTTAAAACTATTGTAATCACTATAAAAACACTCCTGGCCAGGCGCGGTGGCTCACGCCTGTAATCCCAGAATTTTGGGAGGCCAAGGAGGGTGGATCACTTGAGGTCAGGAGTTCGAGACCAGTCTGGCCAACATGGTGAAACCCGTCTCTACTAAAAATACAAAA
The DNA here is from genome assembly GCF_000001405.40 of Homo sapiens. Lineage (NCBI taxonomy): Eukaryota > Metazoa > Chordata > Mammalia > Primates > Hominidae > Homo > Homo sapiens. Next base: position 54,467,553 of record NC_000002.12, on the reverse strand, counting down.
ATTAGCTGGGCATGGTGGCAGGCGCCAGCTACTCGGGAGGCTGAGGCAGGAGAATCGCTTGAACCTGGGAGGCGGAGGTTGCAGTGAGCCGAGATCGCGCCATCGCACTCCAGCCTGGGGGATAAGAGCAAGACTTTGTCTCCAACAACAGCAACAACAAAGTACTCCTATGTTTACAGGTTTCAAAATGCCGTGGAAAATGTTTAAACATCACAGATCAAAATAAATAACATTGTTTTAAGGAAGAATCTAAGTTTTCCTTCCCATTCAAGTAAATAAGATAAAGAGAAAAAAGCCCCCCCACCCCCAAAAAAATCCCCTATCCCTATCCCAGCCCAAGACTTTACAGCTGGTGAAGAACATTCCAGAAAAATGTACAGCCCTTCAACATTTATATTTGGCCTTGAGGCAAACACACTAGAACAAAATGTATCCCTGAAACAGCCACCCAAGAGTACTGTAGGGAAACGAAACTTCACCGAGAGCCAAAGGCAGTGGCCATTAGTGGCTGATTCCTCCTGGACAATGTTTCTGTCAGGCGCTCTCTCGGCCAGTTCTTAGAGCTTTTCCCACACTCTGCATAAGTAATGAACTGCCAAGGCTGTAACAAAAATGAACATTTAAACAAGGAATGAAAAGATCTTTCAAAAATTTCAGTGTTCTTTATATCTTCATTATTAATACTGCTTTTCCGTAAGTTTGGTAGAAAAAAATTGAACAGCAGAAAGTATATTTAGCTGGTAAATTATTTGATTAGTTTGTATCCAGCTAAAATGAGGTTTGGTCAGAAGTGTTAGGATATTTTTGATAAAGAACAAGAATTTGTTATTTCCTAAAACTTAAAAAATATGGAGAAAAAAATATACAGAGATGAAATCTTCTGCAATTCCATTACCCAAGATAACCAATGTTAATAGGCTCATGAACTTTCTAAGAATAAACATACTTTTTTTTTTTTTTTTTTTTTTTTTTTTTTTTTTTTTTTTTTTTTTGAGACGGAGTCTCGCTCTGTCGCCCAGGCTGGAGTGCAGTGGCGCGATCTCGGCTCACTGCAAGCTTCGCCTCCCGGGTTCACGCCATTCTCCTGCCTCAGCCTCCCGAGTAGCTGGGACTACAGGCGCCCGCTACCACGCCCGGCTAATTTTTTGTATTTTTAGTAGAGACGGGGTTTCACCGTGTTAGCCAGGATGGTCTCGAAGAATAAACATACTTAATTACACAAATTACACTTTGAAAATACATACCTCAAAGGAATAAATTCTGTTGTACTTATATATCATCCTAAATTTCATACTAATTGATCTATTGGGTAAAAATCTATAGTTATGTTCTAATACATATTTTACTGCCTAACTAGTGGCTTCAAATTTGTATATTAAAAATCAGAACTAACAGGGCATTCTCGATTCTAGAGCAGAGATATTAAAATGGTTCTAAAAATCACTCAGATGTTTACTGTCACAGTTGAGAGTTTCTTAAGAATGGACGTATGACTCCTATAAACAAGGGTCAGTTTTAAAGCAATCTTGATAACATCTTATTTTTATATGTCAAAGCACAATTAATCCTGAAAGCTTCTTCAAACAACCACTCAGTTAAAGCTGATGGCAGAAAAAATACAAAATTAATGGAAATTCATTAATTTTTATAAGCTACATTTCACAAAGTACCAACACACTTAGAGACTTGGACCATAAAATAGAAAGTACTATTCCCTCCCAAACATTTCCTCCACTGGCTAAGGACAACTTGACTCATTCATGGGACTCCTTTTCAAAATACTGTCTCTATAAAATTCCCCATTTAAAATGTTTTAAAATATGTGCCTCCCTTCGTGGTAGAGATTACTCAATCAAACACACACCTCTCTCTCCCATGTGTGAGATATATATATATATATATATATATATATATGAGATAAACATGATATGTATGCATCATATATGTATATATACAAAAATATAACATTGCACAGGAATTTCTTTTCATACAAAAAACGAAGAATATTAAAATTAGTTCCTCTCAATCTTAGCCTACAATATTCCCAGATGCTGAGATACCATTCACTGAAAGTAAATCTAAATCTGAAGTGATTTTTATTTTAAAATGTTCACTTGGAATTTTACCTTCATTTCTGACCAATTCCACTGAAACCTGATGGTCTAATGGTTACAAACTAGCTCCAGTAGCAGTGTTTAGGTTTCCACGAGTGAGAACATGCACGTCATGGAATTCCACTGCTCTGCACTCAAGTGTGGAGACTGGAAATACCAAAGAACCCTGGTCCTCTGCTCTTTTCAAGCTGCCTAGGTTAGTGTAGAGAATTAATACATTTGAATACACTAATTTATCTCACACCTATACCCTTAAGATGCTAACTTACACACTGTATCATTGCTCTTAGAAAACTGCAAAGAAGGACAGATATAACAATCGCTGGATTTAAAACTATTTCTTAATAATGATCTACAATTGGACAGATTTACTTTTTTCTTTCCTTTTTAAAAATTAGAATTTTTAAAGTGTTGATTGCTTTTTTGATTATTAAAAAATGGTGCCCAAGGCTGGGCACGGTGGCTCACATTTGTAATCCCAACACTTTGGGAGGCCAAGGCAGGCAGATCACTTGAGTTCAGGAGTTGAAGACCAGCCTGGGCAACACGGTGAAACCTCGTCTCTATAAAAAAATTTAAGGTTTAAAAATTAGCCCTGTGTGGTGGTACACGCCTGCAACTACTTGGGAGGCTGAGGCAGGAGGACTGCTTGAACCCAGGAGGTCAAGGCTGCAGTGAGCCATGTTCGTGCCAATGCACTCCAGCCTGGGCAACAGAATAAGACTCTGTCTCAAACAAAACAAAAGAAAACAAAATAAAACAAAAAAAAGTTCCTCAAACAAACCAAAACAAATGGTCCTCATGGTCATCTATTATATTATTTACTGCATTCTTCTCTACCGTGAAATATTTCAAAACTCAAAAAGAGAAACATTAAGTCATGGGAATTTCCTTTCATACAAGAGAGGAAATCACCCATCAACCTACCATCCAAAGCAAACCATTAACATTTTAATGTATTTCCTTCCAGTCTTTTACTTAATACAGTAAAACCAGGATTATAGTACACTATACAATTTTGCATCCAGATATTTCCACTAACCCCTGTATTACCGGCATCTTCCCATCTCAGTAATATTCTTCCAAACCATTATTTTAAGCACTACATTGAATTCCACCCTACAGTTGCGCCATAATTTATTTGATTATGTTCCATTAAAAAACATTTCCCCTTTTCTCTATTAATGTTGCCAAGAAAATCCTTGTTTAAAAACTTGTCCTTATTTTTAATTGTTTTTGTAGGTTACCAAGCTACATGTGAGATTTCAGTTCAAGAGGTATAAGCATTTAAGGCTTCTGTTACATATATATAACCCAACTGTTTTCCCCTAAGTTTGTATTAATCAAAATATGCTCTCAACAGGTGATGCAGAGCTCCCATCTCACAGCAGCCCAGAGCATAATATCTATCCATTAAGTGGAAAAATTAATTAATTTAGTCTGTATTTCATACACTGGTGAGTTTGAACTTACAGTTATCGACCTCCTTGATTTCTTCTTTTATAAACTATCTGCTCATATCATTTCCTTAGCTACTAAGGCTTTAGCATTTTATTGTTTGTTTAAAAAATACATATATATAAATCAGATTTTCCTTTCCTATTATTTTGACATGATGTATAGGAACAGGTTTAATACAGATGGAACTTAGCATTATTTATCTAAATGATTGTTATTTGCTAGAATATACCTTTTCTAAACAAATCAAACTGTTTATTTGAAAGAAAGCATAATATTAAGTCAAACTAAGCAAAAATTCCACATTTTATAATCATTAAAATTTATTGTGATAAGCGCTGAATTACCTCATTTGGCTTTAATAATCCTATGTGGTAGATACTCTCATTACGACTATTTTACAGATGAAGATGTTGAGGGACACAAAGAAGTCTAGGCAGTTTGCCCAAGGTCACTTAGCGTGTGAGCGAGGTGGGTGGGTTGTGTAAAGAGCCTGAAGCCTGGGGCCCAGGGCCCCTCCATCCAAAGCCTCCCATCAGCCTCTCTAGCCATGACCTCTCTCCAGCTCCACTGAGGATTGTGCTGGAACCTCAAACTCAAACATGTTTAAAGCAAAACTGATACTCTTCCCAATCAAATATCCAATCATGCACTTGACTTGTCTATTTGTCATCATCACCAAACATGCTCATTGTCATTATTCAAATTTGAAATCTTTATCACCTTAGCTTAGCTCGTCACCCACTAGGTCCACCTCCCATCCATCCTGCCATCCATTTACCCTACAAATAGCTTCGCATAGGATTGGGCCTTCACAACCATTTTCCCATCTCTCCTCTCCTTGTTCCCTTGGCCACCACTGTAACTTGCTCCCTTTACTTCTGGACCCCCAGTCACCTCTCTCCTGTCTCCTTGCTTCTAGTTTCTTCCAGTCTCACTGTATTCTGAACACTGCCAAGGTGATGAGTTTCTCAAGTATCTTATAATCACAGAATTTAGAAGTGTACAGGAGCTTAAAAACTGAATGCCAGATTTAATCGAGTGGTAGTTACTGCCTAGAACACCATGTCGAGAATATGACTGAGACTATCTCAGCTCAGTGGAAAAAGAGTACCATTACTGATTTTCGATGTCTGCCAGGAACAGAAGCGAGTGATGGCATGTGCCATGTTTTAACCCCCACTATGATTTCATCTAAGTCTTCCATTTTATAAAATTAGATCTGAGACCGGAGGGTTAAAGGTTTGCCAAAGTCACACATCCAGCCTGTTAAAGGTATTTTACCTTCTGTGTATAGTACATAAAATATATTCCATATACTAGAGTATACAGTCCTTTCATTCAGGAACTAATTCTTATTCAACTTTAAGCCAGTCCACAAAACCATAACAACTTCAAGTCCTGGCAAGATAATGTATCCAATAATTATTCATTAAATAAAAAACAATATTACAAAGTAATCTCAGAGTAGCAGTAAAGGAAGATCATTAATACTATAAATGCTTAATGGTCAAAAGAACTGTGTACAAATAAATGTAATTACATTACTTTCAAGAACCAGAACCTAAACTGATAAGGGTTTCTAGTAAGTGGTCTCTTCAGACTGTATTAATCAATATATAAATGCCATTGGTAATGCAGCCTTTTAAAATACAAAAGTTAGAATAAGCCATTTAATAGCTCTCCTGACATAAAAAGGTTTAGGTAGTTTTTGCAAAGCATACCAAAAGGGATCAGTGGGTCATAGTGCTTAGGCAGTCCCAACAGAAAGGAAACAACTGTTATCAACTAAATACGTACTATGTGCCTGGAACTGTACACTGCTGTATCATAACTAAGAGAAACTAATATTATTTTGATTTTTCCAATGAGGAAACTGTGGTCTTGAGTAACTAACTAGCTCAAGGCCAGTACCTAGTGGTAGCCATAAGGCTAGTATACAACACCATTAGGATTTGGGCCCACAACCTGTTTGACTCCAAAACGAATGCTCTTTCCAAACAAAGAAAAACTTTTCTGAAATAAGAAAATTACCCTCACAAACTTTAAAGGACAAAATACTGATTATGACTCTGCTAAATTACAAATAACCGATCATCAAAAGAAATCACAAATTCGAGTTAAGAAAAAAAACACAAGCTGAGAAGTAATTGTCGCAAGACATGTAATCCACAAAGGATTAGTAGTAATCTACATACAGAACTACAAATTAATAAGATAAATGGGTAAAAGACTGAACAGGTACTTCACAAAACGAAGAACCCAAATGGTTAATAATGTAAACAGACATTCAAACTCAATAATCAGAGAAATTGTAAATAAAAATCACAGTGAGATAATGTTTCACTGGACAAGATTTTCAAGCCTGGTATGTGAAGCACTGGCAAGGCTTTGGAACTGTAACACTTATGGCTAGTGGGAACACGATCAACATAATCGCTTTGTAAAAAACAGTTCTACATTCTCTACTAAGGCTGATGATGCATATGCCCTGTGAGCCAGAAAATTTCATTCCCTAGAGACAGCAAATGGGTGTGTGTGCCTCCACATATGTACCAAGAGCCGTGTACAAAAACCACTCACAGCAACCCTTTCACAATAGCAAAAAAACCTGGAATCAATCCAAATCTCCATCTAGAGTACAATGAATAAATAAATCACGTTAGAATACTATACAGCAGGTGAAACTGAATGAAATACAGCCATGAAATGGATAAACCTTGGGAATAGAATCTTAATCTAAATATGTGAGTCAGAAGAATACATAAAGTATAATTTTGTTGATATAAAGTTCAAAATCATACACAATCAAGATTTTTTAAAAAGGATAAACCATAGAGAAGGGAATGATATGCACAAAATCAAGGATATGGGTTGTTTCAGATGGGATGATGGAGGTGGGCTCTGAATGTATAAGGCTCTTCCTGAACTAGCCGGTGGCTGCCTGAGTGTCCCTTGGTTTATGATTTTTATTTTTTTGAGACAGAGTCTCGCTCTTGTCACCCAGGTTGGAATGCAGTGGCGCGATCTCGGCTCACTGCAACCTCTGCCTCCCCAGTTCAACTGATTCTGTTGCCTCAGCCTCCCGAGTAGCTGGGAATTACAGATGCCTGCCACCATGCCCAGATAATTTTTGTATTTTTAGTAGAGATGGGGTTTCACCATGTTGGCCAGGCTGGTCTTGAACTCCTGACCTCAAGTGATCCGCCCCCACTCGGCATCCCAAAGTGCTGGGATTACAGGCGTGAGCCACTGCACCCAGCTGGTTTACGATTCTTTAACATATATTTTAGGAACATTATTTTGTACCTACCAATTAGTTGATTCAAAAAAGAACTCTAAGAAAAGACTGGACGAGAGGGCAGGACATTGACTATATCAGATGACAGACATCAAGATGCCAGAGCAGAGGGAGCAGAGAGGACCCTTTGCTCAGGGGTTAGCTTCCGAGGCTCCAGCTCTGATGTCTCAAAACCAATGCCTTTTTCTTCCAGAGGGGAAAAAGACTGTTTTTCAACTTTAGAGGTGTTTTACAAAACAACCTAAAACACTGATTAATCTAAATAAACCATGGTATATAGGACTCTTCCACCAAGAATTAAAGAACAGCTTTATAAAATAATTTTGTATTAAACAAATAATTTACAGTGAGAGCCTCACTTTTGTCACCACCATCAAGGAAAAAAATGTGCTGATACTTCAGCAAAAGAAAGGAAAATTCAAGAAGGAAACTTTTGATATTGAGGTCCCTTTGCTGAAGGAACAGAATAGAGTTTCTTCATTTAATGTGCATACAACTCACTTAAAGGTCTTGTTAAAATGTTGATTCCGATTGGCTGAGTTCAGAGTGGGGCCTAAGAATCTGCATTTGCAACAAGCTTCCAGGCGATTCTAATGTTGAAGGTCCGTGAACCTCACTATGATAGCAAAGGACATTATGAAAATGCCTTCTCCAGAGATGTTTAAAAATAGAAACACAGGTATATCTAATTGGTGTAATTTCCTTTAACCACTGAGTAGAAAAAAATAGATGATGTTATTCCCACACAATAAAAATTTAAATATAATTACAAGTGCTACCGGAAAAATCAGAGTACTAAACTAGGTCTTTTGCAAAGAAAAGATGCCCTGAGAAAAAGCAAAGACTGAAAATTTACAAGAAAAACCCATGAGATGCTTTACTCACTTCCACAGACCTACAAAGTTCACTCTTCTAACAGGGGTAGTTAGCCCCTTCCTTCTGGAAGAATGGTTTGCATTTCCAATAATGTAGTGAAAGAAACTACGGCTGCCATTAAATAAAGCCCAATTATAATGAAGATACTAGTTACGATGCAACATAATTAAAGGAGCATCATGTCATTGCACGTAAAAAAAATTAGGCTTTAAAATGTTCTATAAGAATATGCTATTAAAAAGAAAAGCTTAAAATTATTTCGACAAAATCCACACTGAATGATTTCCACTAATCATGTCTATGTTAGCAGTAGTAAAATCCTTCCACGTCAAAATAGTACTTCCACATGTAAAGTCATACATTCAAACATCAAGACAAAGCAACCACTCTACAAACCCTTCCAGGAAACTCTGCCAATGCCAAGCCTCTGCTCAGGATGTGTCACAAGTAGAGGGAGGTCTTCTCATTTGCTCTGCAACATCACAGATAGTTGTTACTAGTCTTGCCCAAGAGAAGTTCTTCACAGAAAACCTCAACTGTGGGAGACGACCTAGTGACAGCAGTTCCTTCACTGCCCAATACTTCTCCTCTCAGATGAAGGTTTTGGTCACTCCAGTAATGACAGAGTTACAAAGAGCTTAACCCAACAGAATTCTGCACCTGCTGTGTAAGTCAGAACAGCTAAACCTCCTGTGACATCAACACAGGATATTTCTTACAACAAAGTAAATCCAAAACGTTTGGATGATCCATGGGAACAACATTCATAAAAATCTGTACGCAACACGATTTTACACAACCAGCACAAAAAGTCTCATATTTTAATGGCTATTAGAGAAACTCAAAATAACGCACATACACCACACAATGTACATGCAGTTCTATTCTGCAGAGCCACATGAAATCAAAAGCAACTAACTTGGATTCATTAGAAATATTTAAAAATACAAGCAGGCACGCCCTTGGCTTGTAAACACTGACCTTCCCTTCCAACTAGCATATTGAAATTTCCTTTTTCACCTAAACATTTTAGGAAAGCCTGGGTTGACATTTGAAATATATCCCATTTGCCATCCCACACTGAATAATGAATTATAGAGATGGCATTTAGAAGGGAAATTCCCTGTGTCCTGGCCGAGACTAAACATGAGAACACTGGGAACCATCTCCTTCTGACTAGATGCCAGTCAAGAGGCCTTGGTGGTCTGCCCTTCTCCACCCTCTCCCCAGTCACAGCTGTGAAAAATATGTATACAAAAAATACATATAAACAAACACAAACGCAGTGTTACTGTCATAATCCCATTAATTACGCCCGGACACTTAACTTGGCTACCTCAATCAATAGAAATCTGAATACCAATTTAGCCCCCATCATGACACTCATACACCTAATAATCCTTAATAAAGCATCCAAATAATGCAACTGTACTTGACTTAGAAAAAGCAAACGATGAAAACAAAATACAAGCTAAAGGAATCATTTACTATCCATTAAAAAACATATAAATTCCTTTTAAAACAACCTACTGAATTTTAATATACTTATAAATGTCTTAGTGACATAAAACCCAAAATGCATTAATCATTTCATTTAAAAATGGTTTCCTACAGAAAAAATGCATACTTGGTATTAACCAAAGACAGACGAGGTACTGTAATGTCACAGTTGTGAAGGTCCAATTAATAAACACCAACTTTTCACGTAGAAAAAATTAATGCATAGCTGGGTTGTGGTTACAGATTATGGACGATCCACAGAAAAACGCTGCGACTCCCCACACTGCAACATTGCCTCCGCACACCACTGGGCCCAGTCCTTCCTGCAGCCCCTCCCTATGGCTCAGGTCCCCTGGTCGCAGATCAGATTCCGATCCGCAACCACAGGCCGGCTCCCCTCTGCCTGCACTGGTGATGCAGGGCGCCCCTCCGGCAGAGCGCAGCCCAAGAAGAGGTGCAGGAGGGATCATCCCAAAAGAAAAGACTCTCCCCTGCTCACACCTAGCTGACCTGGTCCTCCTGACGCCACATCCAGCAGAAGCTGCAGGACAAGGTAGCAGCAGCTCCAGGCCTCGGCCAAGGGCAGCCCCGGGCCTGGGTGGGGCCGGGCGGGGGCCGCAGGCGCCGAGCGGCCGTGCCAAGCCCCGCCAGCGAGAACCAAGGAAGCTGCGATACTGCTGCATTGTGCTGCATCACGGCGAGGGCACCGTGAGCCATCCATCTTGCCAAAAAAGCACATCCCCGCCCAAATAAACCCCACCGAATTCAATTTTCTGCTCCGCCGAAGCACCCCCACACGCACCCTGTCCTCACTTACTATCTGGCCTGGCTTTCGATTGGAAAAATAATGGACAGAGGTTTGCGTTCTGATCCCCACCCCCTCCTCATCTGATGGCAGCAGTTGGCACCTTTCCTATCACAAAAACAAAGAGAAGGCGCCCCCTAAAAGAGGGCCGTGGGCGTGGTGTGGGGGGTGATGACGAGCCAGCCCACCTACCCAAAGCAGGCCCGGAGGGTCCCTGCGCTGAGACAAACCTGTTGAAGAGAGGGTGGCAGGAGCTGAAGGGCGGGCGCAGCGGCGGCTCGGCGCCCGGAGGCGGCTCACGCCCAGCCCTGGGAGAGTGGGGACGGCAGAAAGGGCGGGGGGGGGGCGGGCGCACGAGGGTAGCAAGCGCAGGGATGGGGCGGAGGTGGGGGCGCGGGGCCGCCGCCTCCGGCTCAGCTGCAGCGCGGCGCAGCCGGGACCACGCCTGGCCGCATCCCCTGCACCGCTACGCGCAGAGCCCGGCCCTGTCACCGCCGCCCCCGCTCCCCACCCGCGGGGCCACAGAGAGGGCACCTGAAAATAGACCCTCCGGCTGTCCGCTGTCCGCTCCGCACCCACCTCCGCGCCAGGGGCCTCCGCGTCAGGGGCCGCCGCGCCCGGCTGCAGGGAGGCGCCGGCGGAGGCAGGGAGGAGGAATCGCCGCGCCGCGCCGGGGCTGGGGCCGGACGGCAGCGGTGCGCACGGCGGGTCTGCTGCCGCCTCACCGCAGAGCCTGCCGCCCCTCGTCCCGCATCATCCGAGTACCAATGAGCACCCGCGACCCGGGCTCCCCGCGCCGCCCCCGCCCGGGCTTTGCAGCCTCCCTGCCCCCACGCGGCTCCCCGGGCGCAGGGCAGGCGGGCAGCGGCGTCCTCCGGCCCTGGGCCCGCGCCCCTCCTCCCGCCCGTCCGCCGCCGCGGAGCCCACCCGGGAGGCAGCCCCAGTGAGTTGGCATCTCCCTGCCTCGGGCCCCCTACCTACCTCCCGGGGATGGGGTGGGGGCGCCGGGGTCCCGTCCTCCTCCCGCTCCTCGGCGGCCGGGCGGGTGGGCCGGGAGGCGACTCCGCGGGTCTGTCCGCGGCTGGGGCCGGGGCTCACAGGACGGGACCAGTGGGCGCTGCTGCGCAGGGCTGCGCGCTCGCTCCGGGAGGAGAGGCGGCCGAGGGAGGGACTGGAGGAATCCGCAGCCTGCACGGCAACAGCGGCACTGATTCCGGGGGCTGGGCGGGAGCGCGGGGGGCGGGGGGAGGAGGAGAGGAGGGCGCTCGCAGGGAGGGGGCGAGGGGCGGGGAGAGGAGCGCGCGGGGCGGGCGCGCGCGCACACACACACAAGCGCACTCCCGGGATCCCTCCCGCACGCCCTCCGCCCTCCGCACTCCTCCCTCCCCACTCCCGCCCGCTCCCTCTGCTTCGCCCGCCCTCTCCTCCTGCCCGGAGCCCCGCAGCCGCCCAGGGAGCCGAGCCTCGGGCGCGTCCACGTCCTCTCCAGCTGAGGCTCTTCCCGGGTCCAGCCCGGACCTCATCCTCCCAGCGGCGGGGACCGACCAGGCTGGCCGGGGCGGGGTGGGCACTGCTGCTGCCGCTACCCGAGCAGGACAATAGGGGCTTTGTCTCCACAGCCGGAGAGGGCCAATTTCACGTTTAATTTGAGGCTAATTCGATTATCGCCATGGAAAGAGGCGGTCTAATTTTCTACGTGATTTGTGCAGCCTCTTTTCGCCCTTGATGTTGCGTTCGGAATGCTGGGGAGAGAGGGTATTTAGGGAGGTTTTGGAGCGTCACTTGCTTGGTTGGTTTGAGATGCAGTTGGTGATGCCTTATAGGTTCTACCCAACTTGGAGAAGGGCGACGGCGACCTCTTCGTGGGAAACCTTGGGCGCTGGAGGATGGGTGGTGGGGGTCGTTCCTTGTGAGGTTAATGTATTCTTTTGCAAATGCTTTTTCGCCCACCCTTTCGCTTTGGGTAGCTGGGAGCAGACCCTACAAGTGGTTCATCCAACTCCTGCCTCTCAGTGCAGGCTCCGCTCGAACCTGAGGCCAGGTGCCCTGCCCCAGTCACTCCCGAGAGAGGGGTCGTCCGGCCGCGGTGGAGGGCCCCGTGATGGCGTGGGGACTTGCGTTTTCCCCTATGCGCATTCCCTGAAACGGAAACTGGACGTTTCCTCAAATTTTTGTCATGTGCCACTGCCCCTTCCCAGTCACCTGGTCTACCCCGTCAGCCCCTCAGGCTGTGTAGAAATTCCAGAACCGTCACTGTTGTGAAGAAAAGATGGTGGAATCACCAGGACCACGAATGGAAACGCTCTTTAGAAAAGCAGTTTGAAGAAACTGACTTTCTCCTTGTTCTGTAAAGTGCACAGGGCGGCACTGCGGGCATTCAGAGGGAGGAGGGCCCTTCCTGTTTGAAAAAGCCCCAGGGCTTTTTCCCCATACAGACCTGATCACCTGGATTAAAATAAAACAAAAATACACGGCAGCCAAGTAGTTTGTATCATGCTTATATCTCAGATCACTAGAACCTGGCCTGATGGGTTTATATGTTTGTATGTATTTTTAAATGAATATTTTAAAATAAAACTCAGTGAAATCGTCACAGCAAACTGAAGATGATTCTTCCTTTTAGGCCTTCATAGGTTTGAATGTTTGAACCTATGTTTACTTTTGATAGGAAAAAAATTGAGGAAAGCAAATAACATTTTTTCTCAGAAGGTGAATCAACACAACCAGACCGTAAACTCTCTTAAAGGTAGGGTTATTTCTTTCTTCACTCTGTACATATAGCAGGCACTTAGGTACTAAAACAAATTTGTTGAATTGAACACAATCAACTTGTAAGCTGCTGCCCTCATTAGGTAATAAGGGAAATCCACTAGAAAGCAAAGTTGTTTGCCTTTCACTTACTTATTTTTTTACCATGGACCCCAGCACCTCCCCACTCACAATGTTAATGAAATACCAAAGAAAACAGTAACAATATTGGGAAGTGCATCCATTTAAATTAATTCTTCCAGTGTTATTCTGAAATGGTTATTCCTTTATCACAGACAACGGTATTTAAATAAATTTTCATTTGATGAATGATTCACCTCCCTTACCCCATTCCACTCCCACTTACGTTGTTTTTTAATTAAAAAAAAAAAAAAGGCCACACACACCTTAGCAAGGTACTCTAGTAAAGCCCCAGTAATTATTCCAAAAATGTGAAAGACAAGGATTCAGAGTTCTACTGTAAATACCTGCATCACAATTTTGAATTCTTACCCTTAGGTGCAAAAAATCACCCTAGAGAACTCAGTGTACCAACGACCAAAAAGAAGTAACAATTCAAAGAAAAGATAGTACAACTGGAAAGATTATTGGAGAAGACATTTTTATGGAAGGCAAAATCTAAAAAAGATAAAAAGTCTTAGGCAGTGATAACAGCTCAGAAGGATTATTCCCATGTATCTCAGAAGCGGCTTAGTTTCTTCTCATATTAGAATCAGGGTTGATATAAAGGAACCTAGAAGTCTTCAATATCATGTTTGTAACATACTACTCTCCACTTTTAAAACCATGTGATTGCATATGGCTTTATCTCCCATCAAAATACTTTATTACAAAATTTTTACAGATATAAATTGTCATTTTAACTTTCCATTCAGAATGTAGGGGAAGGCTGGGCACGGTGGCTCATGCCTGTAATCCCAGCACTTTGAGAGGCTGAAGTGGGTGGATCACCTGAGGTCAGGAGTTCAAGACCAGCCTGGCCAACATGGCGAAACCCCGTCTCTACTAAAAATACAAAAATTAGCCGGGCATGGTGAGACACGCCTATAGTCCCAGGTACTCTGGAGGCTGGGGCAGGAGAATCACTTGAACCTGGAAGGCGGAGGTTGCAGTGAGCCGAGATCGCACCACTGCATTCCAGCCTGGGTGACAGAGCGAGACTCTGTCTCAAAAAATAAAATAAAATAAAATAAAATAAAAAGGTATTGATAAACAGTATTGTCTACTACAACCTGTTTTGTTTAGAAAAGAGAATGATACTCTAAGTATTTCCTTGGTTATATTATATTAACCCAATTGAACTCATCTTTTATTGTACTGATAATAGCCCAAAACTTTAAAATCAGAACATATTTTGAAAACTTGCATATATTTTTAAAATTCCTGTTTACTCCTAAACTTGCTTCCTTTTAACTCTGAACTAGTCTGGGAAATTTCCTCATATTTAAAATATATTTCATTTGGGAATTCACATGTATTAATTTTGCACTGGGAAAACCTAAAGACTTATATGTAAACTATCATTATGAATGAATTTTTTAAAGCACTAATAACATATTTACTCTTGCATAAAGTAATTTATTCTTTCATTATTCAAGAGATAGATATGCCTTATATTCTTCTCGGCTCTGAAATAGAGCAATGGGTAAAATAATTTTAAAAAATCATTGCTTTCATGGATCTTCCATTCTAGTAGATTATATCTAGTATTCCATTCTAGATATAATCAATCAATAAAAAAGTAAAAGATATGTGTAATGATAAATCTGAATAGATGGTAACCTAAATGTATAACAATATTTATAAAATGATCACAATAAATGGTCTCAGCTTTCTATAAAAGATCTTCACATTTTCTATGTTAATAATAATAATGATTATAAGTAGCAACCATAAAATGTTTTCCAGTTTTTAAAATGCTTTATCAAATATTATCTTATTTTGTCCTTTTGCCAGTTCTGTGAGGTAAATATTAACCCCATTCTGTGGATGACCAAATGGTCAAATGAGTTGCCCAAGTTCTCACAGCTAGTTAAGTGCCAGAGATATCTTAGGAGCTAGCATATCAGAGCTGTATGCCTGGGCATTGCATATGAATTACTCAACATAACTCTATTTTGCAAGATGGAAGAAAGTTCTAGAGATGGATGGTAGTGATGGTTCCACAACGATGTACACGTACATAATGCCACTAAACTGTATGAAAATGGTTAAAATGGTAAGTTTTACGTTGTGCGTATGTTACTTTTTTTAACCATTCAGAAAATTCTTTTGGGTTTTTTTTTAACTTTTATTTTGGGTTTGGAGTATATATGTAGGTTTGTAAACAGGTAAACTTGTGCCACAGGGGTTTGTTATACTTATTAATTCATCACCCAGGTACTAAGCCTATTACTCAATAGTCATTTTTTCTGATTCTCTTCCCTCCTCCCAACCTCCACCCTAGAGTAGGCCCCAGTGTCTATTGTTCCCATGTTTGTGTCTGTGTGTTATCATCATTTACCTCCTTCTTATAAGTGAGTACATGCGCTATTTGGTTTTCTCTTCCTGTATTAGTTTGCTAAGGATGACAGCCTCCAGCTCCATCCATGTTTCTGCAAAGGACGTAATCTTGTTCTTATGTGGCTGCATGGTATTCCATGGTGTATATGTATTACATTTTCTTTATCCAGTCTACCACTGATGGACATTTAGGTTGATTTCATGTCTTGGCTATTATTAATAGTGCTTCAGTGAGCATACATGTGCATGTGTCTTTATGATAGAATGATTTATATTCCTTTGGTTATATACCCAGTGATGGGATTGCTGGGTTGAATGGTCATTCTGCTTTTAGCTCTTTGAGGAATCGCCACACTACTTTCCACAATGGTTGAACTAATTTACACTCACAACAGTGTAAAAGTGTTCTTCTTTCTCTGCAATATCTCCAGCACCTGTTATTTTTTGACTTTTTAATAGTAGCCATTCTGACTGGTATGAGATGTTATCTCATTGTGGTTTTGATTTGCATTTCTCTAATGATCAGTGATATTGAACTTTTTTCATATGCTTGTTGGCCACATGTATGTCTTCTTTTGAAAAGTGTCTGTTCATGTCCTTTTCCCACTTTTTAATGGGCTTTATCAAATATTATCTTATTTTCTTGTAAATTTGTTTAAGTTCCTGATAGACGCTAGATTTTAGACCTTTGTCAGATGCACAGATTGGAAATAGTTTCTTCCATTCTGTAGGTTGTCTGTTTAGCTCTTCTGCACAGCAAATGCTCAACATTTTTAGTCATTAGAAAAATGCAAATCCAAACCACTTTGAGATACCACTTCACATTCACTAGGATGGCTTTTATTTTATTTAAAAGATGGAAAATAGCAAGCGTTGGTGAGAATGTGGAGAAATTGAGAGCCTTGTACATTGTTGGTGGGAATGTAAAATGTGCAGCTGCTGCAGAAAAGTTTGGCAGTCTGTCAGAAAGAAGAACATAGAATTACCATGTGACCCAGCAATTCCGTTTCTAGGTATATGCCCAAAAGAATGGAAAACAGGTTCTCAAATAGATACCTGTACACTAATGTTCATAGGAGCACTATTCACAACAGCCAAAAGGTGGAAACAACCCAAATGTCCATCACCTGATGAATAGATAATGAAAATGTGGTACAGCTACACAATGGAACATTATTCAGTCACAAAAGGGAATGAAGTACTGATACATGTTACAGTGTGGGTAAACCTTGAAAACATTATGCTAAATGAAAGAAGTCTGATACAAAAGGTCACATATGATTTTATTTATCCAGAATAGGTAAATCCTTAGAGATAGAAAGCAGATTGTGGCTGCCAGGAGCTAGGGTGGGTGGGGAGTGGGGGAATGGGGTCTACTGCTTGATGGATATGGCTTTTTTTTTTTTTTTTTTTTTTTGAGACAGAGTCTTGCACTGTCGCCCAGGCTGGAGTGCAGTAGCACGATCTTGGCTCACTGCAACCTTCACCTCCCAGATTCAAGAGATTCTCATGCTACCCCTCGTGTAATCCCAGCTGCTCGAATCTCTTGATTCGAGCAGCTGGGATTACAGGCATGCGCCACCATGCCCAGCTAATTTTTGTATCTTTAGTAGAGACAGGGTTTCACAGGTTGGCCAGACTGGTCTCCAATTCACGACTGCAAGTGATTGGCCCGCCTCGGCCTCCCAAATTGCTGGGATTACAGGCATGAGCCACTGCGCCTGGCCAATACGGCTTTTCTTTTGAGGTAATGAAAATGTTTTAGAACTAGAGGTGATGGTTACACAACATAGTACACATGAAATGCCACTGAAATGTTCACTTTAAAATGGTTAATTTTATGTTATATGCCTATCACCTTAATCTTTTAAGAAATATAATTCAAAAGTAAAAATTGTTTTTTATTAGTTTCTCATTTAACATCATTTATCAATGACCAATGAAGCACTAGTCGTATCAGGTAAATGGGCTCCTGCATGTTCTTTAAGATTTTCCTATATGTGCCTCTTGAGAAAGGATTTATTACAATTCATCTCTCAGATATGAACTATTCCACCTGCATGTTTTCAGGGAGCTTGATGTTAATTATCCCACCACAGAAATATAAGAAGGATTCTGAGCCTTTACTGTTGGAGCCAAACTAGAAATTAAGAAAAAAAAAAGTTTTTGAAATCTCTCTTTGGCAAGTAGCATTTAAGAATGAAGGGAAAAATCTCAGAGTGTGATGACTCTCCATGTGACAATGTGCAGTTTTTCTTCATCGCCTCAAACTACCTTGTGCAATACAGTAGCCACCAGCTATTTTCTCTTTTTTTTTTGAGACAGAGTTTAGCTCTTGTTGCTCAGGCTGGAGTGCAATGGTGCGGTCTCGGCTCACTGCAACCTCTGCCTCCCAGGTTCAAGCGATTCTCCTGCCTCAGCCTCCCGAGTAGCTGAGATTACAGGAGCCTGCCACCATGCCCAGCTAATTTTTTGTATTTTTAGTAGAGACAAAGTTTTGCCATGTTGGCCAGGCTGGTCTCGAACTCCTGACCTTAGTCGATCCACCCACCTCAGCCTCCCAAAGTGCTGGGATTACAGGCGTGAGCCACCATGCCCGGCCTCCACCAGTTATTTTTCATAGCCACATGTTGCTGTTCGGCACTTAAAATGTGGCTAGAGTGACAGAGGAACTGAATTTTTCATTTTACTTGACTTTAATTAAAATTAAGATTTAAAATTTTATTATTGCTTCAGTTACTGAAAAACTTTTAAGTATGTTTGGAACAATCTGGATATTTGAATCTGCTTGTTTTAACTGTACTTTTTATGAAATCTACAAACAATCCAGATTCCAGGAGCTTAGTTAAAAAAAAAAAAAGAAATGCAACATATCTCAACTTAAAAAATATTGATATGTTGCAATTAATCTTTTTGTATTTTATTTAATACGTTAAATAAAATCTATTTTTAAAATTATTTTACCTTTTTTTTAATGTGGCTATTGGGGAAAACAATTTTTTTGAAACTAGTCTCACTATGTTGTCAAGACTAGACTTGAACTTCTGGGCTTAAGCATTGATCCTCCCACCTCAGCCTCCCAAGTAGCTGGGACTACAGGTGCACACCATTGCACCTGTCTCTAAAGAAATTTAAATTATATATGTGCTTCACATTGTATTCCTGTTGCACAATGTTGTTCTAGACTTTGTCAATGAGGTCTTTAGTAATTGGCATCCTTAATGCTTTAGACTCAAGAAAACTGAAGAAAGGCAACCAGAATTTGGAAAATGCCACAAAGTAAGCACTCCAAAACGAGGTCAAGTTTTCAACCTCCAGGCTTCCCATAGTGCCCCCATCACAATGGCCTTGGTATCTGTGAATGGCAAGTCAAGATGCCTTTTTTTATGAACAGAAGATAGGCATGGCTAATATTTTCATGCCTCATGGTATTCTTTTGGAAGTCCAAATAGATCCTTGATAATGACAGAGTGTCATTGCCTCAAGATAAATCACCAGCTTCTCCCCTACCCCACATTTGACATCATTTGCTGGCCTATGTAAAGAATTCCAGGCCGGGCATGATGGCTCACCCCTATAATTCCAGCACTTTGGGAGGCTGAAGCGGGTGGATCACCTGAGGTCAGGAGTTCGAGACCAGCCTGAACAACGTGGTGAAACCCCATCTCTACTAAAAATACAAAATTAGCTGGGTGTGGTGGCACATGCCTATAATCCCAGCTACTCAGGAGGCTGAGGCAGGAGCATTGCTTGAGCCCGGGAGGTGGAGCTTGCAGTGAGCTGAGATCATGCCACTGCACTCCAGCAAAACTCTGTCTGGGAAAAAAAAAAGAAAAATTCCAGAAGTGGGTTAGGTTCATACCTAGAATTCATTCAAGAAACTGCAGAAATCAATAGGCTTATTGGTAAGAAACAGAGAGAAAAATCACTTCCCCACAGAAGTCAGAAGTCAGACAGACAGGTTTACCATGTAGTTTCTTTGAGGAGAAACTCTTCTGTCTGGATTGAGTTCTTAGATTCTGGGCACTTTGCCCCCTAAGCCATACTTCTGACATTGGGGTAATCTCATTTCCCATCCTATACCCTCAAATGCTGCGTGGATATAGATACATGGCATAAGTGAGACATCTCACTCTCAGAGGATCACTAGAGATAATAAAAAACATTAGGACTATCTGAACATTTGTCATGGAAGCATGGAATTCTTTCCTTGCTCATTCCTCATGGATTGCAGGCTGATTTCTTCTCTTGGGTTCTTTCTTTTACTCATGAGTTAGCGTAAGCAAGAGTTTGATTTTAATGAAAAGCCTTTTAATTTAAGTGTGAAATTGGAGACCTTCATAAAAATGAAGAAACATTTGCTAAATTTTAGCTAATAAGATATACTAATTTTTTATTGTTTGAACATTATTATTTTTACTACATATATGTTACGTAGGCACTTTGCTAAGGAGTTTCATGTATTCATTTAATCCTCATAACTGTGTATGTGCTATGTACTATTCTGTTTTTTTGTTTTTGTTTTTGTTTTTAATTTTTGTTCTGTTGCCAAGGCTGGAGTGCAGTGATGTGATCTTGGCTCACTGCAACTCCGCCTCCCGGGTTCAAACAGTTCTCCTTCCTCAGCCTCCCAAGTAGCTGGGACTACAGGTGTGCGCCACCACACCCAGCTATTTTTTTTTTGTATTTTTAGTAGAGTTGGGGTTTTGCCGTGTTGGCCAGGCTGGTCTTGAACTCCTGACCTCAAGTGATTGACCCACCTCGGCCTCCCAGAATGCTGGGATTGCAGGCATGAACCACCATGTCTGGCTACTATGAACTATTCTTATCCTCATTTTACTAATGAAGAAGTTGAGGTGCAGAGAGGTTGGGTCAGCTGCTTGAGATCTTACAGCTAGGAAGTAAGGGAAACAGAATTCAAACCCAGGTCCATCTAACACCATAGCTGTTTCCAAAAGTTTGAAAGGGAAGTAACATCTTAGACATTTTGCTTACTAGCTTTCAATGTAAACGTAATTACTCAAAATCTGTGGTCAAAGATATCCTTTCTTTTAAACTGACAGAGGTTTTAATAAAACATTAAAAGGATTTTTTTTTATATGAAGGCTGTAAGGATGTGTACCTAAGTTTGAAAAAGTTTTAAGCACCTGGATTCTTATGTGCTTATGTTTCAAACAGAGTTCACTCAACTTGAAAGTCATCCGTTCCTTAATAAGTGCTGCCAATAGGGAATAAGAAAAAAATACTTTGAACAGAAAATTCTCCTTGTTTTTGGTGAACAGAGAAGTATTGTTGTTTGTTTTCTGAAGGGCACAGGAGATGGGGGTAGAGGTAGGGGTGTTTGTTTTGATGAGGTCTGCTTTGAAGAGCTCTTCTGAAGCCTTCCCAGGCGAGGCCAAGCAGGGGTGTGGGGTTTAATGCAGTACATACCCGGGAAGTAGGGGCCTGGTTCAGCTGCAAGTCATTTACACTTTCAGGATTCTCTCCAAAGAGGACCTTGGACCAAAGCAGGCTGAGCAAATCATACACTGGATTTCAAATTGTGATGGGACACTACAGAAGGAATAAAAATATTTATAGGTCCTAAGTTACCTATGGTGCAGGTTAACTGAATTTGAGAAGAACTTGGAATTTTACTAATTTGGTGGGCAGACGTATGTTTTCTGAGTGGCAGATTCTATGGGAAGGCTAGGAAAGTTATCTGGAAGCATTCTATGAATTATCTCTTAGCTATTGGAGTGCAGGCCCTACTATCTTTAGCCATACTTAAGAGAGGAATCAGAGCCTTCTCCAGTTGTTCCTCTGTTAATTTGAGAATTTACTGGGTTCCACTTGCCTCCTTGCCAACTGAATTCTCCCAGCTCCTCCAGAGAGGATAGAGGTGCTGCTACTGCCACCCCTGGCCTCTCACATGGTCACCAGCTACATCCCACATAGATGGAAGCCTGCAGTTTCTGAGCCATCTGAATCAAGTAGCATGAACTGGAGATCAATGTAGCTGGCTTTAGATGAAAACTCCAGAGATACCTGAAGTGTCCAAGTCTCACTTTTCCAATGACAAGTTTGTTACAGGAATTCATAGCCAGTACAAAATTACATCAAAAAATTAGTAAATCATTCCTTAGTTCTTCCCTAGCCCCACTGGAAGGAGAAAAGGAACAAGTAAGATAAACATCTGTTTTGTTAAAAATACTCATTGTTGCAGTCAGAGGTTTCTCTTTTGATTTTAGCTTTTTTTCTTTAAATAGGCAGTACTTATTATTTTAAAATGTAAATGATATTAAAAGGAATGAATTGAAAGTCTCACTCTCGCCCTGTCCCCATCCATCTCACAACCCACCCCCATTCCCCATAAGTAAGTGTGTTTTAAATATTCTTGTGTACTTCTCTTCCAGGGTGCCTGCCCAGTGTTTCTTTAGGTATATATATAAAGAAAATCAAATATATATAATTCCTGTTATTTCTTTCTTTTTTTTTTTTTTTTTTTGAGACGGAGTCTCACTCTGTCACCCAAGCTGGAGTAATCTCGGCTCACTGCAACCTCCGCCTCCCAGGCTCAAGCAATTCTCCTGCCTCAGCCCCAGCTACTCGGTCCCAGAGTAGCTGGGACTACAGGCACATGCCACCATGCCCAGCTAATGTTTTTTTTGTTTTGTTTTGTTTTCTTTTGAGATGGAATCTTGCTCTTGTCGCCAGAGTGACAGGAGTGCAATGGCACAATATCAGCTCACTGCAACCTCTGACTCCTGGGTTCAAGCGATTCTCCTGCCTCAGCCTCCCAAGTAGCTGGGACTACAGGCACGCGCCACCATGCCTGGCTAATTTTGTATTTTTAGTAGAGACAGGGTGTCGCCGTGTTGGCCAGGCTGGTCTTGAACTCCTAACCTCATGATCTGCCCGCCTGGGCCTCCCAAAGTGCTGGCATTACAGGTGTAAGCCACCGTGCCCAGCCTAATGTTTGTATTTTTAGTAGAGACGGGGTTTCACCTTGTTGGCCAGGCTGGTCTCAAACTCCTGATCTCAAGTGAACTGCCTGCCTCCGCCTCCCAAAGTGCTGGGATTACAGGCGTTGAGCCACCGCACCTGGCCATTTCTCTCCTTTTTTTTTTTTTTTTTTTTTTTTTAACACAACAGACAGCATACTACAAATATTAATCTGCTCCTTGTTCTTTTTACTTAATCACCCTTGGGATCTTTCCTTATCGGCACATGATATGCTTCCTTTTTTAAATTACAGCTGCATAGTATTCCATCATATGACATACTTTATTTGGGTTGTTTCAGTTTTCTGCTTTCACAAACAGAGCAATCAAGGGTTTCTGAACAGTTATTTCTGGGCTCAAACCTTGTTCCTTCTAGTCACTCAAAATTCCATAGGCATGTATGTGGCTGCCCACGGAGTATATATTAAACTTTCACAGGGTAGAGATGGAAGTGGCTTTAGAGCTGGTCTATTCCAACTCACTGGTTTAAATAAGAAGAAACCAAAGTTCCTGTGAAGTGACTTCCCCAAGTTGCAGAGTGGTTGGCCTGGGTCCAGAGCCCAGGCTTCCTGATTCCCAGGCTGACATTGTTCCTGCTGGATCACACTGCTGGGTGCTAGGGTGTGGGGAGGGTATATAAATACCACTGGCTCCTCCAGGAGCATAGAACTCATTAGATACAAAGTAGAACATGGTAAGAGTCAAGAGAGAGCCACAAGGCCTAGAGGGGATTCTTTTAAGGAGGAAGACACTTGGTTAGAGGAAATCTGGAAAGGCTGCATAGAGAAGGTAGCATTCAAGATGGGCCTTGGAGGGTGGATAGGATTTCACCAAGTAGAAAACGTGGAAGAAGGTTATTCCAAATGAAGAGACCAGCAAGAGCAAAGACGTGGACATGCGAAAACATCAGGCATCTTTGGGAAGCAAGGAGTCGAGTATGATTGGTACATAATATGTGATTGGAAGATAAGAATACTAGTAACTTCACTGAGATTATTGATCACTTACCTAATGCCAAGTGTTACTCTGAGTGCTTCTTCAATGTTACTCTTTAATCTTCACAACCCCACGATGTAGGTACCATTATTATCCTCCACTTTACAGGTGGGGACTCTGAGGCACAGAGAGGGTAGGAATTTTCTTAGGTCATAAGGCACACAGCTAGTAAGGTTACATTTTAGGAAGTCTGAATCTAAAATACTATTAACACTTCTCCATGTTACCGGGAGATGAGACTGGAGAAAGAAAATGATCATATTTGAGAGGATCTTGGAATTCATGTGGAGACACAAAAAGGTTTCTCCTACCATGAGTTGTAAAAAGAAAGAAGGGGATAAACATTTTTTAAGTACATACTATGTTTTCAAAAGATCATGTGTGATAGATGTTATTTCCCACAGAATTCAGATGAGAGAACTAGGGTTCAGAGGAAGTAAGTAACTTGTCCAAAGCCTCAAAGCTCTTAAGTGGTGAAGAAAGCGTTGAGTACCCTGTCTGATCAAAAGCCTGCGCTCTTGCACAGACAGTGTTTTCCCAAAGTAGCCCATGGAATACTCGTGCCCAGCCTAGCGGGGGATGGGGTTTTGTGGTCAACTCAGCTTGGGAAATGCTAAGATAACCAAGTTAGGCCTTCAGGTACTTTTAATATGCTATTGTGCTTCATAAATCAACCGAGAGGTAGATGTAGCATCTCATGTTTCCAAAACTAAACTTCCTCTCCCACTCCTCCTAAGTCCTTTGCATGTCACATTGAGCGGAAATCGTGCTGAGAGGGGCTATCAGTTTGGAAAGGCCTAAAGAGGCCATACTAGAGAAGCGAAAGGTGTATTTCCTGATCACCTGTGTCTGTTGCCACTCTTCACAGATACATAATGCTAAAATTCAGAAAGGCTGTTGAATCTTACTTCCTGAGGGCTGCACGGAAGCTATCTAAACTTCCACGTCTCAGAAAAGTGGTATTTTTTGTTTTGTCTTTGTGTGTTCGTATTCATTTGGGTTTTTTCTTTTCGGTTTTTTTTTTTTTTTTGGTATCAAAATGAAAAAAACTTGATTTCCTTTTTTTTTTTTTTTTTCCAGAGATGAGGTCTCACTAGATTGTCCAGGTTGGACTTGAACTAACTCGTGGCCTCGAGTGATAACTCCCACCTCAGTCTTTCTAGTAGCTGGGTCTATAGGGCACACATTGCACTCAACTCCAATTTTATGTCTAATGTAAAAATCTCCCAATTTCTATTCTAGTTCTTTTATAACCTGAGATAAAGATGTTGGGATGTTGAGAACCAAAAAATATATATAGGACATGCTTTCTTAGGTTTCTTAGGCTGTGTACCTAACTTCTAATTAGCTGGTGGTTTAATATATAATCCAATGTTGCTATCATATCACTATAAAAGACAGTCTGGCCAAAAAGAATACCTTCACACTCTTCCTCTGAAAATCCTCATGAAATGTTAAACTTACACATGTGGCATGGCTGAACCAAATAGGACCTTTGTCACTAAAAAGGAACTCTGCAAATCTTAAACACCGTATGAAAATAATATTCTTTGGCTGCAAATTCTGCCTACTAAATGACATTTTTGTGCACATTTGTTATTGCATTTGATAAGTTGGGTAGAGTTTCCTTTTCAATTTCAGTATTTTAAGAATTTTGAGGTGCTTGGGATGATTATTGGAATAGTCAGAAATGCTGTTGGTGGTTTTATGACACCATAAAATGACTTCGTTGCAAGGATGAGAGTGATGCTTAACATCCATTTTTATTTAGATAGCTGGGATCTCGGTAAAGGCTTACATATAACTCCAGATGCTTGCTAAACATGTAAAATCACTAGTTAGTAGTGTTATTTCATAGTTTTGGAGATACTGAATGGTGATCTCTTCAGATATAAGATAGGATTGACTGTTAGGTATTTTTCCTAGGAAAGTTTTTGTAATAAGGTAGTTTGCTTCTGCTGCTACTGAAATTTAATTTTAATCACTCAAAGCTGTGAGCA
Organism: Homo sapiens; assembly: GCF_000001405.40. Lineage (NCBI taxonomy): Eukaryota > Metazoa > Chordata > Mammalia > Primates > Hominidae > Homo > Homo sapiens. The sequence goes on along the minus strand of NC_000002.12, from coordinate 54,442,249 downwards.
AAGTTCAGGCTCCCTCTTTTACCAACTGAATTAAGACTGAGAGGTAGAATAGTTAGGATAATCATGGGTTCATTTTTGCCCTAAGTCTATAGTTAGTGGAACCCAAATGAAAAATACAAATAACATAGATTTGTTCATTCATAACCTCTCTTAGGCCAAAATGAACACTATATTGTGATGCAAATGCCAGCAGAACAGATTGGAAAATAGAACAGTATTGTGGCCGGGCGCGGTGGCTCACGCCTGTAATCCCAGCACTTTGGGAGGCCAAAGCGGGCAGATCACGAGGTCAGGAGATGGAGACCATCCTGGCTAACACAGTGAAACCCTGTCTCTACTAAAAATACATAAAATTAGCCAGGCGTGGTGGCGGGCACCTGTAGTCCCAGCTACTCGGGAGGCTGAGGCAGGAGAATGGCGTGAACCCGGGAGGCGGAGCTTGCAGTAAGCCAAGATTGCACCACTGCACTCCAGCCTGGGTGACAGAGCGAGACTCCATCTCAAAAAAAAAAAAAAAAAAAAAAAAAAAAAAAAAAAACACAAAAACAGTATTCTACAGGAAAATTAAGAATGATGTTGATTGCAAACAAAAACAAAATATAAGTTAACTTAATTAGGTTACTCTAATTAACTACACAACTACCAATGTAAGTATTTTCTTTCTTTTGCACACCATATAACATGTACAAATACATTGGAATGTTTCTCAAGTATAGGCAATTGGGGTCCCCAACCTATGAAACATACCAGACTGGTGAGAAGGTTCTCATCATAGGAACTGAGGGAATTGGAATTCTGCACAATGCTGATGGCTTCTTAGGTTATGAAGGCGGGTAGAATTCTGTGTTCAAGATCATCAGTTAAAGGAAACTTGAGATGGGCATCCTGAATTGCAACCCTGGCACTGCCTTCCCTGTGAGCTTAAACAAATGACATCATCTCTTGTGCCTATTTCTTTATCTCCCAATTTCTATTCTAGTTCTTTCAAAAACCTTAGGCATTTTGCATAGTAAATCTGGAACAAATCTAGGAGGGAAGAAGGGAGAAGGAGATAAGTACCTTGTTAGGAAAAGAAAGTTTCTGCAGCAACCTTGTATTAGGTTTTACCGATGGTGTTTCATGTTCTGGACCATTTCTTACGCATTTATACATTTTCTCCTGGCCCTTGGAAAACTGAAGTCTCCATGGAACATTTCATGAATGATCACCAGTGTTACAGTTCTACTAAAATAACTGGGGCCTATTTATAAACCACAGGAAATTGTTCTTGCTCAGGATAGAGTCTGAATAAGTAATTTTAAAAATGGAATATGCTGTCAATCATCCATATGTTTTTAAATTTACTGTTTCCTAAACTGGCCTTAAGTATTCCTGTCTGTACACCTTTGTTCATGCTCTTCCCAAAGCTTGGGATGCCCTCCCCATTTCTTCAAATCTTCTCCTCCTTTTAAGGCTCAGCTCAAGTTCCACTTTTTTTTTGTAGAAATTTCTTTCCTTTTTGACATATCCTGCCATACCCCACAACCAATGGATCTCTTTTTTTCTGTTAACTCTGAGTCACTTGCAGCCTGTAACATATCACTTAGCATTCACTTAAGACCCATCCTATATTGTTGTCTCCTTTTTGCCATTGCATAAACCTGGGCTTTCCAGAGAGATTGTAAATCCCTTGAGGAGAGGGTCTGACATGGCAACCAACTCAGAGCTAAGATGGGGATGGCATTTGGCATTGCTGGTACAGGGTGGTCATTTTCAAGTGATCTAAAGCCGATTGAAAGTTACAGAGAACCCATTATGTGACACAGACAAAAGCTGAGCTATTGTGGTTGAGGCTGGGGTAAAGAGGGGCACACTGGCATCCTGTGAGCTGGACCCCACCATCTACCCTCTTCTCTGAGTAGGCCTGGGAGCACCCTTGGGGTTCACTCTCTCTTTCTTCCCTGTGCTGTTGGCACTCAGTCTTCTCAGGCTTTCATGCTGGGAACATAGCCTTCTCTAGTACTCGGGCTTCCTGGTTCCCTTCCTTGGGGCTTAAGCATAAATGTGTCTGAACTGAGCTGTTAGAACTTGAGTGTAGGAACTTTACATACCCTCTCCAAATTGCAAGCACCTGATCTGATCCATGGATCTCCAACTAGTCAGTTGGAGAACTCAGTATGGCTAATCAAGGAGCAGTCCTTTCGGCCATATCCCCTGCTTCTTCCTGCCCCGGCACAGAAAAATGACTGCATGTTTGAAACTCTGAAGGGCTCCCATAGGACTTCCTGTCAACACAAACATACTCTCCCCATAAGCAAACTTCTCCTTTCTACTTCATACTCTCAGTTAATTGCAAAGAAACAGAGTAAACAAATGTCCAGTGGTATTTTAATGACACAGATACGTCCCCATTCGGAACAGCAGGAACACGATGAAAAGTGGCTGTACCATCTACTCTTTGGGCCTGGCATCCTCCCAACCCCTCTCCACCCCAGCCCTGCACTACACACTTCTAAGGTTGGCTGCCTGGGCTGCCTGCTCTCCGTGGCTTCATGCTTGGATTCTTACTCCTCTTTTGATTTGTCAAATTTGATTATTAGACCAACAATGGGTTTACCTTTGACCTCACACCCTGCTGACCCCCTGAATGTGGGGATCCAGTTTTCACTCCAGACCCTAACTCAGGCCCTGGAGATCTCAACAGTAGTTCACTGATCGTGCAGTGGCTCTTCTGGTCCCACCTGATCCTGGCCACATCAGCCAATTCGAGACACAAGACCCTGCCAACCACACATGGCAAACGACACATGCCAGCTAGAATCTGGGGCTATTTTCCAAGACAGTCTTGCCTGGCCCTGACCTGTCTGTGCAGCCAACCCATTTCCATTCAATTCCAAACCCTCGATTCACGACCACAATCTTGGTAGTCTCCAGATTTGAGGTTGCATGTGCTTTTCCAGCTATTTAGACTTGGACTTACCTCTACAAACCTTGGTCTTGGTCACCTTTGTGGCTCTCTGTGCTCTCAAGAGCCCTGTGCCTGTCCTACCCCCTCAACAAGGGAAGTCACCCTTTTACTATCATCATTGGGGGGCATTCCATTGGCCTCCTAAAGAGTGGGTATAAGGACAGGCATGGTGGCTTATGCCTGTAATCACAGCGTTTTGGGAGGCCGAAGCAGACCAATTACCTGAGGTCAGGAGTTCAAGACCAGCCTGACCAACATAGTGAAATCCGGTCTTTACTAAAAATACAAAAATTAGGGAGAATTGCTTGAGCCTGGGAGGCAGAAGTTGCAGTGAGCTGAGATCACACCACTGCACTCCAGCCTGGGCAACAGAGAGAGACTCCATCTAAAAAAAGAATGGGTATAAGCCAGTGAAGAAAATTGCTTTAGGGAGAAGGGCTTTTGACTTCTTTAAATCCTGTAAATCAGGAGGTTATTCTCAGAGGGAGATATAAAATGAGGGTTGTATAAATCTGGAGTCTTAGTGTAGTTGAGAAAGTGTTACACACATTTTATAAAGAACAAATGATTTAATCTCCCCCATCATTCTACCAGATGGATTGAGGCCTACTGGAAATATGTTGTGAGGGAAACGTTTATTAGGAGGATAAGGAAAGGACTTAGGACTCTTTTGTGATCCATCTTCCATAAGCAGTCAGTTTGCTTTGTCTTTTGTCTTTTTTTTTTTTTTTTAAAGAAAAAAGAGTATTGGCTCGAACTCCTAGTGCTTTCTTATGTAACAAACAAGTCAGGCAAAGGGCATGCCTTAGTGCAACGTGGACTCGGCAGACTGCCTGCATGATTAGAAGTGCGGGGAGTTGGATGCTCTTGCTCCCTGAAGATTGTCATGCAATTCCTCCTCAAGTGTTGAGCCTCTTTCCGGCAGAAGGGTGCCTTAGGGCAGGCCGTTATGATGCCTTGTCCACTGCTGGCATTCAGCAAGGGTAAGTAAATCATAATAGTTTTATGGTAAGACTACTGAATTTGGAGGCTAGGTTTCCAAAGCCGGTTCTCCTAATTAAATATCTGTAAGTCACATAGCCCATCGGAGTTCCTTTGCTCATCTGTAAAATGATAAGGGTTGATCCCACAATTCCTCTAAGATCCCCTACAGCTCAGAAATTCCCCAACTTGATAATAAATTACAGTTGGTATCTAAGCACTAATTGAAAAATCTATAAACCAGGTAAGATATTCTAGAAATGAATATATTGGCATCTCTCAACAATCAGAGTAATAATTAGAGTTTAAGTTTGATAGAAAATCATCATCTTCTTCTGTAAATTACCAGGATTAAATAAGAAAAAAAAATATAGGAACATCTAGCATGAAGGGTCACAATAAGCTTCAGTTAAAGGGACATTTTCTATCCCAGCATTTCCCAAAATATGATCCTAGAAATACTATTCTGTCATGTAGAGTCACCCATGCAGTTGTGTTCCATGAAGGTCCTTTATAATGTTTTTTCATGTGTGTCTAAATTTAGAATCCAGTCAGATATCACATATTGTGTTTCATTGTCAGGTCTCTTTAGTTGTTTGTAATCTAGAACAGTCTCCATGACTCTTTTCATTTTTCATGACATTGACACATTTTAGGAGTCCAGGTTAGTTATCTTGCAGCATCTCACACAATCTGGATTTATCTGATTGTTGTTTCCTCATGTTTAGCTTCAGATTTAACATGATCCTGAATCTAATCTAGCTATTTCTGGGGGTTGGCAAGAAAGCTATGTAAGTGATGTTCATACTGTTATTTTTTAAATTGTTTTTCTTTTACCCTTAGTATATGATCAAATATTACAGAAATAACATGAGATAGAAATGGAAGGTACTCCAAAATGCCAACCCCCAGAAATAGCTAGTATTTATATTTTAGTCTATATGACACTAGATTTTTTTTCCTCTGCATATAACAAAAATTGAATCATTTTCTAAATCATTTTTATAACTTGCTCTTTTTACATGTTGCTGTATCTTGGAACCCTTTCTGTGTAAGTACATATAGATCTACCAAATTCTTTTCAGAGGTTTGTTTCCAGTGTTTAGCTGTTAGGAACTATGTACATCATTCATGTACATTTGTCTTTGTGTACTTAGGGGAATGTTTTCTATAGGTTACTACTATAATTACTTCTACAGTAGAAGTAAAATGTGGGGTTCAATTTTAATAAGTATTGCAACATTGCCAACACAAAACATTATATCAATTTATACACTTATGAACAATGTATGAAACGACTGTTTTCTCATATCTTATCCTGGTTTTACCTCTTTTAAAAATCTGACTGAGTGCGGTGGCTCACACTGGTAATCCCAGCACTTTGGGACGCCCAGGTGGATGGATCACCTGAAGTCAGGAGCTCGAGACCACCCTGGCCAACATGGTGAAACCCCATCGCTACTGAAAATATACAAAAATTAGCTGGGCATGGTGGGGGGTGCCTATAGTCGCAGCTACTCAGGAGGCTGAGGCAGGAGAATTGCTTGAACCTGGGAGATGGAGGTTGCAGTAAGCCAAGATCCTAGGCTGCTGCACTCCAGCCTGGGTGACTGAGGGAGACTCTGTCTTAAAAAAAAAGAAAAAATCTGTACCAACTGGAAGTGAAAATTTCTGTCTCATCATCATTTGAATTTGAATTTTTAAACTACAAGCAAGGTGGAGTATGTTTTCACATGTTGATTTCCTGCTTTTTGTTCCTCTTCCTGAACTGCCTGGATATTTCCTTTGCCTATTTTCCTATAGAGTTATCTTTTCTTATTGATTTGTAAGATACATTTTTATATTAAAGAAATTAGTAATTTCTTTTCTGTATGTGTAATGATTATTTTGTCCAGTCAATTGGAGCCCTAAGTAACATCCTGTGAAACATGTTCCAAGGAATATAACAAACTTAGGAAAAAGCCATGTTCAGACCCTTCTCTCTGAACTTTCCACATAGGGAGTAGACCAGGGCACTGACTTGATTTTAACCTCTGTGTGAAAGTAAAATATATGTTATGTATTTATACACATACACATGTACACTATGTATAATTGGAGAGTATTTTTAAAAAATATTTTCTTAGTGGTAATTTTTGTTTCAAAAAATAAACTACGTGAAGATACTTTAATAAAAGATCCTTAAACTCCTGGGCTGTGGTGGATTATAAGGTAGAAGTAGAAATTGTTCTGAAGCTAGAAATAGGCTACAGATAAGTAAATCCAATGTCTACAGCTGGCCAAATATTTATTTTCCTATGGCTGTACGTAATTTGGAACTCATCACTCTGGAAGGTCTCAGGAAGCTCTGATAAGAAGAGTATCTTAAGGAGGTAGACTCTATCCACTTAATTTTCTCTCACCTTGAGCTGCTGGATTTAGTTCCACGGCTACGCGTTGGCAGCCTGCAGATTGCACTGTTAGGTGCACTCAGGGCCTAAGTTTAATCTTCAGAAATTTTTCCAAACAGAAATGACTCTGGGCCAGAGGTTCTTTGTTTTTGTTTCTTTCCTGTTCCAACCAAGTTGGATTCCTTTTCTCACAATTTGGATCTTGTCATTGCATTTCATATGAGCAAGACAGCTGGCTTCAGAGATTCCTATATTTGGTGATAGCAAATTATGTTCAGCATTTTTACAAAGTTCTTTTAAATCATTTATCCTGGTTAACTGGACGTGTTGGCTGTGTGCCTGGTACAAAAATTAAAGATTAGTTAATTGGATGCACTAGGTACATTGCTGTCAGCTCAATGTAGAACGCGTGATGAACTCTCTTACCTCCTCTAAGTGCTGTCCTCACTCCTCTGGTCTAAAAGTCATGCAGCTTTTTCTTGTTCAATACTATTGACTGCTCTGTAGAAAGAAACAGGAGGAAAAAAGACCTCAACTTTCAAGCCCCCAAAGCTATATTTGCTAGAAAACTGAAATATATTCAGTTTCCAATAATAAAACATTTTCATATGTAGCTTTGGAGGAGCTAGAATATATTTTCTCAGAATTTGATTTCACATGTACAGGTGGTCCGTGAGGGTAAAAGTAAACTATCCACCCTGAGCCCCTAACAAAGCGAAGAAATAGGAAATAGAGAAATATATGCACACAGACACTAAACGGGAATTAGAGAAATAGACACACTCTGTAACCGTTAAACTATGAAATCAACACATAATGGCACTGAGCAGAGATATGTAAAATCTCTTTAAAAGGGCCAAAATCGATGACCTGCCTTAGGGCTTGAAGGCTTGGCTGCTGCTGGACTTAGGTATAAATGCATATTCAAAGAAAAAACACCATGTATATTATTTATAAAAGGAAACATAGAAATGTTACATGGCAACTGTTTTGGTTGTTACATAATAGAGCTATATTAACTTTGCTTCTTCCTTGCTATTCATTCCATGTGCATTTTTTTCCAATCAAAGATACTCAATGGAATAAAAATATTTTTCCCTTTTTTAAAAAAGTGTTCTATTCGCTAAAATAGTGGATCTGCTTCAAAGCTGTGATTAAGCATGCTCATCTGACTTGGTTGGGACAGAAGCTCCTATACCCTCTCAATTTGTTAAGCTACAGCTGAAATATTTTGATAAGAGAAAACAGGAAACAGCTCCACAAACAAACAAAAGTACATTCAAGGTGGAATCAAAACTTTTCCTTCATGGGAAATAAACTAACAATATCTCTGTTTTCTTCTGAGCAGAGGAGACCTGGCATAGAATATGGCTTCTTATACCACTGAAACATTCATTGAAATTAGGTCTCATAGATGAAACATATTGACTGTCATACCCTTTGGTTCAACCCCTCAGCAGCTGTCCAACTAACCAGGCTTCATGAACAGAAAGTTGAGACAAACAGCTCTGCTTCATGGACACACCCAGAGCACATACTTAGAATGCCCTCCCCACACCCCAGACTTCCATACTCACTCTGTCCTACCCAGCAAACAGTCGGCAACCAAATACATGTTAATTCGATTGTACCACAAGGATAATCATCCCAACCAATCACCTGTATGCGGTATCACTGATCTCCTAAAAACGTTCAATGGCTGGAGATTTTGACTGAATTTTGACCATCAGGTTTGATGTTTCCCTACCCACACCCGTTTAAAAAAAAAAAAACCTACTGCACTCCTCATTCTTCTGATTTGAGTGATTGTGTCATGATTACTTAATTTGCTTTTCATACTTTGCAGTGGAATTTAGATAGCTCAGATGTTTAACTCTTGAAAAAATGGTTACCAGTCACACATAACAACTACTTTCTTTAAGCAATGTCATGGGTGGGTGAGGTGGCTTACACCTATAATCCCAGCACTTTGGGAGGCCAAAGTGGGAGGAGTCCAGGAATTGGAGACCAGGCTGGGCAACATGATGAGATCCCATCCCAGGAGGTCGAGTCTGCAGTGAGCCGTGTTCGCGCCACTGCACTCCAGCCCGGGTTACAGACGGAGACCCTGTCTCAGAAAAAAAAAAAAAGAAATAAAGAAAAAAATGTCACAAGGATGTTGATAACTTATTTCTGGGCTTGTTCAGTAAAGCATACAAACCAACTTATGTATTTATGTCCTGCATCAAATATGACCTTAAAAACAAAGGCACAGCTCAAGCCAGTCAAAGCAGGTGTACCCTCATTGGCAACACTGTGGCGCTGCTTTTCCTCACTCTGGCATTTTTCTACATGTAAAAATAATCCCATTCCTATGGTATATGAGTGCACATATGTGGTCAAAACCACAAAATGCAAATGAAAGGTGGTCAGGGCACCATTTTATGACTGTGCACAGGCCTTGAAGCTTTGGCCACGAGGAAAAGAGAACTCCGAAGCAAAAACTTCGATGGAAACCATGGCACAGGGATTTAGTAGTCACTGGTCGTGGGCCCCAGGGAATGGCTGTGTAGCCGGCCCCAAACTGCAGTGAAGCCTATGAACACGCAGATCCCTAACATCATACATGAAAGCATTGGAAGGAAACATTTAGGTTGAATAAATGGATTCTGAGATGAGAGGGACTTTGTAAAGGGCCTGTCATTCCTTAGGACCACACCCTGACAAAAATCCTCTCCAACTTCTGACTGTTGTCTGAAATCGCACAGGTAGATTCTAATTTTCTTTGGCTTAGGGCTTTCTTCAGCATTTTTTAAATAAAAATATTTGAGAGAGATATAATACTGTATGCTCCTCTTACTGGTGCCCTAATGTGAATAAGGAGGAGAATATTCCTAAAATAAAATGTGTCCATAGGGCACGGGGACACAGGGAGAACCTGCCTGCAATGGGTCCTTGAGAAGAGGATGCTATGGAAGGTCGGGGTCAGGAGGCTTGATGCTCACCTGTGTGCCAGTGGCCTCCCTGGTGCCCTTCTTAACTTTCATTCCCATGGAGAGCTTTAGTATCTCAGCTCCCCATTGGTGATCCCCTGCAAAGTTGAAACAAAGAGGGAATGGGCTGTTCAGTTGCTGAGCAAAGGAAACAGCTGCTGATCCACAGAGGTCGTGTCGTGT